>NC_000002.12:197489618-197792648 GCF_000001405.40 Homo sapiens
GGAGGCGGAGGCAGGCATATTGCTTGAGTCCAGAAGTTTGAGAAGCCTAGGCAATACAGTGAGACCCGTCATTACTAAAAGTAAAAAAATTAGCTGGGCATGGTACTGCACCTGTAGTCCCAGCTACTTGGGAGGCTGAGACGGGAGGATTGCTTGAACCCAGAAGGTGGAGGTTGCAGTAAGCCAAGATCGTGCCACTGCATTCCAGCCTGGGTGACAGATCAAGACACCCTGTCTCAAAAAAAAAAAGAAACCCCACAGATTTAAGTCAATAAGAATAGTCAATATAGATCAAGTCAAGAATAGTCAAGACAGATCAAGACACTGTCTCCAAAAAAAACAAAAAAAAGGAAACCCCCTTATTCAGTCAATAAGATTTAGTCAATATAGAATAGTCAGTAAGCTCATTCTTAGGCCAGACTTGTGGCAAATTAACGGGAATTTAATCCAACCCCTACCTTCCAAAGAGCCAAAAGAAACAGATAGTTGTAGTATCTAATTGTGAAATGTTAAACTATCTATAAATTCCAGACAAGTATAAACATTCAGCAAACCATTATCACATTTATTTTACTTACTGCACCACCAGTAGCAATAGCCATATCTTTAAGCTGGTTCTTTCTATTGTCACCAAACCCTGGAGCCTTGACTGCCACAACCTGAAGACCAACCTTTAGCCTGTTAAGAATAGTTGATAGTAAGATTTAAATGAAATAAAAATGCCTATCTGTTTAATTCCCCTCAAGCTGTTACTAGATTACTTAGGACTCCCTAAGTAATCTGGTTTGGTTTTTGTGTTTTTTTGTTTTTTTTTTGCTTCCTAGCAATTTTTGATCAAATTAAGACAGGAAGTATCTGAGACAGTTTAGGCTATTTTCTATTAATTATACTTGTCCATATCCGTTTACCTTCTTAATAAACTGTTGGCCTGGCCGGGCGTGGTGACTCAGGCCTGTAATCCCGGCACTTTGCAAGGCCCAGGCAGGTGGATCACGAGGTCAGGAGTTCGAGACCAGCCTGGCCAAGATGGTGAAACCCTGTCTCTACTGAAAATAACAAAAATCAGCCAAATGTGGTAGCAGGCACCTGTAATCCCCACTACTCAGGAGGCCGAGCAGCAAAAATCACATCACAGTAAGTTATAGGATACAGTGATAACTATTATGAATGGTAGAAAAACAGTAATTACTAAATATTACATTTGAGGGTCATTTAATAAACATCTCCATATATTAATGCTGAGTTTTGAATGAGCAATGTTCTGAATTCACTTCTTTTATAAATGTTATACAAAAAGCTGACAGTATTGTTAAGCTCACCTGAAATTTTTACCAGGTAAATGAATACTTGGAATGTGTAATCAAATGTCCATTTGAGAGCAGATTGTGAAACAGAAGCAACGTTCAAACTTCAAGACAGCTGGTCTATTTTATTAAGGACCCAAATAAAAATCAGAGGAATAAGCTATATGCTATGTAAACTGGATATCCCACTTTTCAACTAGCAGTAAAATGGCTTAATGAAAACTCTGTAGGCTTGTTTTTTTCTGGCCTCAAGTCTTTTTTTTGTGTGTTTTTTTTTTTTTTTGAGACAGAGTCTTGCTCTGTCGCCCAGGCTGGAGTGCAGTGGCGAGATCTCGGCTCACTGCAACCTCCGCCTCCTGGGTTTACGCCATTCTCCTGCCTCAGCCCGCCACCACGCCCAGCTAATTTTTTGTATTTTTAGTAGAGACGGGGTTTCACCGTATTAGCCAGGATGGTCTCCATCTCCTGACCTCATGATCCACCCGCCTCGGCTTCCCAAACTGCTGGGATTACAGGCATGAGTCACCACGCCCAGCCAAGTCTTTTCTTAATCCCTCCAAAAAAGCAAATCCAAGCTAAGAAAAACATTCCAGGGTAAGGCAGCTCATTAGAGCTTTTGGGTCAGATGAGCACGTGTAATGTCTAAAACGTACCTGTTAATGTATGCATTTCTACTATAACAAAATGGAAAGAAAAGTCTTGCTTCTGACATACTTCAATTCTGAGATAAGGAAGAACAAACATTTTAATAATGCCCTTAGATTGTCTGCAGCATGAACATTACCTGTCTTAAAGTTTAAACTAATAGTAAACTATAGCTTAAAATGTAGATTTAAATAAGTGACTAGACCTCACCTTATTTTAGATTGGGTGCTATTTTCTCTACTTCAGACTATTTAGTAAACATTTAACAACAGACTAAATACTTGATCACAGCCAAGGGTAGTGGCTCATGCCTGTAATCCCAGCACTTTGGGAGGCTGAGGTGGGAGAATCACTTAAGATTCACCAACAGTTTAAGACTAGCCTAGGCAACATATTGAGGCAACATATTGAGACCTCGTCTCTACAAAAAAATTAAAAGATCAGCCAAGTGTGCTTGTGCAAGTGTGTAGTCCCAGCTACTTGGGAGGCTGAGGCAGGAGGATTGCTTGACCCCAAGAGTTCAAGGCTGCAGTGAGCTATGATCGTGCCGCCGCAGGCCAGCCTGGGTGACAGAGTCTGTCTCTCAAAATAAATAAAAATATTCGATGGTGAAATACACTTACATCTGAGTTATTTATTTAGAGACAGAGTCTCGCTTTGTTGCCCAGGCTGGGGTGCAGCAGCACAATCTCGGATCACTGCAACTTCCGCCTCCCAGATTCAAGTGATTCTCCTGCCTCAGCCTCTGAGTAGCTGGGATTACAGGCACACGCCACCATGCTCTGCTAATTTTTATATTTTTAGTAGAGACGGGGTTTCACTATGTTGGCCAGGCTGGTCTGGAACTCCTGATCTCAGGTGATCCACCCGCCTGTGCCTCCCCAAGTGCTGGGATTATAGCTGTGAGCCACCATGCCTGGCTCTGAGTTATTTGGAAGTTAGTTGTTTACTTCCCTGTTCTATGCAAAATAATATTCTGAAAATTTACATATTTTTAACCAGAAAAACCTTAAAAAAACAAAACAAAACAAAACAAAAAACAAGATTGACACTTGAACCCCGGAGGCTTGAGCTGAGATTGAGCCACTGCACTACTGCACTCCAGCCTGGGTGACAGAGACTCTGTCTCCAAAAATAAAAATAAAAAATAAAAAAATTACAAGGCCGGGCGCAGTGGCTCACACCTGTAATCCCAGCACTTTGGGAGGCTGAGGCGGGCGGATCACGAGGTCAGGAGTTTGAGACCAGCCTGGCCAATATGGTGAAACCCTGTCTCTACTAAAAATACAAAAATTAGTCAGGTGTGGTGGCACGCACCTGTAGTCCCAGCTGCTTGGGAGGCTGAGGCAGAACTGTTTGAACCTAGGAGATGGAGATTGCAGTGAGCCAAGATTATGCCACTGCACTCCAGCCTGGGCCAGGGAGTGAGACTCTGTCTCAAAAAAAAAAAATACAAGATTCAGTCATGTGCCTTCAAAACAACTGTAAACACTTGCAAAATACAGAAAGGTACCCATGTGCTAAATTAGTCTATTCTATGAGAAAGCTGATCAAAATAGTAAAGACTTTGGGGTTCCTTCAAAAACACAACCATAAGGATACATTAGAGCACACCTGATTTACACAATTACAATTCTAGATACAAACCCAACTGGATCAAATGTGGAGGTACACATGATGGAAACTGCAAACAGCAATACAAATAATTCTGTCTTTCACCGAGAAATATAAATCAACAAATACCACTGCTTATTACCTATTCAAGACGAGTGTACTTAGAGCTTCTCCATCAACATCTTCAGCGATTATGACCAAAGGCTTACGGTGAGCATTGGCAATTTCAAGAGCAGGTACAATGGACTGGATACTAGAAATTTTCTTTTCACTCAACAGAACATAGGCATCCTGGAATTCACATTTCTGACCTGTAAAAATAATGAAGATTTCAAAAATATACAAAAAATGACTGCAATACATTTAAATGAAAAGCGAAACCAAGGTTCCAATACACTTTAAAATTCACCAGTGAGTTGGTTTTCCTCCTTCATTTCTCATATGCATTAACTTTTGGAATATATACATTTATTTTTTAGAGGATGACACCAACTAATACCTATAGTTTGACACATATTAGAAAGTATATTTTAAAAACTTCAGGAGGCCAAAGCAGGCAGATGACTTGAGGCCAGGAATTCAAAACCAGCCTGGCCAACATGGCTAAACCTTGTCTCTATTAAAAAATTCAAAAATTGGCCAGGCACAGAGCCTCATACCTATAATCCCAGCACTTTGGGAGGCCAAGGTGGGTGGATCACCTGAGGTCAGGAGTTAAGAGACCAGCCTGGCCAACATGGTGAAACCCCATCTCTACTAAAAATACAAAAATCAGCCTGGCATGGTGGCGTGTGACTGTAATCCCAGCTACTTGGGAGACTGAGGCAAGAGAATCACTTGAACCCGGAAGGCGGAGGTTGCAGTGAGCAACGCGCCACCACATCATGCCACTGCACTCCAGCCGGGGCAACAGAGAATGAGACTCTGTCTAAAATAATAAAAATAATAATAATTCAGTTATTGATTTGTTCTTACCTTTTGATGTATTAATAAAGTATGGAGAAATATAGCCTCGATCAAACTTCATGCCTTCAATAATTTCTAATTCATCATTCAGTGTTTTTCCATCCTATGAAAAGTCAAAGAATTAGGTATATGGATTTCATTGAACACAAAACATGGAATTACAGGCCAGATTAATAAAAACAGACCCCTCTGGCCATAAGAGATGCAGGGTAGAGTATGAAACAGCCCAGGACATCCAATTACACTTCTGCAAAAAATCCCAAAAGTGCTTATTTGAATAATCATTTAAGTTAGGATGGATTCATTTCATGCAGCAAAGGCTAATTCACATAAAACACAGTAAGTACTTTATTCTATACATGTGCTGAGACTACATATGAAGGAATAAAAAAAGCAGTTTTTAAAACAGAATTTTTCTGTTTGAAAAATTCAGTTTTGATCATCAGATAACTCAAACTTTTGATCATAAGATAACTCAAAATTATCTTTAAAAATACAAACACACTTGCCTTTACTGTGATGACACCCTTTCTTCCAACTTTTTTCATTGCATCAGAGATGATATTGCCAATTTCTTTGTCTCCGTTTGCAGAAATCGTAGCAACCTGAAATAATCCAGTTACTCTTCGAAATTAAAAGGTAAGCCTAGTGTCCTCAGTCAGTTCCCTTACCTTTTCCTAGTAACTTCCAAATTGATACTTCCATCCAGGGGAGAGAAGGGGAATTTACGTTATGGTAGTTTTCATGAAGTACTGGTTCTTTGCTCTTTTCCGATTCATTATTTGACTACATTGTTTTGAAGAATATGATACATAAAACTATTCTTGTAACAAAAAGTTTAAAAATGCTGACTTCATTACAAACTGACAAAACTTATGCACCTTTGACAATGGCTAAGAACATTTTCACAATCATATGAATCCATTTTACAGCCATGTAGAACTAAAATGACAACCACATGTAGAACTAAATGACAACCATTATGGTCATAATTCTTTTCAAAGGTTTTAGCAGTAAGAAACAATGATTCTAATATTGATGATTGGGTAGTATTGTTATTCTGACATTGGTGTGATCAAGGGAAAAAAAAAATCACACATGCCATTAAATTTTTTTTAAAAAACGTGTAACATGTTAAGTCCTTACCTGTGCAATTTCTTCAGGGGTGGTCACAGGTTTAGACTGCTTTTTAAGTTCAGCAATTACAGCATCAACAGCTAACATCACACCTAGTTCAACGATATATGTCATTACAATGTTTATTTCTCTCATGGCTTCTATGTCAAGTAGAAATCTTGAGATTTGTGACAAATATTTTAATGCCTTAACTTAAAAAAAAAAATTTTTTTTTTTTTTGAGACAGGGTCTTGTTCTGCTGCCCAGGCTAGAGTGCAGTAGCACAGATCATGGCTCACTGCAGCCCTGACATCCTGGGCTCAAGGGAGTAGCTGAGACCACAGGCTCAAGCCACCATGCTCAGCTTCTTTTATTTTTGTAGACAAGGTCTCACTATGTTGCCCAAGGTGGTCTTGAACTCCTGGGCTCAAGCAATCCTCCCACCTCAGCTTCCCATGTAGCTGGGACTACAGGCATGTACCTATGCTTGGTCTTTAGTGCCTTAATATTAAATTTACACACAGCTTCTGAGACAGTGCTTCTTAATAACACAGAGTTGCGTGGCATGTACTTAAACAGTAACTTTAGGTTCACACAGTAAATAAAATCTCACAATGCCAAAATTTTGAAAATAGGACTAAAACAAGGTAGATGTGTGTAGTTTCAAAAGTCTCACCACTGAACTCATCCTATGCAAATTCCTAACCCAATCATGCTGTTTCCAATAGGGTCCACGACACTTCTCATGTCCATTAGATGATGCAAAAAAGGACCAAAATGGCTAACACTCCCTTATTTTCAACAAGAAGTACAGTTCTTAAATGATAGGAATCTGTTGTGACTATGCCTCTGCAGGTGTCAATTATCTGAAATCCCCTCAATTTAGTACGTATTATGAACTAACAAAATATTTTTGTTTTACATCAGTCTTAATAGTCCCATTTTGCTCAATTGGGAATAGTGCTAGCTCTCTTGTTTGAGAACTGTTACTTCAAAAAAAATCCAATGCAAGGTGCTGGTAAGTCCTCTTCATAACCTTAATTAATACTTGTTAGTGATTTACAGTAAAACTGCTTTTAGTGAAGTATATTCACTTGGCCCATAAACACTGAAATAGATGAGGTAATGATACATTAGTAATGTAGTAATAAATTAGTATGCCAATTCTGACAAAAAATTACCAATAGCTCCCCCCACCTTCACTTACAAGAGGGTTCCTGGTTTGAACCCTAACATACCCTAGATATACATAGCAATTCTGCTGATAGGAAAACCAAGTCTTAGCACACAGCTAATAAATGACAAACATGGGACTAGAATTTAAGTCTATACTGCCATGAACCTCATGAGGAGGAGCAAATTGTTAATTAAGTTGCACTCTAGTTACAAGCACTAACAAAACACAAACCAATAACATGGTGTGTGCTATTAAGAAAAAATAAACTGAGGAAAACATTACTTTCTGACATTCTGAATGATCCAGTGTATTTAGTCTTACTTTCTACAAAACTAAACTAAAAATTAGCCAGGAATGGTGGTGAGTGCCTGTAGTAGTCCCAGCTACTTGGAGGCTGAGGCAGGAGGATTGCTTGAGCCCAGGAGTTCCAGTGCAGTCCAGCCTGGGCTACAGAGCAAGACCCTGTCTCTAAAAACAAAAGAAACCAACTAAGTAAAATATCAAAATTACCTAACAGTACCTACCCACCATACAGCCAAGCTTGCTAAAGGAAAACCCAGTTTAAGATTTCTCCAGGCCAAGAGGAGGAATGAGAGAAGGATTAATTTCCTCAAGTTAACACTTTCCTTAGGTCCAAGGAATCAATGCCTTAAAGCACACTGAAGTTTAGAACACTGTGGTGACAACAGACATTCCTACCTCTCCTGATTTCCACTGGATTAGCACCTTTGCTAATCTTCTCGAAGCCTTCCTTGGCTATAGAGCGTGCCAGTACAGTAGCAGTGGTAGTGCCATCCCCAGCTTCTTCATTTGTGTTATTGGCAACATCTTGAACAAGTTTAGCTCCAATGTTTTTGTATTTATCTTTTAAGTCAATTGACTTTGCAACAGTCACACCATCTTTTGTTACTTTGGGACTTCCCCAACTCTGCTCAATAATCACTGTTCTTCCCTAGAAGAAAAAAATGTAACAGGATCAGACATACCCTAAGGATGATTTACATTTTTAAAAATGAGCAGTCTTCATAATAAAGCAACTACTTCAAAGTCTCAACGTAAGTTGTGTCATTTTTATCAGTCTTGCAGCATGAACCTCAAGGGCAAGTTTATCGACATTCTTTGTCTACAGACAAAATGACCTGATTCTCTGCCAAGAGCATAATTTTGAACTAGGTAATTTAGGAGATTAAAATCCTAGGGACTAAAACTTGTCATCTTATAAAATGAACAAGAACACAAGACAAAGAATAAAACAATCTTCCTATCACTTATACTTTAGTTAGTGCCTGTTATCTTTTAAAGTAATGTGACTTGTTTTAAAATCCGTTTAACTAAAATATTAACCATCAAGGCAAGTAGCGTGCTCTTCCAGGTTCACGCAACATAAAACTTCAACCATGGCACAATTATTGGCCATCCTTTGGATTTGAACTAAAGCTGCTACTTTCTATTTGTGAGGTGTGCAAATGTTGTATTTTAGGCAGTTGTTGGATCACTTGATATCTGAACTGTCTTCAAACTGAAATGAAGCACCACTTGACTGCACACCACCTTCAAAGGCCTCCTCAAAACATTACCCCTATTAAATGAGACTTATTTTAAATATGCTTTGGAACAAGAGAACAGCAGAAAACCGATGGGTAAAACTAGCATCTTGGGGTGGAGGAGAGAATGGGAAGCTACTGTCTAATGAGTACAAAGTTACAATTTTTCCATATAAAAAGTTTTGGAGATGGATGGTGGTGATGACTGCACAACATAAATGTAATTGATGTCCCCAAAGTGCACACTTAATGGTAATTTTATGTTGTGTACATTTTACTACAATAAACCAAAAAAAAATTTAGCATCTACAAGCACATACCTAAGGAATTATGGAAGATAAGTTAAACTCTTCTCTCTACACTTGGCATGAACTACTGGGAAAGGATCCAAATTTTAACTTAAGCCAGCGAAATTCTACCTCGAGTTTAAGAATCCACCTTGAGCTGTAAGTTACTACCTGATTACATCACACATTGAACAAAATAGTTTCGAAAATCTGGCTGAAGCAGTTTAAGCTTTAAGATCATGTCTAAGAAAAAAAGGCTAACCAATACTTCAGAATTCTTACATGTAAACTGAGTTCTCTCAAAAATGGAGATGAAAGTACTGTTGAATAGTTCAGTGCGACTATTTGTGAGTAAAATGCTATTAATAATACCGTAATTACAATAAAATAAAAATACTGGTACCTTTGGCCCCATTGTAACGGCCACAGCATCGGCTAAAAGGTCTACACCTTGAAGCATTAAGGCTCGGGCATCTGCACCAAATTTTACATCTTTGGCATAAGCCCGAGTGAGATGAGGAGCCAGTACCCTGGACACCGGTCTCATCTGGCGAAAGACTGTGGGTAACCGAAGCATTTCTGGGGATGGAAGCAAAAAGATCATCAGAACTACCACCCGTGGTGCGCTGCAGAACAAACATGCCCACCTGTGCAACAGAGCAAGCAACGTGAGATGCTGAGCCTGGCTGACCTCCGCCAGCCACTACGCCTGAATGACGGAAGGCGCCGCAGCTTCGGAACATCAGCCACTAGCGCAAGCTAAAGAGGCCGCCCCGGCCGGCGCCTGACCTATAGCACCAGCACAAAGCACATGCGGCTCCTTCCCCACGGCCACCTATCCCTGCCGCCAAAAACGAGTTAATCTTTCACCGCGAAAACGGCCTTGTGGGCAGACCCACTCCAACTGTGGCCCCTGAGAAACCAAGTCAGCCGGAGAGAGGCAAGTTACAAATCCAAGTGACCAGGGAAGTTAAAAGTATTCCTGACGGTGCAAAAAGCCGCTCAGCAAAGTGTCTCCATGGATCCACCCAAGGCTACTGTATCAGAGCAACCAGCAAGGCCGCGATGCTGGGGGCGGCGGCCCGGCCCACTCGGCGCGAGCCCACGTGTCCTTCTTTCCGAACGCCCCCAGCAAGGTCAAGACTGGAGGCGCGGTATCCCAGCTGCCTGCGGGGGAAAAAAGCGGTTCCCTCACGTACACCACCCTCCCCGGTTCCCTGAAGTCGGCCAGGCGCAGGTTGCACCAGCGGGCCTAAGTGGTTACAATCCCCCAAATTCAAACCCCACGAGTTGTCCCTCCCGCGCCCAGCCGAGGTCCAGGATCCGCGTCGCACGTGATGGAACCCGCATGGACCCGCGAGGCCTGGACCCGCAGGCCTGGGCCTGCGGTGCGGCGCGGTGCGGAACTCCAGGTTGTCGCCGCCCGCACCCTCCAGCTGGACCGCAGAGGAGGAAGGCCCACTCGGGGGTCGCAGGAGCCGGGGGGAGGTGGTGCGGGAAGGCCGCGTACCTGCGGGGCGGCGGCAAGGCGTGCGCTCGGCGAGACAGGTCGTCGGCGGCGAGTGAGGGACAGAGTGCAGGGCGCACACCGCAATGAGCCCGTGTCCCCTCCCTCCGCCTCTACTCCCGCCCCGCGGCACCGCGTGTGCAGGCAGCTCCCACCCACTTCCCGTCAGCCCGGGCCCTGCAATCTGCACACCCTGCGCGCGAGCCCCGCCCCTCCCTACCCGCGCAGGGTGTGCTAGCGCGCTCAGCCCTCTCCGGCCGGCTTAGTCTAGTTCCCGGGCCTCGCTCGGTTCCAGAACTTTCCAGAAAATGCCGCGCTCCCTACGGCTCAAGGGT
This sequence comes from Homo sapiens, assembly GCF_000001405.40. Classification (NCBI taxonomy): domain Eukaryota; kingdom Metazoa; phylum Chordata; class Mammalia; order Primates; family Hominidae; genus Homo; species Homo sapiens. Next base: position 197,500,114 of record NC_000002.12, read on the forward strand.
CAAATCGCGTCATTTCCGGGAGGGGACGAAGGGGTAGTTCTTTCACCTCGGCTGGGCGCCTAGAAAAGCCTAGAAACAGCTCCTTTTTTCTTCCGCCTCCGAGTCTTCGCGTCAGCGTCCTGCGCAGGGCCCTTGGGGCGAATCGCGGTGCGCGTCGGGGCGACCGCCCTCCCTCCCTGGGAGGGGCGAGGGGGCTAGCGGCGACCGCTGGGGCGAGCGCGCCTGCGCGCTGGGTGATTTTTTCACGTGTCGCCAGGGCCGGACTGCGAGTCTCTTTGCGGCGCTACACTAGAGCAGAGTACGAGTCTGAGGCGGAGGGAGTAATGGTGAGTCCCGCGTGGCCCCGAGGCCTGCAGGCCCGGGCCTGTCTGAGGCGTACGGGGATCCCTGACGCCCCTCTTTTGTTGGGCTGGGCGGGAGGGATTGGTGGCCACTCAGTGACCAGCGCCCGATGGCACCTTGGAGCGGCAAGGCCCGCCCGACCCTTTTCTCCCCCAGGGCTCTTTGCACGCGCGTGTGCTGCCGGTGTGTAAGGCAGGGGGGCGAGAACCCGGGCGCACGCGCAGCGTCTCACCTGCTTCTGCAGGGCCTTTGTGGATGTGTAATATCTTGGGTAAAAATCATGGTGCCAGGCAGGGAGCTTGACCCAGCGTTTCCTGAAAATTTCTGGAAAAACCTGAAGAAGGAAAACATTTGACCTTGGAATAAACTAAGGTTGACCTTAAAGCTGGTCTGGTTGCTCACCGGAGGAGCGACAACGACCCCTAACAGACGTAAGGAATCGGGAATTAAACTTGGAATATTGGTTAGTACATTCAAATGCGCTTCCTTAACGAATAAGCTGAGGTTTGGTGTTAACTTTCAAAGCCAAAACGTGTTGAGATGTATAGCACGGTGGCGTTGCCTGTTGATAATGTGATTACATTTAGTTTTTGTTTCAAAACATTTCTCTTCCTACAGGCAGGACAAGCGTTTAGAAAGTTTCTTCCACTCTTTGACCGAGTATTGGTTGAAAGGAGTGCTGCTGAAACTGTAACCAAAGGAGGCATTATGCTTCCAGAAAAATCTCAAGGAAAAGTATTGCAAGCAACAGTAGTCGCTGTTGGATCGGGTTCTAAAGGAAAGGTAAATGGGAGCTGCAGTGGAACTATTTTTTATAGTGTGCAGTGGAGGGAAAAGAAGTAATTCTGGAGTATTAAAAGTCGCTTATTAAGTAGAGTTTATGTCGTTTTCAAGATCATTAACTGCTTTGGTTCTAATCTGTTTCTTAAAGGGAAATGACTAATATAAAGTTGCTTATTTTATATGACCAATGCTATGATGCTTATTTTATGTGATAGTTTCAGAGTATTAAAAATTGTCCTCAATAGGCCGGGTGCGGTGGCTCTCGCCTGTAATCTCAGCACTTTGGGAGGCCGAGGTGTGCGGATCACAAGGTCAGGAGTTCAAGACCAGCCTGACCAACATGGTGAAACCCCGTCTCTACTAAAGATACAAAAATTAGCCGGGTGTGGTGGCATGCGCCTGTAATCCCAGCTACTGGGGAGGCTGAGGCAGGAGAATCATTTGAACCCTGGAGGCGGAGGTTGCAAGGAGCCGAGGTTGCAAGGCGCCCCTGCATTCCAGTATGGGGGACAGGGCGAGATTCTGTCTCAAAAAAAAAAAAAAAAAATCCCCTCAATAGCAATTTGGTAGCCTAGTGTGATCAGTGTTTGCCTTACATTCTAAATTTTTAATAAGACAAAAGAGGCTGTGCGTGGTGGCTCACACCTGTAATCCTTGCATTTTGGGAGGCCAAAGCAGGAGGATCGTTTGAGCTCAGGATTCAAAATCAGGAGTTCAAAATCAGTCTGGGCAACATAATGAGACCTCCTGTCTACAAAATAAATAAATACAAAAGATGTGCTTCAAGGTAAAATGAGGGGGCATTTAAGAATTGAGAGGAAACTTGGACTGTTCGTTTAACCCCTAACACATTGAAATTGCCCTAATCTTAACCAGTTGGTATACCTGGTTGTATACCTACCAGAGGAACAGGTTGGTCAGTCTTGTCCAATCTGCAGCCTGGGACAGCTCTGAATGCCGCCTAACGCAAATCCCTAAACTTTCTTAAAACCTGATATTTCTTTTGCAATTTTTTTTAAGCTTACCAGCTACTGCTAATGTTAGTGTATTTTATGTGTGGCCCAACACAGTTCTTCCAGTGTGGCCCAGGGAAGCCAAAAGATTGCACACCTCTGTTTTAGATGTTCCTCAGTTAATTGTTTAGGCCTCGGGCTTCTAAAGATCTCAGCCAAAATACACAGTAAACGCCGTTGGGGCCAAATAATGTTAACTGCATTGTTCTAGTTGCTTCTGAGGAGGAAAGCTCTACTGAGGAGCTGTCATGGAGTTAGGAATAGGAAGACTTTGGGGAGTGGACACTTAGCTGCAGTCCCTTTCCCCAAATCTGTTCTTTGGAGGGAACAAAACAATCACAAGAGTATGTTCTAAATCCAAAAAAACTTTAAATTTTTGTATGTTGAAAGAAGGAAAATATGACCATTTGTATATGGCATTTTCTGGGTGCTGGCTACTGTTGCAGGTTTATTTCATATAGTTGATAAGTTATGTTAATATTTAACAGTTATAAAGTTAGCTTTAGTTAACTAAAGTTAGCTTTTCCAGAATATTTTCTTGAACTTTTACGTTGGAGTCAGGTTTTAGTTTAAGCCACTGTGTATTATTTCAAAGTGTAACTACAGTGGTATTTTTGAGTGAAGATCTGTAATTCTAGTATGAGTCGTATCACTTAGCCACGAAATATATTTTTAATATAATTGGATTTGAGTGACCATGTTTCATTAGTTGTAGTGATTTAAAAGTTAACTGTTTATGTTGGGTGAACTAGATATCTTTGCTAATAAACATCCTTCCTTTTTTAAGGGTGGAGAGATTCAACCAGTTAGCGTGAAAGTTGGAGATAAAGTTCTTCTCCCAGAATATGGAGGCACCAAAGTAGTTCTAGATGACAAGGTGTGTAAACTTAATAATTCTAAAAAGAAGTCAGATATTTGCAATTAGTTGTCTTAACTAATGGTTTTTTTCACTTGCAGGATTATTTCCTATTTAGAGATGGTGACATTCTTGGAAAGTACGTAGACTGAAATAAGTCACTATTGAAATGGCATCAACATGATGCTGCCCATTCCACTGAAGTTCTGAAATCTTTCGTCATGTAAATAATTTCCATATTTCTCTTTTATAATAAACTAATGATAACTAATGACATCCAGTGTCTCCAAAATTGTTTCCTTGTACTGATATAAACACTTCCAAATAAAAATATGTAAATGAGTGGTTAATCTTTAGTTATTTTAAGATGATTTTAGGGTTTTCTAGTTTATGCTTTTTTTCTGTTTTTCAAGTAACCTGCAGAGAATTTTGGGAAACAGGATTTTCTACGTAGGTGCATTTTCACACTGAATTTAGCTTTATTAATACATGATTGATACTGATACCAAGCCATGGATTTACTTTTTTTTTTTTTTTTTCTGAGACGGATTCTCACTCTGTCACCCAGGCTGGAGTGCAGTGGTTCAATCTTGGCTTACTGCAACCTCCGCCTTCTGGGTTCAAGTGATTCTCCTCCCTCAGCCTCCAGAGTACCTGGGATTACAGGCGTGCACCACCATGCCCAGCTAATTTTTGTGTTTTTAGTAGAGACAGGTTTTGCCATGTTGCCCAGGCTAGTCTCAGACTCCCAAAGTGCTGGGATTACAAGCGTGAGCCACCACAGCAACATTCAGATTTCAAATATAACAAGCTAACGAGTTACAGGTCTTAAGGTGTTCAATACTTTGTGGATACAGGTCTTCATTCCTAACTCCAATTTATATAAATACAGAGCATTTTTTGCATGGTTTAATGTATACTGAATTCCCAGGTACACAAGTACCATGTAAATTGAGGGAAGAATTATACTTTCCATTTTTTTCTTTTTTTTTTTTTGTGGAGACAGTCTCACTTTGTCACCCAGGTTGGAGTGCACTGGCACTGTCATGGCTCACTGTAGCCTCCACCTTCTTCCCAGGCACAGGTGATCCTCCCACGTCCGCCTCCTTGAGTGACTGGGATTACAGGCATGCACCACCATGCCCTGCTAATTTTTGTATCTTTTGTAGAGATGGGGTTTTGCCATGTTGTCCAGGCTGGTCTTGAACCTTCTGGGCTCAAGCAATATGCCTGCCTTGGCCTCCCAGACTGCTGGGATCACAGGCCTGAGTGAGCCACCATACCTGGCAGCTTTTTTTATTTTTTAGAACTTTAAGAGTTGGTCAATATTTCGGAAAATCAACTTCTGTACATTAAAGTTAGGACATTACCTTATTTTTTTTTTTTAATGGTGATGGGTTATATTTATGCTTTTCTATTTGACACTAGTTTGTCAGAGTTGGAAAACAGCCACATGCTCACCTAGTCAGTGTGACCTCAATGTAGTTGAGATGAGAAACAGGAAGACTTCAGTGTAGTTTCTAACCTGATACTGGCATTTAATATCAGGCATATGATGTCCTATCAAGTTTCTGAAAGACAACGTGAAAAAGGCATCACATAGTCCTTGAGGGGTGATCGTCCTTGGCGGCCAGCAGCAATGACAAAGCAGTGAGCGCACCAGGGTCACCCCGCTCAGCTGTGGTACATTTTTCCCTTGGCTCAGCTGTAATCCATAGTTTCACCCCAATTAACTTCCCAGATACATTGCGTCTTTTAAGCTTTGTTTTGTATTGCATTGGAAAGAACAGTGCTGAGAAGCTCTCCATGGTTACCTGAGCCTCAGTGACCACCATCTTCACCTGAAGCTGCCCAGCATCCAGTGACCAAGTATCTAAGGCCACTTAGCAATACTGGAGTTGCTCTGGTATCCTCCAAGTGTTTTTTTATGTCTTGTTTTATTTTAGGAAAATTTAATTCTGGAGTGAACATTTTTTTTTTTTTTGAGACAGTTTCTCTGTTGCCCAGGCTGGAGTGCAGTGGCATGATCTTGGCTCACTGCAATCTCCGCTTCCCGGGTTCAAGCAATTCTCGTGCCTCAGCCTCCCAAGTAGCTGGGCTACAGGCGCCTGCCACCATGCCCTGCTAATTTTTTGTATTTTTAGTAGAGACGGGGTTTCGCCATGTTAGGATGGTCTCGATCTTCTGACCTCATGATCCACCTGCCTTGGCCTTCCAAAGTGCTGGGATTACAGGCGTGAGCCACCGCGCCCGGCTCATTTCATTTTTAAAAACTTAACACTGCTACATAATTTGGTTAAAAAAAAAATCTAAGGCAAGTAATTGCAGCTACTTGGAAGGCTGAGGCAGGAGAATGGCTTGAACCTGGGAGGCGGAGGTTGTAGTGAGCTAAGATTGCACCACTGCACTCCAACCTGGGTGACATAGACTGTTTTGAAAAAAAAAAAGTATATATATGATACATATACATATATGATATATGTGATATATACACACATGTATATACGTGTGTGTGTGTGTGTGTGTGTGTGTGTGTGTGTGTGTATATATATATATATATATATATATATATATATATGATAGCTAACATTGGCTGAGTGCCTTCTCTCTGGGGTGAGCACTGTGTGATAGGATAGCTAACCGGAGCATTTTCTAGGTGCTGGTTACTGTTGAAGGTGCTTTTCATGTATTAATTGGTTTAATCTTTCAACAACCCTATGAGATAGGTACTGTTCTCAACCTGCAGATGAGAAAGCTAAGGCATAGAAGGGGTTAAGTAATAACCAAGGTTGCTCAGTGGTAAGTGGCAAAGCCAGGATTCAGACACAGTCCATCTCCAGATGTTACTGTTTAAAACTTGATCCTTTATAGCCTTTGCTACTTTGTTAATTCTAAGCACTTAATACACATTATTTCAATTAATCCTGGTGATACCCACTGTGGTATGGGGAATGGGTAGTACCAAATGATGTATGTCACTTAAGTTCCTAGTACACCATGTGTTGAATTTAACAAAACTGAGTCAAAGCAGAGGATAAATAGCTTGATATAGCTGTAGCAGCTAGGGAGAAGACTTAAGATTCAAACCCAATAATACTACACTAGAATTTGGTTGGGTGCGGTGGCTTGTGCTCGTAATCCCAGCACTTTGGGAGGCCGAGGTGGGCAGATCTCTTGAGATCGAGACAGCCTGGGCAATATGGTGAAACCCTGTCTTTACAAAAAATACAAAAAGCTACTCAAGGGGCTGAGGTGGGGAGGTTAAGGCTCTGGTGAGCCGAGATTGTGCCACCACACTGCAATCTGGGTGACAGAATGAGACCCTGTCTTTAAAAAAAAGAATCCTACGCTAGAATTGATTACCAACCCTTAAACTCAACTATCAGCTACCAGCTGTCTTAGTAGTCAAACTTATTTTCTAGGTTTAATTATCCATAAACTAGTCTGATAATGTCTTTTAAAGGTTGTGTCCCGTATTTATTTTGAGAGGAATTAAAATTTAAAGTTTTAAATGGCATGGAATAATGATCTCAACTTTTGATCATCTTCCCATCTGTAAAGTAGTAGGTACTTCCACTATATGTATATTTACGTTTATGCACGTGTTACTGCCTTTGGTGTACTAAAGCTTACTTTTTGTCAAACTTCGATACTGGAATTATGCCTAAAAGTTATTTCTTATATTGTCTAAGTGGATTATCAATTTCATACTCTACTCACGCACAGCTAGATAATATGCTTTGCTCATCATAATCTTGGGAGCACAGATTTTTCTGTATTACCAATGAGAAACCTTGACTTAAGAGATAAGAAATCGTTCCAAGGACATGTGGCTAATATATTGTAGAGTAAGGAATCTGTTCAAAGGCTATGGCTTTCCCATTATTCTCCAATGCTATTTTCCTAAGACCCAGCAAATTAGTTTTGATATCTAAGGTAATAGTTCACAAAGCTTGGTTCATCTTTGCAATTGCCTGGTAAACTTAAAATTTCAGGGCCTCATCCAAACCTACTAAATCAGAAGGATAAGAGAATTTTTGAACCACAGAAGCAGTCCTATTGTGATGCCTGCCTAGCAGAATTGCTAAAGAAATAATTTTTTTTCTTTTTTTTTTTCTTTTGAGACGGAGTCTCACTCTGTTGCCCAGGCTGGAGCACAGTGGCACGATCTCGGCTCACTGCAAGCTCCGCCTCCCGGGTTAATGCCATTCTCCTGCCTCAGCCTCCTGAGTAGCTGGGACTACAGGCGCCTGCCACCACGCCCGGCTAATTTTTTTGTATTTTTAGTAGAGACGGGTTTCACCATGTTAGCCAGGATGGTCTTGATCTCCTGACCTCGTGATCCGCCGCCTCGGCCTCCCGGAGTGCTGGGATATTTTTCTTTTTTTTGAGACAGAGCCCTATTCTGTCTATCTGGCTGAAGAGCAGTGGTGTGATTATAGCTCACTGCAGCCTCGAACTCCTGGGCTCAAGCAATCCTCCCACTTCAGCCTCCAGAGTAGCTGGAAGTACAGGCCTGTGTCACCACGCGTGGGTAATTTTTTATTTTTTGACAGGGTCTTCCTCTAGTGCTCAGGCTGGAGTGCAGTGGTGCTATCATGGCTCACTGCAGCCTTGACCTCCCAGGTTCAATTGATCCTCCCACCTCAGCCCCCTGAGTAACTGGGACTACACATACATGTCACCATGCCCTGCTAATTTTTGTTTTTTGTTTTTTGTTTTTTTTTTTGAGACGGAGTCTCACTCTGTCGCCCAGGCTGGAGTGCAGTGGTGCGATCTCGGCTCACTGCAACATCTGCCTCCCGGGTTCAAGTGATTCTACTGCCTCAGCCTCTTGAATAGCTGGGATTATAGGCACCCGCCACTGCGCCCAGCTGATTTTTGTATTTTTAGTAGGGATGGGGTTTCACCATGTTGGCAAGGCTGGTCTTGAACTCCTGACCTCAGGTGATCCTCCTGCCTCGGCCTCCCAAAGAGCTAAGATTACTGGCGTGAGTGACTGCAGCCAGCCAATTTTTGTATTTTTTGTAGAGACTGGGTTTCACTATATTGCCGAGACTGGTCTCAAACTCCTGGAGTCAAGTGATCCTCCCTGCTTGGCCTCCCAAGGTGCTGGAATTACAGGTACACAATTTGTTTTTTAGTGAATGGTGTATGTATCTGACTTTCTTTTTTCAGAGATGGGGTCTCACTGTGCTCTCCAGGCAGTTTTTGCTCTCCTGAGCTCAAGCAATATTCCTGCCTCACCCTCCAGAGAAGCTAGGACTACTTTATTTTTTTAATCAATGAGTAGCTTGTTGTCACAACTTTACTTACTGGATTATCCATTCTTCTCCCTGCACACCACTCCCCGACCTCCCTTCTCTCTATGCCCAGAAATCAGAGATGTTGCCTTTATCATATACGAAATTTCTAAATATGCCTATTCATGGGTTTAATAATTTGTTCCATTGACCTCCCTATTCCATCACATTGCTTTCAATGTAAATAGCTTTATATTTAAGTTTGACATCTGATAAGGCAAGTCCTCCCTGTACCTATTCACCTGCCTGAGAGTATGTTCTTTGTTCCTATATGAGCCGCCAGCTTGTTCTTCAGTGTTATACCAAGTCATGCTTCCTCCAGCAAGTTAATTACTGTTTTCACTGCACCCACACAAAAATGGAGTTTTGAACTTTTGACTTATTTGTGTGACGAGTATTTAAATCCAATCCCTTCCCTTCCCTTCCTTTTCTTTTTTTTTTAGAAGGAGTTTCGCTCTTGTTGCCCAGGCTGGAGTGCAATGGCACGATCTCGACTCACTGCAACCTCCGCCTCCCGGGTTCAAGCGATTCTCCTGCCTCAGCCTCCTGAGTAGCTGGAATTACAGGCATGTGCCACCACACTTGGCTAATTTTTTTTGTACTTTTAGTAGAGATGGGGTTTCACCATGTTGGTCAGGCTGGTCTTGAACTCCTGACCTCAAGTGATCCACCCACCTCAGCCTCTCAAAGTCCTGGGACTATAGGCATGAGCCACCACACCCAGCTTAAGTATATTTTCCTTTACTCTCAAGCAACCTCTATGAGAGAGCCCAATCAATCCCAGCTCTTGTCCTGTGTTGCTTACATACTAGTTCTGCTACATTTGACAAATTACCTAACCCCTCTTAGCTTATGAATGAACTGCAAAACAAGGGCATTAGATTTGCCTCTTAACGTTTTGAGTCAAGCCTGTTATTTTGTTGTTAAACTTTTATTTATTTAAAAATAAATAATATGTTCATGTAAAAATTTAAAATTATAGACACTGAAAAGAATGCTCTCTATCCTTGTCCCCCAGCCACCCAGTCCCATCCTTGGAAGTAACTAGTATAATTTTTGTATTCTTCCTTTAAGGTGTTTTATGTATATACACATATATGTAAATGTGTACTATATATGTACATATCTTATGTATATAAAATATATATTCATTTTTTCTTTTTCAAAAAATAATATTCCATACATAACATTTGACACCTTGCTTTTTTACATTAACAATTGGTCTCTGGGATTAATCTATAGATAAAGACACTTTAAGACTGTATAATGTTCAATTATATGGATAAGCCATAATTTATTTCAGGATGCACCCCCAGCAATGATAGATATTTAAGTTATTCTAACCTTTTTCTATTAGAAACACTTCTGCAATGAATAAATGTATGCATAACTAAATATGTACATTTGAACAAGCATATCTATAAGATAAATTCCTATAGAACTGCTACGTCAAAGGGTCTGTGAATTTTAATCATGCATGTACGCAGATACAGACATGGATCTCCAAGTTGTCCTTCATTGAACTCCCATCAGTTTTATTTATTTATTTATTTATTTATTTATTTATTGACACAGAGTTTCAGTCTTATTGCCCAGGCTGGAGTGCAGTGGCACGATCTTGGCTCACTGCAACCTCCACCTCCCAAGTTCAAGTGATTCTCCTATCTCAGCCTCCTGAGTAGCTGGGATTACAGGTGCTCGCCACCACGCCTGGCTAATTTTTGTATTTTTAGTAAAGATGAGGTTTCACCATGTTGACCAGGCTGGTCTCAAACTCCTGATCTCAGGTGATCCACCCGCCTCCAAAGTGCTGGGACTACAGGCATGAGTCACTGCGCCCAGCCAAAAGGTCCATGAATTAACAGTCCTACTAGCAATGTATTTTTTTTCTTCTTACTCTCTGTAATGCAGGATGTTATAAAGTTCTTATTTTGCCAATCTGATAATTTTACTCTTTATCATGATGAATGAGGATGAGCATTGTATGTGTTTAAGACTCTTTTTTTTTTTGAGACAGGTTCTTGTCTGTCGCCCAGGCTAGAGTGCAGTGGCACCATCAGAGGCTCACTGCAGCCTTGACATCCTGGGCTCAGGTGATCCTCTCACCTCAGCCTACCGAGCAGCCGGGACTACAGATGCATGCTACCACGCCCAGCTAATATTTGTAGAGACAGGGTTTTGCCATGTTGCTCAGCGTGGTCTTGAACTCCTGGACTCAAGTGATCTGCCCACCTCAGCCTCTCAAAGTGCTGAGATTACAGGCATGAGCCACCTTGCTTACCCTTGTTAACTGGTTATTCCTATTCACTTAATATCTTCTGCCTATTTTTTGACTGAGTGCTTGATCTTTTATGACTTCTATTTATTAAAGAAACTAGTTCTTTGTGTTTTTTTTCCCTCTAGTTTGTCATTTGGGTTTTGATTTTGTTTATGCCTTGCACTTGTAGAAAGTCATTTTGGTGTATTTGAATTATTAAATGTTTTTCTTTATGCCTTCTGGGTATGACGTTAAACTCTGAAAAGTCTTCTCCAAAACTTAAAGTTTCTTCCACGGTTTCTTTAGGTATTTTTATAGTTTGGGTTTTTCTTTAAAAAAAAAACAACAGATTTTGATTTTGGCTCCATCTGTAGATTTTCCTGTTAAAAGATATAAGAAATGTTTAAAATTCCCCTACCATCTTATAGATTAAGCCTAAGTCTTTAAGACACTTAAAATTTCGCTTGCGAAATGCCCTTTCAGTCTCATTTAGCCTGAAGACATGACTTGGAAAAACATCAATGGTTATTTACTTACCTGGCTTGAATGTCAGTTCAAAAGGCTAGTTTATTATAGTATTTTTAAGTCACGCATTTTTTGAATATGGGCTAGGCACTGTTCTAGGCACTGGATATACAGGGATGAATAAGATCGGGGAAGCACACAGTAAACAACTAAATTAATAGCATGATTTTAGATACAGATTGGTGTTATCAAGAAAATAAAGACAGACTGGGCACAGTGGCTCACACCTGTAATCCCAGCACTTTAGGAGGCTGAAGTGAGGATCACTTGAGCCTAGGAGGTTGAGGCTGTAGTGAGTGGTGATCATGCCACTACACTCCAGCCTGGGTGAGAGCATAAGACACTGTCTCAAAGGGGAAGAAAAAGGGTGAAGCCCAGTGTCTCACACCTGTAATACCAGCATTTTGAGAGGCCAAGGCAGGAGGATCCTTTGAGGCCAGACGTTTGAGACCAGCCTGGGCAACAAAGTGAGACAATCTCTTAAAAAAAAAAAAAAAAAGCTGGGCGTGGTGGCTCACGCCTGTAATCCCAACACTTGGGAGGCCGAGGCGGGTGGATCACAAGGTCAGGAAATCGAGACCATCCTGGCCAACGTGGTGAAACCCCGTCTCTACTAAAATATAATGGTGCACGCCTGTAGTCCCAGCTACTCTGGAGGCTGAGGCAGGGGAATTGCTTGAACCCGGGAGGTGGAGGTTGCAGTGAGCTAAGATCACGCCACTGCACTCCAACCTGGCGATAGAGTGAGACTCTGTCTCAAGAAAAAAAAAAAACAAAAAAACAGACAGAGAATAATGTTCAAATAATACGTTGAAGATGTATGAAACCATACATAGGCACTGACTTGTTCAACTGTGAATATACATTCCCATGCTTCCCTGCTGCCTCAACTTTGCTCGGCTTGTAATGAAATCTCCTGTAGCTCTGCACATAAATGCTATCCACACTTTAAGACACATGACAACTACATACATCATTCACAGTGTGCCAACTTTGCTTTTAGACTGGCTTCCTTTAAGCCAGAATGGCTGCTGCAGGCCCATATTGGGTGATGTCCATTGGCAGAAAAAAGAGAGCATCTCTTTTGGTATCTTCTGAAGAGCAAGTAAATCTTTCTCCAAAGTGCTTCATTACATCGTTTCACATTTCTTTTCTTTGTTTTATTTTTTTTTGAGACAGGATCTCACTCTGTCACACAGGCTGGAGTGCAGTGGTGCAATCATGGCTCACTGCAGCCTTGAACTCCCAGCGTCAAGCAATCCTCCCATCTCAGCCTCCTGAGTAGCTGGGACTACAGGTGTGTGCCACCATGCCCAGCTAATTTTTGTATTTTTTTGTAGAGATGGGGGTGTATGTGGGGGGGGTTATACTATGTTTCCCAGGCAGGTCTTGAACTCCTGGGCTCAAGCAATCTTCTCACCTCAGGCTCCCAAAGTGCTGGAATTACAGGTGTGAACCACAGAGGCTGGCCCTTTCACACTTAGGCCAACAGGAATTTATCCCTCAGCTAGATATGGGTTTACCTTTCCCTGGTCATAGCATGAGAGAAGAACACTGAGCAAGATCAGAGGCTGTTTGCAAAGAGCATGTGAAAGGGGCTGCTTCAATACTTAAGGCGTTCAGCCTTGTACTGTAGTAATCTACATAAGATGCTTTCCCATTAATTTCAAGGCTCTTTGAGGAAAGCTTGTCTTATATATCTTCATGTTTTTCAGCACTTAGCCCAGTGCCTTGCACATAATATGCATTAACTCTTTTTTTTTTTTTTTTTTGGAGATGGAGTCTCACTCTGTTGCCCAGACTGGAGTGCAGTGGCTCAATCTCGGCTGACTGCAATCTCCGCTTCCCGGGTTCAAGTGATTCTCCTGCCTCAGTCTCCTGAGTAGCTGGGACTATAGGCGCACACCACTGTGCCCAGCTAATTTTTGTATTTTTTTTTTTTTTAGAAAAGACGGGGGTTTCACCATGTTGGGCACATTGGACTCAAACCCCTGACCTCGTGATCCGCCCACCTCGGCCTCCCAAAGTGCTGGGATTACAGGCTTGAGCCACCGCACATGGCCTGCATTAACTCTTTTATTTGGATTTAAAAATTCCCCAAAGTGAATTTTTATTGGATAATTTTTTTTAATGTGTCAATGATTTGAAGCTCATGGATAATTTGAAATTACTTATGATACTTTGGCTTTATAAAATATTTTCTTCTAAAGCTTCAAGGTTCCATATTTAATTTTATGCTTGCTTTCATACTTTATGGGGCAGAGGGAAAGAACTGCTATGCACAATCTTCATTACACATGAAGAAACATTTATTTGATAGCTTGTTCAATGTCTTAACAGTTAACAGGCAAGAGAATCTAGATTTTCCGAATCCCAGTCCAGAGCTATTCCTACTGGTGCATATTGCCTTTAAACAGATCACTCCACTCCTCCTTTACCTGAAATATTCAAGTATTTCATGTAACTGTTATTGTTGATCATGCTTTTTGTTTTTCTTTTCTCTCTCCTCCTACCCCGGACAAATTAACCCTAGTTATAAAATTTGTCTTGTTTGGAGGTACGTAATCTACAGGCTGACAGAGGAATGAAAATGTGAAGGTTATGAGCTAGAAACATTCTATCCCTAAAGAACAAGGTCCTTCCTATGAACAAGGCCAGGGTTGACATCAGAATGCAACTTTATTGGACTTTTCAAAAACAACGAATGTGCATTTTGTTCCCGAATTTAACACCTACTCATTCACGTTTTTTGTTGGTTTCAGATGGGTTGAAACAGTTTAACAAATCTGGAATTAAGAGAAAGTGAAGATGATTCCATTCAACTATAGGTGACTATTTACAGCTCAGGGAAATATCACACAATCTGGGAAATGTAAACGTAATCCTTGCAGTAAGTGAGGCGAGTTATCTATAGACCAAGAGGCCTCCCTGGGACTCTGCTATCTCATAGACCCAACCCATCTCTCTAAGGGAGGCAACATTTACGTGTCACTTGTCCTAGGCTCTCGTTGCATTTAATACAAGTTGAGCATCCATAATCTGAAAAGTCCAGAATCTGAAATGCTCCCAAATCTGAAACTTTGAACATCCACATGATGCCACAGGTGGAAAATTCCATACCTGACCTTCTGTGACCGGTTGCAGTCAAAACTTTGTTTCACGCACAAAATTATTTGAAGTTTTATAGGCGCCTGCCGCCACGCCTGGCTAATTTTTGTATTTTTAGTAGTGATGGGATTTCACCATGTTGGCCAGGCTGGTCTGGAACTCCTGACCTCAAGTGATCTGCCCCCCTCAGCCTCCCAAAGTGCTGGGATTACAGGTGTGAGCCACCGCTCCCGGCCTATTTAAAGTATTGTATAAAAGTAACTTCAGGCTATGTGTGTAAGGTGTATAGGAAACAAATGCATTTCACATTTAAACTTAGGTTCCATCCCCAAGAAATCTCATTATGTATATGCAAATATTCTAAAATCCAAAATAATCAGAAATCTGAAAGTGTTTTGGTCCCAAACTTTAAGATGAGGGGTACTTAACCTGTATAAGAATTTGTGATTTGCACGTCTCTGTTGCTGGAGTCAAGGCAATTTGTAGTGAAGGACTGAGCCTTATCATACTTGTACATTAGTGCCTACCATATAGTGGGGCTTAATGAGTATCTGTTGAACGAATAATCTTTTCATATGTAGACGCTGGTTCTGGGAGGGCAAAATTAAGTCCCTATTCTTGAAGAGTTACCAGTCAATACATCTTCCAGAGAGAACCAACTTCCTGTTGTTAAACCCTTCAATGCCTAGTTCTAAGTCACTGACAATTACTCAGCTAGAGACCCACTCAACCTCTCCTCTCCTCTCAAATTCCATTTCTGGAAGCTGTTACATGGCCCTTCCCTCAGCATTCTCAATACACCTTCTATCTAGGGACACTTGATGTTTTCTTCTTTTGGAAATCATGCTACTGTATGCGTTTTTTACTTTTTGAACTGTCTTCCCATCTGCTATCCCAAGGCCTCCCTCACCCCAGATAAAAGATTCAAGGTTTCTAAGCAGGAAAAAAAGTTTGCGAAAATGCTGTGGTTTCTTAAGAGAGAACACTTAAAATTTGCAACAAAGGAAATGTGGAATCCTGTAAGATGTAAAACCCTCACCACCTGTCAAGGACTACTAATTTCCTCCTCCTGCTTCTGACTTGAAAAACACGAGCTAAATCTGTCTGCCTAACGCACAAAACCAGATGTCCACTCTTCATCTCACATAATTGACATCTGCGTCTTTTATCTACGTAAACAAACTTGTCATTGAAAAAGTCCTTGGCTTTGAAGTCGCCGGATGGCGTAAATAACACTGACACTCAAATCCCCCGTCTGATTTCAGATTGGGTCGATTTCACGCAGGTTCTATAGAATTTGCCAAGACTGCTGGCCTGTTTTCTACCCTGATTCCTTAGGTGGCTTCTGGGACAGAATTACGGTTCTCTAAGTATTTGCTTGCAGGTGGGTTTACTGAAACGGTCGCCACTATACGAAGTTCGTTCTTCCCGTGTAACTAACGAGAGCCCATACCAACGTGCAACGCAGCCGTGCACACTGCCGCAGCGGTCGCTGCGATCACGACCTTTCAAACCGCCCCGCAGCCCTCGCAAAGAGGCTCGTGGCGCCCGCCTTCCGGTGCCTCAGTCCCTGCCAGTAGCCACCCGACGCCGTCCGGCTGTTCCTCGTTCGCCCTCTCCCTCCGCCTAGCCCGCTTCTACCCGGACGGCTCCCGGCGCAGGCTGCAGCTGTTCCGTCAGCTGCCGCTCCTCCTCCCAGACGCAGAGCGCCGCTCTGCCCCGCCCCCCGCGCAGGCTGCCGTCCCTACATCCGGGTACCGACTCCAGCCGCCTAGACGCTGGCACTATGGTCATGGCGGAGGGGACGGCAGTGCTGAGGCGGAACAGGCCGGGCACCAAGGCGCAGGTACCATGTCTGCACTTTTCTTGTCGGGCAACTAGGTGCCGAGCAGTGCTGCGCCCGGAAGCTGGCCGCCACTGCGGGGAGGTTGGGCCGAGGCGGCAGGCGGGCGGGCTGGGGCACTGGTGCCCGGCCTGCTCTTCCGGAGCTGCAGCCCCTCAATTTGGCTGAGGCGGTGGCGGCCGCCGTGAGGCCTGCGGAGCTCCGACCCAGGGGTAGGCGTGAGGGGCGGGTGGGGTCTGCTGGTGGTACCTGCCTGCCGAAGCCCTGGGCTGCGAGCCTGTCAGCAGCAACGGCTTCTTCTCGCCTTGCCCCTGAGCCCCAGCTGACTAGCATTGGAGGGGCGCGACCAGCCTGGTGGAGACCCCCGGGGTTTCCTGAAGGTCGGGGCCGCTGAGGTGGGAGGGGGTGTAAACACAGCCTACCTCGACCCGGCGTCCAGTTCCTACCTGGCCTGGGAAGTACCTACCCGTTTCCTGCCATCCAGCTTGTCTAGCCGGATCCGGGTGCCGATATTCTCCTCCTTGTTTCCCTTTGACCACCTCTCCCTGCCGCTTTCCCTGGAGCTGTTCTCTGGTCCAGCAAGTTTTCATCACTAAGTTGTGACTTGTTAGATGTCATTCCTTGCTAATATGCGTGAAGCATAGTCAGAGAATGAACTGATTATAATTTTGTCAGCTTTTTTGTAGGGCATTATGTGTGGTAAATTGGTGCTTGATTAGGCATTGTTTCTTAGGGTTTGGAAAAGATGGGATGCCTCACATTAAAAATAAATAAATAAAATTGGCATCCAGACTTGAACTGATTAATTGCTAGCCGAAATGGCTTGCTATAGACTAGATGCTCTGAAATCGGAAGAGATGTGTTTATAAAATGTTAAAAAGTGATGCAAATGAAAATTGAAACAAAACAATCGTGGAGCTATGATTGTATGTCTGAGAATAGATTTTAATTTCTTATACAGAATTATGGAAAGAACACCTTTCGAAGGGGGCATACAGGTATTGATTACCTCCCCAGATTCATGTTACAGATAAGGAAACTGAAGCCCAAGAGAATTAAGTGGATTTGCCCAAGGATACATAGTCTCCTGATTCTTAATTCACTGGTGACCTGTTCTCTTTAACAAGCTGCTTCTAGTGCTGAATTTCAGAGAAAATTTTAAAGTCTTATTTTGGAGTCACATTAAGCTGTCAGTTATTCCTACTGACAGTTTTGTTTTCATACTACTGGAAATTTATCCGTTACATATGCTTGCTTTTTACCGTTTCCACACTTTTCTTCCTCATGCTCTTTTCTCAGATACCTTTACATCTTATTCTGTGGAAACATTGTTTCTGATTACATTTTTATGTTCAGAAGTAGACTTTTCTGTTCATATTCTGAGAGTCATCTCATTTATTCATAAGTTCTTAATTTTGAAAGGTTAGAAAATAAAATATTTAATATCGTAACATACTTGCTATGTTGCTGTAAGTCACATAGAAGAAAACTTATTGTCTTTTTTTTTCACATTGTCATGGATCAAGGTTGTTAGATAAAATATAACAGAAAAAGGATAAAAAATGAAAAAGACTGCTTACGCCGTAGTTTGTCCTATCTTGTTTATCACATGAATTTCGTTTAGTGAAATGGATCTGTTCTAAAATGATATATTTAGAACCGTATCTCCTTCCCTATTGGGTCAAAAGAAAAAAAATTAAAAACTATAATAGAGGGCTGGGTGCGGTGGCTCACGCCTGTAATCCCAGCACTTTGGGAGGTGGAGGCAGGCGGATCATCTGAGTTCAGGAGTTCAAGACCAGCCTGGCCAACACGGTGAAACCCCGTCTCTACTAAAAATACAAAAAATTAGCTGGGCGTGGTGGCGGGCGCCTGTAATCCCAGCCACTCGGTAGGCTGAGGCAGGAGAATCGCTTGAACCCGGGAGGCGGAGGTTGCAGTGAGCCGGAATCGCGCCATTGCACTCCAGCCTGGGTAACAAGAGCAAAACTCGGTCTCAAACAAACAAACAAAAAACTATAGGAGAGTAGGTGGAGTATCTTCCTACATTAAAAAAAAAGTTGGTTAGACTGGAATATAGGCACATAGTTGGTTTTCTTTTTTCTTTTTCTTTCTTTCTTTCTTTTTTTTGTTTTTTTCTTGAGACAGAGTTTCTCTCTTGTTGCCCCCAAGCTGGAGTGCAATGGTGCGATCTCGGCTCACTGCAACCTCCACCTCCCGAGTTCAAGCGATTCTTCTGCCTCAGCCTCCCGAGTAGCTGGGATTACAGGCGCGTGCCACCACGCCCAGCTAATTTTTTGCAGAAACTGGGTTTCACCATGTTAACCAGGCTGGTCTCGAACTCCTGACCTCAGGTGATCTGCCCGCCTGGGCCTCCCAAAATGGTGGGATTACAGGCGTGAGCCATTGCACCTGGAGGTTTTTTTTTTTTGTGTGTGAGGCAGAGTCTCGTTCTGTCGCCCAGGCTAGAGTGCAGTGGCACGATCGCAGCTCACTGCAGTCGCTGCCTCCCAAGTTCAAGTGATTCTCCTGCCTCAGCCTCCTGAGTAGCTGGGATTGCAGGTGCCTGCCACCACGCCCGGCTAATTTTATTTTTATTTTTATTTTTATTTATTTTATTTTATTTTTTGAGACAAGAGTCTCACTCTGTCGCCCAGCCTGGAGTGCAGTGGCACGATCTTGGCTCACTGCAAGTTCCACGTCCCGGGTTCACGCTGTTCTTCTGCCTCGGCCTCCCGAGTAGCTGGGACTACAGGCGCTAACCACCACGTCTGACTAATTTTTTTTTGTATTTTTAGTAGAGATGGGGTTTCACTGTGTTAGCCAGGATGGTCTGGATCTCCTGATCTCGTGATCCGCCCGTCTCGGCCTCTGAAAGTGCTGGGATTACAGGCATGAGCCACTGCGCCCAGCCAATTTTTTTTGTATTTTTAGTAGAGATGGGGTTTCAGCGTGTTAGCCAGGTTGGTCTCGAACTCCTGACCTCAAGTGATCTTCCCGCCTCAGCCTCCCAAAGTGCTGGGATTACAGGCGCAAGCCACCACGCTGGGCTTCATAGTTGGTTTTCAATAAATGTTTGTTGGTTGAATTAGATGAGAATCTTTATTAAGCTGAATTTTTGGTGTCTCTCATAGGCATCTAAAATATGTCACAGTTATGAGAAGGCGAAACATTTCATTCTCAACATCTTTTCTATATATAGTCATCATTGGTGTCCTCTGGGGATTGGCTCCAGGATAACTCCGTACCCCCACCCCATACCAAAATCTGAGGATGCTTAAGTTTCTTAAGTAAAATGGCATAGTGTTTGCATATAACCTATGCACATTCTGTTATATAGTTTAAATCAACTCTAGATTACTTAATAATACCTAATGCAATGCGTGTTCTGTAAATAGTTGTTATACTGTATTTAGGGAATAATGACCAAAAAGAAAGCCGGTACATGTTTAGTACATACGCAACTATCTTAGACCTAACTAGGTACATAGTACATGTCAGCAACAATATAACATTTTCTGTATTTTTTTTCTCCCCTGAAATGAATATTTTCAATTCCTGGTTGATTGAATCTGCAGATTAAACCTGCAGATATGGAGGGCCAACTGTACATGTGTTTTCTAATATTTTAAAAACAACATTCTGTAAACTTCCTTAGTTTTTTTAAAAAGGAAAGAATAGACAGAGTATTGGTAGAAACTTTAGATCATATAGGAAAAATTTTAGAATTGCTCTTTAATAGATAATGTCTAAGAAAAGGAATCCTGGAACCATTTCTAGAAGATTGTTTTATTTCTTGATATTTTCCTTTAATAAAATTAGTTCATTTTCATCCAGATAGGCCAGCTATTTCAAAAAAGATGAAATGTTTAAGACACTTAAAAAGGTGTACTCATTACCTACTGTCCAAACGGGGACATTGCTACTATAGTTGAATCCTTATGGAAGACATTCTCTGTCTTCTACCCTATCATTCCTTTTCTTTTCTGTATACTTTTACTATATATGCATTATATCCATAAGTATGCCTTGCACTTAAACTTTTTTTTTTTTTTTTGAGACAGAATCTCGCTCTGTCTCCCAGGCTGGAGTGCAGTGCTGCACTCTCGGCTCACTGCAAACTCCGCTTCCTGGGTTTGCGCCCACCACCACGCCTGGCTAATTTTTTGTATTTTTTCATAGAGATGGGGTTTCACCGTGTTAGCCAGGATGGTCTCGATCTGCTGACCTCATGATCCGCCTGCCTCGGCCTCCCAAAGTGCTGAGCGTGAGCCACCGCGCCCGGCCTAAACTTTATTCATTTTATATACACTGTGTTTACTTCTAATTTGCTTTTTTTGCTCAAGGTTTTGAAGACTTAATCTTTGTTGATTGTTTTTACAGGTTTATATACAGGTTTATAGATTATTGGTTTACTCTTACCTCCTCCCCACCAAGTTTTACCTCAGAGACATTTGAGCTTCAAAGATGTGTCAGGCATTGTGCTACCCACTGAGGTTACATAGGTAAACTTTTCTGAAAAATCAGTCAAATGGAAAGGTTCTTAATCACTTAGGGGAATATCTGTTAACTGTATTATCTACAGAGAATTCCAGAACCAGGGCAAGATGCTCTATAAAAATATCCCCCTTAAGCTGGGCATGGTGGCTCATGCTTGTAATGCCAGCACTTTGGGAGGCTGAGGCTGGAGGATTGTTTGTGACCAGGAGTTTGAGACCAACCTGGCCAACAAAGTGAGACCTCGTCTCTTAAAAAAAAAAAAAAAAAAAAAAAAGAAGAAGAAATAAAAATATTCCCTTTAACAGAAAGCTGGTTTATTTGATGTTTCCTTCTCTTTTTAAAATTTTTGTGGGTATATAGTAGGTGTATATATTTGTAGGTTACATGAGATATTTTGATACAAGCATGCAGTGTATAATAATCACATCAGGGGGGTAAATGGGGTATCCATCACCATAAACATTTGTATCGGGGAACCTGCCCCGATAGTCACGTAGGTTCTTTTCTATTTTCCCTAAGCATCAGCCAGTTTGAGAAATGAAGGGACAGAGTACAAAAGAGAGAAATTTTAAAGTTGGGCGTCCGGGGGAGACATCACATGTCGGTGGGTACCGTGATGCCCCACAAGCTGCAAAACCGGCAAGTTTTTATTAGGGACTTTCAAAAGGGGAGGGAGTGTACAAATAGGGTGTGGGTCACAAAGATCACGTACTTCACAAGGTAATAGAATATCACAAGGGAAATGGAGGCAGGGCGAGATCACAGGACCACAGGACCAGAGCAAAATTAAAATTGCTAATGAAGTTTCGGGCACCATTGTCATTGATAACATCTTATCAGGAGACAGGGTTTTGAGAGCAACCGGTCTGACCAAAATTTATTAGGTGGGAATTTCCTCTTCCTAATAAGCCTGGGAGCACTATGGGAGACTGGGGTTTATTTCACCCCTACAGTTTCGACCATAGAAGACGGCCATACCCAAGGGGGCCGTCTATAGACCCACCCCCAGGCGTGTATTCTCTTTCCCAGGGATGTTCCTTGCTGAGAAAAAGAATTCAGCGATATTTCTCCCATTTGCTTTTGAAAGAAGAGAAATATGGCTCTGTTCCGCCCGGCTCACCAGTGGTCAGAGTTTAAGGTTATCTCTCTTATTCCCTGAACAATTGCTGTTATCCTGTTCTTTTTCCAAGGTGCCCAGATTTCATATTGTTCAAACACACATGCTCTACAGTTTGTGCAGTTAACACAATTATCACAGGGTCCTGAGGTGACATACCTCCTCCTCAGCTGACAGGATTAAGAGATTAAAGACAGGCCTAGGAAATCACAAGGTATTGATTGGGGAAGTGATAAGTGTCCATGAAATCTTCACAATTTGTGTTTAGAGACTGCAGTAAAGACAGGCATAGGAAATTATAAAAGTATTAATTTGGAGAACTAATAAATGTCCATGAAATCTTCACAATCCACATTCTTCTGCCGTGGTTTCAGCCGGTCCCTCAGTTTGGGGTCCCTGACTTCCTGCAACACATTTGTCCTTTATGTTGCAAAAAATTAGATTCTTTTAGTTTTTTTTAAATGTACAATTAAATTGGTTTTTACTATAGTCACCCTATTGTGCTAGCAAATACTAGGTCTTATTCATTCTTTCTATTTTTTTTGTACCCATGGGTGATTACCTTTTTTTTTTTTTTTTTTTTTTTTTGAGATGGAGTCTTGCTCTGTCACCCAGGCTGGAGTGCAGTGGCGTGATCTTGAGTCACCACAGCTTCCGCCTCCTGGGTTCAAGCAATTCTCCTGCCTCAGCCTCCTGAGTAGCTGGGATTACAGGCGCACGCCACCATGCCCGGCTATTTTTTGTATTTTTAGTAGAGACGGGGTTTCATCATGTTGGCCAGGCTGGTCTCGAACTCCTGACCTCAAGTGATCCTTCCGCCTCGGCCTCCCAAAGTGGTAGGGTTACTGGTGTAAGCCACCATGCCCAGTCTGATGATTACTTTTTAATGGTGCCCATATTTTGATTTAGAAATTCAAAACTCTATTTGGAATGAGAATAATAATTTATAATTTCTTTTTAAAATAATACTTATGGGTCGATCATGGTGGCTCACGCCTGTAATCCCAGCACTTTGGGAGTCTGAAGTAGGCGGATCACGAGATCAAGAGATTGAGACCATCCTGGCCAACATGGTGAAACCCTGTCTCTACAAAAAATACAAAAATTAGCTGGGTGTGGTGGTGCGTGCCTGTAGTCCCAGCTACTCGGGAGGCTGAGGCAGGAGAATCACTTGAACCCAGGAGGTGGAGGTTGCAGTGAGCTGAGATCGCACCACTGCACTCCAGCCTGGCGACAGAGTGGTCTCAAAATAATAATAATAATATTAATAATAATAATTATGGAGCAGTAAATTAGCTACTAATGCTAGATATTCTCTTTTGGTAAAAATCTGATTTACTTTTTGGTGTCTGGAGTTTTTTTTTCATTGTAACTTTTTGAGAGATATTTAACCATCATAAAAAAGTGATAGACTTGTCTCCCCAATTAAGTAATACATTAAAGGTTTATGGGAGCTGTATTTGAGGAATCTGTGATTGGAAAAAACGTAATTTATAGTTCAATTAAATAAAATCTTAATATTCATTTAAAAAACATTAAACAGCCAGGCGCAGTGGGTCAGGACTATAATCCTAAGAATAGGGTGGCTAAGGTGAGAGGCTGAGGTGGGATGATTGCTTACACCCAGGAGTTTGAGGCTGTAGTGAGCTATGATTGTGCCACTGCACACAAGCATGGGCTGCAGAGTGAGACCCTGTCTGTAAAAAAGAAAAGTTGAATAAAATTTATTTCCTTATTTCACTGATAATTACATTGCAAAAGTTTTTTCTTCCCCTCTAGTGTGAGCTTTGGGTCTTTATTAAGAATTGAAGTTAATCATAATAGTATTTTGTATGTGCTTTAACCGTGAATTTATTTTTATAGGATTTCTATAATTGGCCTGATGAATCCTTTGATGAAATGGACAGTACACTAGCTGTTCAACAGGTAATAAAAATAGTTTCTTTTCACCCTGTGTCTTTTGGAGTACGATGTGTAAGTGCCCATTGGGTGGCCTTTGTCTGTTGGTCACTGTGCAGCAGTCTGCTTCCCAATAAAGCGTGCTCTTTCACAAAACAAAACAAAATAGTTCCTTTTACAACTCCAATAACCTAAGCATTTTACCTCTGACATAGTTAAGTATTCTTATATCTTTTCGCATAGAGAAGATTCCACTGAATTAATGGAATGCCTATTTAAAAGTTTAGTCAACCCTCATTTTGTTTTAAGATGGCATATTAAGCTGGGCACTGTGGCTGCCAGCACTTTGGGAGGCCAATCACTTGAGGCCAGGAGTTCAAGACCAGCCTGAGCGACATAACAAGACCCTGTTTCTACGAAAAGATAAATTAGCCAGGCATGGTGGCACACACCTGTAGTCCCAGTAGCTAGGGAGTCTGAGGTGGGGAGATCACTTGATCCTACTTCAAGGGTCTAATGAGCTATGATTGTGCCACTGTACTTCAACCTGGGTGACAGAGTGAGATCTTGTATCTTAAAAAAATAAAAATAGCCCAGGTGTGGTGGCTCACAGCTGTAATCCCAGCATTTTGGGAAGCCGAGGCAGGTGGATCACTAGGTCAGGATATCAAGACCATCCTGGCCAACATGGTGAAACCCTGTCTCTACTAAAAACATAAAAAATTAGCCAGACATGGTGGCATGTGCCTGTAGTCCCAGCTACTCGGGAGGGCTAAGGCAGGAGAATCGTTTAAACCCAAGAGGCGGAGGTTGCAGTGAGCCAAGATCATGCCACTGCACTCCAGCCTGGCCAAAAGCAAGACTCTGTCTCAAAAAAAAAAAAAAAAACAAAAACAAAAACAAAAATACAATTTCATTAAGGGGCTAATAAAAAGATAATATAAATTGGAGCGTACTAGTATATTGGATTAGGCATTGGTTAAATTTTTTTTGTTTTGAATTTTTAGTAGAGACAGGGTTTTGCGATGCTGCCCACCTTGAACTCCTGGGCTCAAGCAGTCCACCCACCATGGCCTCCCAAAGTGCTGGGATTGCAAGTATGAGTCACTGCACCTGTCTTTTTTTTTTTTAGACGGGGTCTCACCCTGTTGCCCAGGCTGGAGTGCAGTGGCTCAAGCATGGCAAAATGTAGCCTCAACTTCCTGGGCTCAGGTGATTGTTCTACCTCAGCCTCCCAAGTAGCTGGGACTATAGGCGCACACTGCCACATCTGGCTGATTTTTTGTAGAGATGGGGTTTCACCATGTTGCCCTGGCTGATGATAACATTTTTAAAGGGAAAATATACCATAAATCGAGGCTGTTTGGCTTCATTTTGATAGCCAGATAATAAAAGTAGATAGCTGGCCGGGTGCGGTGGCTCACGCCTGTAATCCCAGCACATTGGGAGGCCAAGGCGAGCGGATCACCAGGTCAGGAGATCGAGACCATCCTGGCTAACATGGTGAAACCCCATCTCTTACTAAAAATATAAAAAAATTAGCCGGGCGTGGTGGTGGGTGCCTGTAGTCCCAGCTACTCGGGGGCTGAGGCAGGAGAATGATGTGAACCTGGGAGGCAGTGAGCCTGCAGTGAGCCGAGATCGTGCCACTGCACTCCAGCTTGGGGGACAGAGCAAGACTCCATCTCAAAAAAAAAAAAAAGTAGACAGCTATTCGGATTTGTTATGTTATTTGAAGATCTTAGAAAATAAAAGAGACATATAGTTGAATTATTTGAGCATTAAAAACCACCCATCTGGGTGTGGGGGCTCACACCTGTAATCTTAGTACTTTGGGAGGCCGAGGAGGGAGGATCACTTTGAGGTTGGGAGTTTGAAACCAGCCTGGACAATATAGTGAGACCCTGTCTCTGTAAAAAATAAAAAGGTTGGGCTAGGTGGCGTGCACCTGTAGTCCTAGCTACTTAGGAGGCTGAGGTGGGAGGAAAGGGTTTATGGTGAGCTGTGATTGCACCACTGCACTCCAGGCTGGTGACAGAGACCCTATCTCAAAAAAAAAAAAAAAAAAGAAAAAGTGCTGTTCAATCAGCAAATATTTATTGGCTTCTCACGATATAGCTAGCAATGAGTTAGGCCTTGTGGAAGATAAAGGAATATAAACCTAGATCTAGCTCTATGCCTAGAAATTGGTTAAATTTTGAAGAAAAATGTACAGATGGTTATCTCTTTAAAAATAGGGGGAAGTGTCCTGTTTGTTGAATTTGTTCATTTATTCTCACAGGTTTTTTGGATGTGAAATCATTAGGGTTTTCTACATACGAGACCCATGTCATATAATTTTACTTCTCCAATCTAGATCTGTTTTCTTTCTTTTTCTTGCCTAATTGCTCTGGCTAGACCTTCCAGTACTACTTTGAATAAAAGTGGTGAAAAAGGGCATCTTTGTCTTCTTCCTGATCTTAGAGGAGAGCTTTTAGTTTTTCACTGTTGAGTATGATGTTCACTATGGATTTTTCATATATGGTCTTTATTATATTGAAGTTGTTTCCTTTATTCGTAGGTCATTCAGTGCTTTTTAGATCATAAAATGGTGTTAAATTTTGTCAAATGCTTTTTCTGCACCTATTGAGATGATCATGTGTTTCTTTTTCTTACTTTTTTTATTTTTTTATTTTTTTGAGACAGTCTCGCTCTGTCACCAGGCTGGAGTGCAGTGGCGTGACCTCAACTCACTGCAGCCTCTGCCACCTGGGTTCAAGCGATTGTCCTGCCTCAGCCTCCTGAATAGCTGGGATTACAGGCGCCCGCCCCTGCGCCTGGTTAATTTTTGTAGTTTTAGTTAGAGACAGGATTTCACCATCTTGGCCAGGCCGGTCTTGAACTCCAGACCTCGTGATCTACCTGCCTTGGCTTCCCAAAGTGCTGGGATTACAGGTGTGAGCCGTCACGCCCAGCATTAATTTTTCTTTAAATGTTTGGTATTTTCTTTAAATGTTTACTAGTGAAGTTGTTAGGCCCAGGGTTTTCTTTGGTTGCTCAACATTGGGAATATAATTAATGCCACTGAATTGTACACTTAAAAATGGTTTAAATGCCTTTCCTTTCTTTATTGAATGGTCTCAGCAGCCTTGTCGAAATCTTTTGGCCATGTATGTGACACGTTATTTCTGGGTTCTTTCTTTATTTCTGTTTGTCTGTATGTCTATCCTTATGCCAGTATCACACAGTGTTTGATGACTGTAGCTTTGTAGTAAGTTTTGAACTCAAGAAGTGTGAATCCTCCAACTTTGTTCCTTATTTTATTTTTCTTAATAGAGACAGAATTTTGCAATGTTGCCCAGGTTGGTTTTGAACTCTTGGCTCAGGTGATCCTCTTGCCTCGGCTGGGATTACAGGCATGAGCCACCATGCTCTGACCAAATTTGTTCTTTATTTTCAAGATTTTTTTTGTTTATTCAGAAACCCTTGCAATTCCATATAAATTTGAGGATCACCTTTTCCGTATCTGCAAAAAAAAGGGGGGCGTCGATTGGAATTTAGATAGAGATTGCCTCGTATCTCTAGATTGCTTTAGGTAGCATTGACATCTTAACGATATTAAGCCTTCTTACTCATGCACACGAGATGTCTTTCCATTTATTTAGGTCTTCTTTAATTACTTGCAGCAATGTTTTGTAGTTTTCCGTCTGCAAAAAATTTTATCTCCTTATTTAAATCTATTTCTAGGTATTTAAAAGTTTCTAGGTGCTATTGTAAGTGGAATTGCTTTCTTCCTTTTTAGATTCTTACAGGTATATAGAAACAAAACTGATTTTTATGTGTTCATCTTGTATTCTACAACTTTGCTGAATCATTTTTCACTTAGAGTAACGTTCTTGTGGATTCTTTGGGATTTCCTATATATAGGATCATGTCATTTGTGGATAGAGATAGTTTTACCACTTCCTTTCCAAATGAGATGCGTTTTATTTCTTTATCTTGTCTAGTTGCTCTGGCTAGAACTTTTAGTACAGTGTTGAATAGCGGTGGTGAAAGTGAGCATCCTTGTCTCATTTGGGTTGGAAAGGCTTTTAGTTTTTCACCCTTGAGTCTGAGGTTAGCTGTGAGCTTTTCATGAATGCCCTTAATCATGTTGGGGAAATTTCCTTTTAAACCTAGTTTTCTGAGTGGTTTTATCACGAAAATATGTTGGATTTTGTCAGATATCTTTTCTGCATTGGTATGATTGTGTGCTTTTTTCCGTTTGTATATTAATGTAGTATATTGCATTGTTGTTGTTTTTTTAAAAATGTTGAACCATCTTTGCATTCCTGATAACTTTCTTTTGATTTATATTTGTATGGTATTTCTTTTTTCATGATTTGACATACCTATATAATTACGTTTGAAATAAGTTTCTTGTAGACAGCATATGGTTGAGTCATATTTCTTAGTTCATTTTGACAGACTTTCTCTTTTAATTGGTATGTTCAGACCATTTAACATTGATGTGCTGAATGTTTACTATTATTTAGATTTAGACCTACCGTTTTATTACTTTTTAATTTGTTCCTTCTGGGCTTTTCATTTGTTCCTGTTTCCCCTTTTCTGTCTTTTTAAGGGTGAGTTGAACATTTTTAGTATTCTGTTTTAATTCTAATTTTGACATATTTATATACTTGATTACTAAATGGGTACCTGCGCAGTTTACTGAAAATCAGTATTCTACCACTTTACTTGAAATGTAGAAACTTTACTATCATATGCACCCCTTTTGCTCCCCCTTTATACTATAGTTGCTGTATATTACATCAATATACATTGAAAACCCCATCGTTAATCATTTTACTTTCACTTGTCAAACATATTTTAAAGAAGTCATGAGAAGAATGGTCTATTATATTTATACCCAGATATTTACAATGTCTCCTGCTCCCTGCTCCTGATGTTCCCAATTTTCTTTTTCTTTTTCTTTTTCTTTTTTTTTTTTTTTTTGAGACGGAGTCTCACACTGTCTCCCAGGCTGGAGTGCAGTGGCACAATCTCTGCTCACTGCAAGCTCCACCTCCTGGGTTCAGGCCATTCTCCTGCCTCAGCCTCCCGAGTAGCTGGGACTACAGGCGCCCGCCATCACCCCCGGCTAATTTTTTTGTATTTTTAGTAGAGAACGGGGTTTCACTGTGTTAGCCAGGATGGTCTCAATCTCCTGACCTCGTGATCTGCCCGCCTCGGCTTCCCAAAGTGCTGGGATTACAGGCGTGAGCCACCGCGCCTGGCCTCCCAATTTTCTTTGTATTATTTTCTGTCTGAAGAACTTCCTTTAGTAATTTTTTTTTTTTTTTAGACAGAGTCTCGCTCTGTCACTCAGACTGGAGTGCAGTGGCGCGATCTCGGCTCACTGAGTTTAAGCAATTCTCCTGCCTCAGCCTCATGAGTTCAAGCAGTTCTCCTGCCTCAGCCTCTCGAGTAGCTGGGATTACAGGCATGCGCCACCACCCCCAGCTAATTTTTGTGTTTTTAGTACAGACAGGGTTTCACCATGTTGGTCAAGCTGGTCTTGAACTCTTGACTTGCCTGCCTCAGCCTCACAGAGTACTGGGATTACAGACATGAGCCACCGCGGCCAGCTGATCTTCATTTCTAAATAATATTTTTGTTAGATATAGAATTCTGGCTTGACAACTCTTTCAGCACATTTTTATTTTTATTTTATTTATTTATTTATTTTTTTGAGATAGAGTCTCGCTCTGTCACCCAGACTGGAGTACGGTGGCGTGATCTTGGCTCACTGCAACCTCCACCTCCTGGGTTCAATCGATTCTCCTGCCTCAGCCTCCCCAGTAGCTGGGACTACAGGTGCATGCCGCCACAGCCGCCTCATTTTTCTATTTTTAGTAGAGACTGGGTTTTGCCATATTGACCAGGCTGGTCTTGAACTCCTGACCTCAAGTGATCCATCCACCTCAGCCTCCCAAAGTTCTGGGATTATAGGTGTGAGCCACTGTGCCCGGCCTTATTTTTATTTATTTATTTTGAGATGGAGTTTTGCTCTGTCGCCCAGGCTGGAGTGCAGTGGTGCAATCTCGTCTCACTCCAACCTCTGCCTCCAGATTCAAGCCATTCTCCTGCCTCAGCCTCCCGAGTAGCTGGGACTACAGGCGCACACCACCGTGCCCAGCTAATTTCTGTATATTTAGTACAGACGGGGTTTCACCATGTTGGCCGGAATGGTCTCGATCTCTTGACCTTGTGATCTGCCCGCCTCAGCCTCCCAAATTGCTGGGATTACAGGCGTGAGCCACCCCACCTGGCCTCCTGGCCTTATTTTCATTTTTATTCATTTATTTTTGAAATGGAGTCTCACTCTGTCTCCCAGGCTGGAGTGCAGTGGCGCGATCTCGCCTCACTGCAATCCCCACCCCCTGGGTTCAAGCGATTCTCCTCCGTCAGCCTCCCTAGTAGCTGGGATAACAGGCGCCTGCCACCGTGTCTGGCTAATTTTTGTATTTTTAGTAGAGACGGGGTTTCACCTTCTTGGCCAGGCTGGTCTTGAACTCCTGACCTTGTGATCCACCCTCCTCGGCCTCCCAAAGTGCTAGGATTACAGGTGTGAGCCACCATGCCTGGACTCTATTTTTATTTTTTTTTGAGACAGGGTCTCACTCTGTTGCCAGGCTGGAGTGCAGTGGTACAATCATAGCTTACTGCAGCCTTAAACTCCTGGACTTAAGAGATTTTCTCACCTCACCTTTCTGAGTAGCTATGACTACAGGAGCACACCACCCCTGGCTGACTTTTTTTTTTTTTGTAGAAATGTGGTCTCGCTATGTTGCCTAGGCTGGTCTTGAACTCTTGGCCTCAAGCAGTCCTCCTGCCTCAGCCTGCTAAGTTTTTCAGCACTTTAAAAATGTTTTGCCATTTTGCTTCCATGGTTTCTGATGAGAAAGAATCTGTCATTCAAATTCTCCTGGCTTCTTTAGTGGTGTTTTTTTCTTTGTTTTTTTTGAGACAGGGTCTCACTCTGTCATTCCAGGCTGGTGTACAGTGGACTTCTTAGGCTCAAGCAATCCTTCCAACTCAGCCTCTCAAGTAGCTGGGACTACAGGCATGCACCACCATGCCTGACTAATTTTTATGTTTTGTAGAGATGGGCTCTTATTGTGTTGCCCAAGGTCTCTAACTCCTGAGCTTGAGTGATCCTCCTGCCTTGGTCTTCCAAAGTGCTGGGATACAGACCTGAGCTACCACACCTGGACTTATCTTTGGGTTTTAGCCATTTGATTATGATGTATCTGGATGTAGATTTCTTTGGGTTTATCTTGTTTGATGTTCACTCAGCTTTTTTTAAATTGTGGCAATATATATGAGACATAAAATTTATCATTTTTGCTATTTTATTTTTATTTTTATTTTTATTTTTTTTTTTTGAGGCAGAGTCTCGCTCTTTCTCCCAGGCTGGAGTGCAGTGGCGCGATCTCGGCTCACTGCAAGCTCCGCCTCCCAGGTTCACGCTACTCTCCTGCCTCAGCCTGCCGAGTAGCTGGGACTACAAGCGCCCGCCACTATGCCCGGCTATTTTGTATTTTTAGTAGAGACGGGGTTTCACCGTGTTAGCCAGGATGGTTTCGATCTCCTGACCTCGTGATCCACCCACCTCGGCCTCCCAAAGTGCTGGGATTACAGGCGTGAGCCACTGCGCCCGGCCTCATTTTTGCTATTTTAAAGTGTACAGTTCTGTGGCATGAAGTACATTCCCATTGTGCAACCATCACCACCGTGTCCAGAACTTTTTCATCTTCCCCAACTGAAATTCTATACATATTAAATAATAACTCCCTATTCCTCTTTTTTTTCTCAGCCTACTCAGCTTCTTGAATTTGCAAGCTTATATCTTTTTACAAACTTGGAAACTTTTCAGCATTATTTCTTCAAGTACCTTTTTTTTGAGACGGAGTCTTGCTCTGTCGCCCAGGCTGGAGTGCAGTGGCATGATCTTGGCTCACTGCAACCTCTGCTTCCCGGGTTCAAGTGATTCTACTGCCTCAGCCTCCATGTGCCACCATGCCCGGCTAATTTTTGTGTTTTTATTAGAGATGGGGTTTTACCCTATTGGCCAGGCTGGTCTCGAACTCCTGACCTCGTGATCCACCTGCCTCGGCCTCCCAAAGTGCTAGGATTATAGGCAGGAGCCACCTCGTCCAGCCTTCTTAGCTGATTTTTTAAAAATGATAGTTGCTTTTATTGCATAAAAGTGTGGAGGACTCATTATAGAAAACAAAATGACTTTTTTTTTGAGATAGAGTCTCACTCCCAGGTTGGAGTGCAGTAGCGTGTGATTGCTGCTCAGAGCAACCTCCACCTCCCAGGTTCAAGTGATTCTCCCGCCTCAGTCTCCCAGTAGCTGAGATTACAGGCGTGTGCTACCATGCCTGGCCAGTTTTTGTATTTTTAGTAGAGATGGTGTGTCACCATGTTGGCCAGGCTGGTCTTGAACTCTTGACCTCAGGTGATCTGCCCGCCTCTGCCTCCCAAAGTGCTGGGATTACAGGAGTGAGCCATTGTGACTGGCCAAAATGGCATTTTTGTTTTATTTCTAAGTTAAGGATTTCTTTTTTGCTTTATATAAATTGGTATCAATAAAAGGATTCTAGATTTCTTCAAGATTGACAGCTTGTAACTCCACTTAATAACAAAATTTAGTAATTATATAAGTAAAGTCAGTTTCTAAATATATGGTTAAATAATTAAAATTGGGGTGGGCCCAGTGGTTCATGCCTGTAATTCCAGTACTTTGGGAGGCTGAGGTGGGAGAATTGCTTGAGCCCAGGAGTTCAAAACTAGCTTAAGGGGTCTTGAATTAGCCTAGGCGGTCTTGAATTAGCCTAGGCAGTCTTGAATTAGCCAGGTGTTGTGGGCGCACGCCTGTAATCCCAGCTACTTGGGAGGCTGAAGCAGGAGAATTGCTTGAACCCAGGAAGCAGAGGTTGCAGTGAGCCGAGATAGCGCCACTGCACTCTAGCCTGGGCGACAGAACGAAACTCTATCTCAAAAAAAAAATAAGTAAATAAAAGTCTCTGTGTTCAGGGACTCACTATATGAAGGAGACACATGAAAGTAAGTGTTAGTAAGTTGTGCTATTAAGTGTGAAATAAATGCTACTAAGAGTTCTAGCCATAGAAGACTGGGTGCGGTGGCTCACGCTGTAATCCCAGCACTTTGGGAAGCTGAGGCAGGTGGATCACTTGAGGTCAGGACTTCAAGACCAGCCTGACCAACATGGTGAAACACCATCTCTACTAAAAATACAGAAATTAGCTGGGCATGGTGGCGCATGTCTATAATCCCGGCTACTTGGAAGGCTGAGACAACAGGATCACTTGAACCCGGAAGGCAGAGGTTGTAGTGAGCTGAGATTGCGCCACTACACTCCAGCCTGGGCGACAGAGTGAGACTCTATCTCAAAAACAAAAAAAAATTTCTATCCATAGAAGGTGTAGTGGGAACAGGAAAGACAAAAATGAATAGACAGATTGCTAATATATACAAATTACAAATGTGGCAGGAAATTGGATGGAGTTCTGTGAGGATTCGAATAATCAGGGAGTGCTTGAGTGTGTTGGGGGAAC
The DNA here is from genome assembly GCF_000001405.40 of Homo sapiens. NCBI lineage: Eukaryota > Metazoa > Chordata > Mammalia > Primates > Hominidae > Homo > Homo sapiens. Next base: position 197,533,265 of record NC_000002.12, read on the forward strand.
GAGAGATTTGGACAGAATTGTGATGTGGAATTTGAGGTGGCCTTTGGAGAAGGTATACAATTTAGCTGTATCTCCTCAAGGAGAGAGAGAATCAAAACTTTGAAACATTAGGATGAGATAAAAAAAATCAGGGAGAGTGGTTTCAATAGTAATTAAAGAGTCATTAAAAAGTGTTTGAGGCTGGGTACGGTGGCTCATGCCTGTAATCCCAGCACTTCGGGAGGCCGAGGCGGGTGGATCAGCTGAGGTCAGGAGTTTGAGACCAGCCTTACTAACATGGCGAAACCCTGTCTCTACAAAAAATACAAAAATTAGCCGGGCGTGATGGCAGGTGCTTGTATTCCCAGCTACTCGGGAGGCTGAGGCAGGAGAATCGCTTGAACCCGGCAGGCGGAGGTTGCAGTGAGCCAAGACTGAGCCATTGCACTCCAGCCTGGGCGACAGGAGCAAAACTCCTCAAAAAAAAAAAAAAAAAAAAAAAAGTATTTGATCCCTTTCCCTGTCATCATGGTGTGTGCGTGTGACTCAGTTCTTTGCCATGCCTTCCCACAAGACTTTAAGACTTTTAGAATCAAGTGATTCCTGGCCAAGAAACAAAAGCAAAATCGTCCCATTCCCCAGTGGATTCAGATGAAAACTGAGTAATAAAATCAGGTACAACTCTAAGAGGAGACATTGGAAAAGAACCAAGCTGGGTCTAGAAGGAATTTTACATGAGATGGCACACATACTTAATATTGCATCAAGGTCACTATCATGTCACCATATCAAGCTGAAAATGTCACCATCATCTGGACAGTTGTACATGCTGTATTGGAACAATGGTTTTTCTTTTGGTTTCTATGCTCTGCAGTAGGCTGGTTCAGTACTAAATATGTGAGACCTTTTGTTTGGAAAAAAAAGTTTTTGAGTAAGCAAGTGATATTCAAGAAAGATTGTCTGAAGTAGGCAAAATTGATTGGCTCAAGAAGGCCTTATAGTTAGTAAGTTTTTGTAACCACCCTTTTAATCTGTTCTAACGTATTTAGACTTCAGAATATCAAAAAGATTGCATAAAGCATTACAGAGATCTGAAATTTAAATTTTTATGTTATTACATTTTAAAAATTGAAAGTGACCCTCCCTTGCCTTTTTTTTTAAACTTAGTTTTTTCTGTTAGTCATTTAAAACAACTTTTATTGGATCTAATGAACATACCATACAAATCCCTATACAGTTAGAGTGATTATATTCACAGGGTTGCACAGCCATCACTACAGTCTAATTTTAAAGCTTTTTTGTTGTTGTTTTGTTTTTGAGATGGAGTCTCACTGTGTTGCCCAGGCTGGAGTGCAGTGGCACGATCTTGGTTCACTGCAACCTCCGCCTCCCGGGTCCAAGCGATTCTCTTGCCTCAGCCTCCAGAGTAGCTGGGACTACAGGTGTGTGCCACCACGCCTGGCTAATTTTTTTGTATTTTTAGTAGAGATTGGGTTTCACTATATTAGCCAGGATGGTCTCGATTTTCTGACCTTGTGATCTGCCCACCTCGGCCTCCCAAAGTGCTGGGATTACAGGCATGAGCCCCGACGCCCGGCCTTTTAGAACATATTTATCCTTCCTGAAAGGAAACCTCACCCTCATTAGCAGCCATCTTCAGTCTCTTCTGCCTTCCTCTCTGCCCTCAAGCCCTACACCAGTACAAATCTATTTCCTGTCTCAATAGATTTTCTTACTCTAGACACTTCATATAAACCAAATCACAATATGTACCATAGTTATATTTACATTGCCTATGGTGAAATCCTGTATCTACAAAATATGGAAAAGTTAGCCCGGCGTGATGGCGTGTGCCTGTAGTCCCAGCTCCTCAGGAGGCTGAGGTGGGAGGATTGCTTGAGCCCAGGAGGTGGATATTGCAGTGATCTGAGATTGTGCCACTGTACTCCAGCCTGGGTGATGCAGTGAGACCCTGTTTCAAAAAAAAAAAAAAAAAAAAGAAATTATGGTTTGCAATTTTGATCCAAGTTCCAGTCCTGACAAATACAATATCTGCATTTATGTAGTAGATTCTATCCAAATGAAGTTGAATTGAAGGATAAATAAGTAAGGGTAACCTACTTTTTTTCTTAGTTACTGATTATGATTCTATACTTGGTTTCCTATTTAGTGTATAACCCAAGTTGAACCACAAGAGCAGTTATGTATTAACAAATTATATGTACTTAACATAAGATTTACCAGGTGATATAATTTAATTAACCATAAGAACTTCTTTGTTTTTAGTATATTCAACAGAACATAAGAGCAGATTGCTCCAATATTGACAAAATTCTTGAACCACCTGAAGGCCAAGATGAAGGTGTGTGGAAGTATGAACATTTAAGGTAGGACCTTACATCAAAATACTAATAGTACCTCTCACAAAACTAGCTTTCATATTAATGATAATTATGAATTGTAAAATTTACTATGTAACTGCAGACTAAGAAGCCAAATTTTAAAGCTTTGGCATTTTCAGTGTCACAAGGTTCTCAGCTTTCTTCACTGGTTGTTTCCAGGTCAAATTATGCTGCAGAGTCACTCATTTTGAAAGGTGGTTTATTTCAGAGTTGATAATTTGGACCTGCCTCTGCACCTCTCTTCTTTTCTTTTCTTTTTTTTTTTTTTTTTTGAGATGGGGTCTCACTCTCTTGCCCACGTTGGAGTGCAGTGGTGTAATCACTGCTTACTGTGCCTCTACCTCTTAGGCTCAAGTGATCCTCCCACTTCAGCTTCCAGAGTAGCTGGGACTACAGGTGTGTGCCAGCATGCCTCACTAATTTTTTAATTTTTTGTAGAGACAGGATCTGATTGTGTTGCCCAGGCTAGTCTCAAACTCCTGGATTCAAGCAATTTTCCTACCTTGTCCTCCCAAAGTATTGAGCCACCCTTTCTACATTTATTCATTTGGGCCTTATTATCCCCGCCTTTTTTTTGAAACAGGGTCTTGATCTGTTGCCTAGGCTGGAATGCAGTGGTGCAATCTTGGCGCATTGCAGCCTCTGTCTCCCATGCTGAAGCAATCCTCCCACCTCAGCCTCCTGAGTAGCTGGGACTACTAGTGCATGCCTCTAAGCCTGGCTAGTTTTTTGTATTTTTTGTAGAGACAAGGTTTCACCATGTTGCCTAGGCTGGTCTCAAACTCCGGGGCTTAAGCAATCCACCCACCTTGGCCTCCCACAGTGCTGGGATTACCACCATGCCAGCCTGGGTTTTATTCTTATTTCATGATTTTCCTTAATTGTATCTCTTAACCGCTAATATAGTATTTCCGTTTCCCCATTTTTGCATAACTGTGTCATCTTTTGTCTTTTTTTTTTTTTTTTTTTTTTTTGAGACAGAGTCTTGCTCTGTTGCCTAGGCTGGAGTGCAGTGGTGTGATCCCGGCTCACCACAACCTCTGCCTCCCGAGTTCAAGTGATTCTTCTGCCTCAGCCTCCCGAGTAGCTGGGACTACAGGCGCAGCCATGCCCAGCTAATTTTTGTATTTTTAGTAGAGATGGGGTTTCACTATGTTGGCCAGGCTGGTCTCGAACTCCTGACCTCATGATCTGCCCGCCTCAGCCTCCCAAAGTGCTGGGATTACAGGTGTGAGCCACCGTGCCTGACTTGTCTTTTTTTTTTCCTTTGTTTCTGTAGAGATGGGGTCTCACTGTGTTGCCCAAGCTGGTCCTGAAATCCTGGGCTCAAGTGATCCTCCCATCTCAGCCTGCCAAAGTGCTGGGATTATACAGGCATGAGCCACTGCACTTGGCCACTTTATGTTTTTGTAGAGGATTACTTCCAGTTCCTAGTCTAGGCTTGGTATCTGATAAGTTACCTGTAAATTATTGCAAACTTCCAGTCTTCTCTTTGGTAAATAGAGATTAATTGTAATCCTGAAGTAAGGAGTTTTGGTGCTTTTTATAATGCCCTTTGAATGAAAAAATTGATAACTAGTGGATAGGTGGAGATAACATTAAAAGTAGATATATTCTGAAGTTACTAGGTGTTTCTTGAAATTATAAATTTTCCAGTGCAAATGGGAGCTGGGATGAGTTGACAGATTATTAATAAATATAGAGAATGCAGTATGTGTTCATTGGGGCTTATTATTTGTAAGTTGATTTTTAGATAAATAGAGTAGAAATATGACTTTTCCTGAATAAATTAGACCATGTTTCCTGTGTTGTGTGCCTCAACTTGTAGACAAGGCACTTTTTAAAAATATTTACTTTTTGATGCTGCATGCTTCTTTAGAAATGGCTAAGACATTATGTCGTGTCATAACAGTTCAGCAATTTCAGGATGCTAAGACTTCTTTGTATCCTTTGCCAGTTTTTAGACAAATTACTTGACTATTTTCTAACTTTTTAATATATATGAATGCACAATAATTCAAAGTACGAGTCTGTAGATATTTTCCCATTTTTACAACCCAAGACAGAGAGCACTTTAGTGTAGTACATCCTTTGCTTTATTTTTATCAGCCTTGAAAATAACTGCTTTCTTATGTTTTTTTTCTTGAGACAAGAGTCTCGAGTCTCGCTTTGTCACCAGGCTGGAGTGCAGTGGTGTGATCTCGGCTCATTGCAACCTCCGCCACATGGGTTCAAGCGATTCTCCTGCCTCAGCCTCCCAAGTAGCTGGGACTACAGGCACACGCCACCATGCCCAGCTAATTTTTGTATTTTTAGTAGAGATGGGGTTTCACCATGTTGGTCAGGATGGTCTTGATCTCCTGACCTCACGATCTGCCCACCTTGGCCTCCCAAAGTGCTGGGATTACAGGCGTGTGCCACCACACTTGGCCGTTTTTTCCATTACAAGCATAATTCCTAACAAATAGGGGCTGATTTTAGTGTTACAAGGGTTTTTTTTTTTTCAGATCTAAGAAAACATTTATCTCCCTATTTAACTTATTCTATGAAACATTATATAAAACATTACATAAAACTTTACATGAAATATTTCTCACAAGTATTTCATTTGTTCTGGTGCTATTTTTACTTTTGTTATTTTTTTCTACTAGCCACTTTTTGGTCTGGGTTGTATATTAACTATCGTATATATTCTTTTATCTCTTTATTGTATTGTGTACATTTTATTAGTTGACCAGGAAGAGGTTTTTTTTTTTTTTTGCATACATCCTTTATTGATTTGAGGCTGTATACTTGCCATTTTTAGTTAATGCAGTTGATTATATAATGATGTTAATTTAGATTGGGTCATGACTTCAGTCATATCTCCCACTAGCTCATATTGAGTCTTAATGATTAGGAAAAAGTACTCCTTTATGTCCGGATACATGCGTGGTGACTGGAATGTAGGCTGGATTCCAGCTCTGGTTGGTCTCTTCAGCTGCACAACTGTGTACATGTTAGCCCTGTATTAAATTAACTTGAAGTTGTGAGTTTTGCATTATTTGCCACAGATTATACCCACAGCCCTGCTGAATCAACTTAATTTTGCTTTTGGCTATAAAAGGGTTGGGTAAGAAACTTACCACAACCAGTCTTTATTACCACTTGGTGGAAAACAACTAAAAAACACATAACATGCAGTCTACTTGATAGGGGACAGTAGAGGGTGATACGGTGATTTAGAAATAATGTTATTTTTGTAATCTAAGGACAGCATTATTAGGCATCTGGAAAGGAAATGCAGTTACAAACAACTGAAAATTTGACCCTTGCCTTTTTGTTTTCCTCTGTTACAATGTGCAGTAAGTAAGTAAATGAAGTTTTTCCACCAAATTTGTTCACATATATCCTGTTTTTTTCTTTTTTGGGGGGATTTTTTTTTGTCTTCTGATTATATAGGTGTTAGCTTTGCATTGTTTTGGGAACCAAAATGATTCAATTTTTCTGATGGGGAAACATAGTATTGATTTATCTAACCTGATACATTGAACTAAATATTAATAGGTAGGACTTTAGGAGGGAACACGTTCAGTGTTTTGACAGCTGTAAAACTACCTTTGTGACATAGAAGATTGTCTTTTTATCAAATAGCTGTCTAAAACTGATGGCCTCAGTGCAATTGTAATGTAATTTTTTTTTTTTTTTTTTTGAGATGGAGCCTTACTCTGTTTCCCAGGCTGGAGTGCAGTAGTGTGATCTTGGCTCACTGCAACCTCCGACTCCCAGGTTCAAGCAGTTCTCCCTCCTCAGCCTCCTGAATAGCTGAGATTGCAGGCACCCGCTATTATGCCCGGCTAATTTTTGTATTTTTGTGGCGATGGAGTTTCACCATTTTGGCCAGGATGGTCTTGAACTCCTGACCTCAAGTGATTCACCTGCCTCGGCCTCCCAAAGTGTTGGGATTACAGGCCTGAGCCACTGCGCCCTGCTGTAATTTCTTTGTATGTTTCTATGTACCAACATTTTATTACCCTCCAGTTGCTGAATTTTTCTACAATTCAGAAATTTTCTCATATGCATATATAGCTCCTGTGAACATCTTTATACATTTATCTGCATGCAGATCTGATTATTTCATTACAATAGATTCTTAGAAGAATGACTTAGTCGAAAAGTATACACTTCCTAAAAGTCTTGGTAAATATTTCCAAATTACTTCCCTGAAAAATTGTACTAATTTCTAGTATATAAGAGAATGATCAGCTCACTTAACTCTGGTATTGAATGTTATGAGGGTTATTGGTTTTCTATTTTTAATCTGTAAGCCTTTAGAAGAAATGTGTCATTGTCAGTTTAGGTGGTTTTGAGAATGGTAATGAGGGAGGAGGGATGATACTGATGGGATTCTCTTTTTGCAGCTAATATTCTAAAAATTGCTGTGAAGAATAGATATGACTTTTTATTTATGTATTTGCATTTTCAGGCAGTTCTGCCTTGAGCTAAATGGACTTGCTGTCAAACTTCAGGTAATATTTTCTTTAAGTCAAAGTTATAATTGAAAGTTCTGATTTTTTTTTCTCTGTTTTTATAACTTAATGTGCTTACAAAAACGTATCCACATTTCTAACTTTCTTCTAGAATTTATTATGGAAATATAGTAACCTAAATGATAAGCTTTTTCATTATTATTTTACATATTAAGAAATATAATTATTTTTAACAGAGTGAATGCCATCCAGATACTTGCACTCAAATGACAGCAACTGAACAATGGATTTTTCTTTGTGCAGCTCATAAAACTCCAAAAGAGGTGAGGATTTATGAAATAGAGTAACTAATAAAATTATTATAGCCTAAATCTCTCTCAAGACAATGTTAGACAAGTTTTTAGGGTTTTTAGTTCACTGTTCATTTTGCTATTTCATTTTGAGTTGCTTGTTGTGAAGTTGTTACTGCAGTGCTATTTTAGGATTTCTTATGATAAGCATCATTTTTCATAATTGGGCAATTACATGGGCTAGAACTCACTTCATGATCCACTGGCTATTACGGATTAACATCTGTCACATTGTGCTGATATCTACTGTGTAATGATTGAGATACGCCTGTTTAGGTTTTTGTTCAGATTATTTCTTTTGATAGGAAGAACTATTGATTACTCTGATGCCTAGTTTAAGTAGAAATGTTACTTTTGAGCTTTTAAATATTCATGTTGTTTTTCTCCTTATTTAGTTTTTGTCAAGGTAAGACTATAGGCAGTAGCAGTTTTTTGTTTTGCTCTTTTTTTTTTTTGAGATGGATTCTTACTCCGTTGTCCAGGCTGGAGTGCAGTGGTATGATCTCGGTTCGCTGCAACCTCTGTCTCCGGATTCAGGAGATTCTCATGCATCAACCTCCCAAGTGGCTGAGATTACAGGCATGCGCTATCATGCCGGGCTAATTTTTATATTTTTAGTAGAGATGGGGTTTTGCTATATTGGCAAGCCTGGTCTCAAACTCCTGACCTCAAGTAATCTGCCCACCTCAGTCTCCCAAAGTGCTGGGATTACAGGTGTGAACCACTGTGCCTGGCCTACTGTACTTTTTCTTATTTAAAAAATTTCTTCATATCATCTGATACCCAGTATACTTTTCCTTAGTTGTCTCCAAAATGGTCTTTACATCTGGGTTGTTTATGCATTGCTTTTCCCTTAATCTGTATTCCCATTTAATCTGTTATAATTACTTTTTACTTGACACTGACTCACTGGGGATATTGGGTTAGGCCAATTCTGTAGAATCATAGACCTTGAAGTGGTCATTATATTGATAGACTTCTAAGGCTTGAAGACAAGTGAGGCCCTAGTTGCAAAATCAATATCTGATGTTTTTTGTTTCAAAAAGGACAAATGCTCCAAAATAAGGAGTATTTGATACCTAAGAGAATAGTACTTATTTGGAAGACTGGTTTCATTCAGGATGTCACATTTTTATGTTAATTAATTGAAGCAGTATTAAGATTGTATCTGTCGGCCGGGCGCGGTGGCTCACGCCTGTAATCCCAGCACTTTGGGAGGCCGAGGCGGGCGGATCACGAGGTCAGGAGATCGAGACCATCCCGGCTAAAACGGTGAAACCCCGTCTCTATTAAAAATACAAAAAATTAGCCGGGCGTAGTGGCGGGCGCCTGTAGTCCCAGCTACTTGGGAGGCTGAGGCAGGAGAATGGCGTGAACCCAGGAGGCGGAGCTTGCAGTGAGCCGAGATCCCGCCACTGCACTCCAGCCTGGGCGACAGAGCGAGACTCCGTCTCAAAAAAAATAAAAAATAAAAAAAATAAAAAGATTGTATCTGTCTACATCTGGGAAAATCCACATAGTGGTTTCATTGATAATTCACTGAAGTTGGCTACTTAACGTAGTGAATGATGTGATTATTGCAATTAGGAAACTGAATCAAGAAGGCTGAATCAAGGCTAGTTTTGTTTTGGCAAATAGTAATGATGTATTATTCTTTCTTTAGAGTGGAAGTGATATCCAGTTTGTGATGTGTTATGACTCTTAAATATACTGTCATTCTCATATCCACTTCTTTCTTGATTAATATTAAATGACAGGATAGTCATTAGCATTAAGACCTGTAAATTGAGTCTTAGAATTGCAGCATTGCTTGCTGAAGTCCAGATCTGTTGAACTGGCCATGTGTCAAGGGAGGGTGATAGTAGGATTTCCAAGTGGTAGTTATATTGAGTGGAGTTACTGTAAAAATACAAACAAAAGAACAATTTGAAAGGACACTTTCTGAACTGTTTTTGAATAACTGCTTAGTCAGGAAACTATAGGAACTGACAAACTAAGCTAAGAAAATTGCTCTCATGGATTAAAATCACTAGGGAGATTCTGAAGTGGGAGCAGCAGAATACTTAGCACCAATAATCATTTATTCAGTATCCTTGAGAATTAAAGAGAGGCATTCAGCATATAGAGTAAATTATACAAATAGTGCTTCTAGGCGACAAACATTATAACTTACTGTCTACAAGCCCTCACAGTCACATGCTGATTGTGATCACTTGCAGTAGCATTATGATTATATATTTGGAAAAATATAATACATAAAAATTTGTAAACACCATTACATAGTATTTTGTAACCTGCTATATTTTGCCATTTTTTGCTGTTATAACTGTTACAGAGTAGGAATAGTTACCTGAGAATTAACTGGGGGAAGGTGAAGGGAAGGCAGCTAAAAACAATGCAAAATGTCATCCAAATTAAAAATTCAGAAACCAGTTAAAGGTCTAAAGATACAGTGATGTGGTAACCCATGAGCCCCATGTAGCTGTGTAGCACTTGAAATGTGGGTAGTCAAAATTGAAATATGCTGTAAACACAAAATAAATACTGGATTTCGAAGACAGTAACGCCTGTAATCCCAGCACTTTGGGAGGCCGAGGCAGGTGGGTCACCTGAGGTCAGGAGTTCGAGACCAGCCTAGCCAACATGGTGAAACCCCATCTCTACTAAAAATACAAAAAATTAGCTGAGTGTGATGGGTGTGCACATGTAGTCCCAGCTACTAGGGAGGCTGAGGTGGGAGAATCACCTGAGCCCAAGGACTCAAGGTTGAAGTAAGCAAAGATCACACCACTACACTCCAGCCTATGTGACAGAGAGAGACCATGTCTCAAAAAAAGATTCAGAAATGGCCAGTAAGCACATGAAAAGATGCTCAACATTAGTTATTAAGGCACATCTCAAAACCACAGACAGTTGGTGCGAGGGTTGTGCGTTATTGTTATGCTGATTAACATTGTCTCCTCCACAACCATGCTTGATAAGGGAAAAAAAAAAACCACCGTGAGAATGGAGAAACAAAATGTAGCATGGACATACAATGAAATATTATAAAACCATGAAAGGGAATGAAGTTCTGATACATGCTACAACACAGATGAACCTTTAAAATCCAGTATGTATTATGTGGAGTGAAACAAGTCAGATGCAAAAGGACAGATACTGTAGCATTCCACTTATCTAGAGTGAATAAATTCATATAGACATTTGAAGGTAGGTAGAAGCTGCCAAAGGATGGGCGGTATGGGAAGTTAGTGCTTAAGGGTAATAGACTTTTTTCTTTTCTTTTCTTTTTGAGACAGAGTCTTGCTCTTTTGCCCAGGCTGGAGTTCAGTGGCGCAATCTCGGCTCACTGCAACCTCCGCTTCCCAGGTTCAGGCGATTCTCCTGTCTCAGCTTCCCAAGTGGCTGGGATTTACAGGCATGTGCCACCTCGCCTGACTAATTTTTGTATTTTTAGTAGTGACATGGTTTCACCCTATTGGCCAGGCTGGCCTCGAACTCCTGACCTCATGTGATCCGCCCACCTCAGCCTCCTAAAGTGCTGGGATTATAGATGTGAGCCACTGCGCCCAGCCGAGTTTCTTTCTTTTTTTTTTTTAAGAGACAAGAGTTTCGCTCTGTCGCCCAGGCTGGAGTTTCACTCTGTTGCCCAGGCTGGAGTGCAGTGGCACAATCTTGCCTCACTGTAGCCCCCACCTCCCAGTTTCAAGCAGTTCACTGCCTCAGCCTTCTGAGTAGCTGGGACAACAGGCGTGCACCACCATGCCAGGCTAATTTTTGTATTTTTAGTAGAGACGGAGTTTCACCATGTTGACCAGTTTGGTCTCAAACTCCTGGCCTCAAGTGATCCACCTGCCTTGGCCTCCCAGTGTGCTGGGATTATAGGCATGAGCCACCATGCCTGGCCATAATAGTTTCTGTTTGAGAGTTGGAAACAGTGAAGATGGTTGCACAATATTGTAAATTAATGCCACTAAATTGTACATTTAAAAATGGTCAAAATAGCTGTCTGGGCGCGGTGGCTCACGCCTGTAATTCCAGCACTTGGGGAGGCCAAGGCGGGCGGATCACGAGGTCAGGAGATCAAGACCATCCTGGCTAACACGGTGAAACCCCATCTCTGCTAAAAATACAAAAAATTACCCGGGCGCTGTGGCGTGTGCCTGTAGTCTCAGCTACTTGGGAGGCTGAGGCAGGAGAATGACGTGAACCCTGCAGACGGAGCTTGCACTGAGTGGAGATCACATCACTGCACTCCAGCCTGGGCAACAGAGTGAGACTCCGTCTCAAAAAAAAAAAAAGGGTCAAAATGGAAAAATTTGTGGTGTATATATTTTACTACAATTTTTTAAAATGTTAAGAAAAAAGCATCAAAACCCCAAATGGCATATACTTTCATACCCACTATAATGGCTAAAATAGGAAAGATAGACAATAACAAGTGCTGACGGGGATGTGAAGTGGAACCCCTAAACATTGATGATGGGATTGTAAAATGCTTCAGCTATTTCAAAAAACAGTTTGGAAGTTCCTTAAAATGGTAAGCATAGAGTTGCATACGACCCAGGAATTCCACTCCTTGATATGTAGTTCCCCCAAAATGAAAACATTTATCTGCACAAAGACTTGTACATGAATATTCACAGTCACATTATTTATGATAGCCAAAAAATGGAAACAACCAAATATCCATCAACTGATGAATGGATAAGCAAAATGTGTTGCAGCCATCTCTCAGTAGCCTCAGAGGATTGGTCCCAGGACCCCCATGAATACCAAAACCACAGATACCAAAGTCTCTTATATAAAATGGCATAGTATTTGCATATGACCTATGCACATCCTCCTATATACTTTAAATCATCTCTAGATTACATATAATACTGAATACAATATAAATGCTATATAAATAGTTGTTATACTGTATTTCTTAATTTGTATTATTTTTTATTGTTATGGGGTTTTAAAGTGTAGTTTTGATCTGCAGTTGGTTGAATCTGCAGATGCAAAGTGCTGACTGTATGTGTACAATGGAATAATATTCAGCCATGAAAAGGAATGAAGTCTTAAAGGGAGAAACATACAGTACGGCATTTTGTATATATTAAAAACATTAAAGGCTAAAAAGTTTTGAATTTTAAAAAAAGGAATGAAGTACTGATTCATACTACACCATGGATAAGCCTTGAAAACATAATAGAAGCCAGACACAAAATGCCACTTATTATATTATTTCATTTTAATGAAATATCCAGAATAGGCAAATCCTGTGAAACAGAAATTAGGTTGGTTGTTGCTTAGGGCTGGGGGAAGGAGAGAATGGGAAGTGACTGCTAATTGGTTCAAGGTTTCTTTTTGGGATGCTGAAATGTTCTGAAATTTAGTGGTAATGGTTGCAGAATTTTGTGAATATACTAGAAACTACTGAATTTTTAAGAGTAAATTTTAGTTGTATCAATTATATCTTAAAAGTCAAAAAGTAGCCCATTAATTTTATATCAATTACCTGCTGAAATGGTATTATTTTGGATATAGTGGGTCAAACTACAATATTAAAATTAATTTCACCTCTTTCACGTTACCTTTTTATTTTTTATTTTTTAATTTTTATTTTTGAGACGGAGTCTCACACTCTTGCCCAGGCTGGAGTGCAGTGGCGCGATCTTGGCTCACTGCAAGCTCCGCCTCCCGGGTTCTTGCCATTCTCCTGCCTCAGCCTCCTGAGTAGCTGGGACTACAGGTGCCTGCCACTGCGCACAGCTAATTTTTTGTATTTTTAGTAGAGATGGGGTTTCATCGTGTTAGCCAGGATGGTCTTGATCTCCTGACCTTGTGATCCACCTGCCTCGGCCTCCCAAAATGCTGGAATTATAGGCGTGAGCCACTGCGCCCGGCCTCACGTTATCCCCTTTTTAATGTATCTCTTAGAAAGTTAATTAATTAATTTTTTGAGACGAAATCTTACCCTGTTATCCAGGCTGGAATGCAGTGGCCTGATCTTGGCTTACCTCCCTTGACCTCCTGTGCTCAAGCAATCCTCCTGCCTCAGCCTTCTTGGTAGCTGGGACTACAATCATAGTGCCACCATGTCTGGCTAATTTTTCAAATTTTTTGTAGAGATAGGGGCATTTCCCTGTGTTGCCTAGGCTGGTCTTGAACTCCTGGACTCAAGTGATCTTCCCACTTTGGCCTCCCAAAGTGCTGGAATTACAGGCGTGAGCCACCACATTGGGCCTAGAAAATTTAAAATTAAATATATGGCTTGCATTATACAGTTGACCCTTGAACAACTCCGGGATTGGGATCCCAACCCTCTGTGCAGCTGAAAATCTGAGTATCTAACTTTTGACTCCCCCAAAACTTAATTACTAATAGCCTACTGTTGACTGGAAGCCTTACCGATAACAGTCGATTAACACACATTTTGTATGTTCTGTGTATTATATAGTGTATTGCAATGAAGGAAGCTAGAGAAAATGTTATTCAGAAAATCATAAGGGGCTGGGCGTGATGGCTTATGCCTGTAAACCCAGCACTTTGGGAGGCTGAGATGGGAGGATCGCTTGAGGCCAGGAGTTCGAGACCAGCCTGGTCAACATAGTGAGACCTTCTTTCTTTCTTTTTTTTAAAGAAAATCGTAAGGAAGAGAAAATATATTTGCCATTCATTAAGTGGATCATTGTAAAGGTCTTCCTTGTTGTGTTCATGTCGTTGAGTAGGCTGAGGAGAAAGAGAAAGAAGTGGGGTTGGTCTTGCCGTTGCTGGGAAAATCTGAGCATAAGTGGATTTACGCAGTTCAAACCTGTGTTGTTCAAGGGTCTGCTGTATTTCTGTTGATGATTCTGGTTTAAAGGTTGTAAAACTGTCTCATGGTATACCCAAATGACAAATATGAGAAATACAGTTACTTGGGATATTTGCTTTTGACCAACTCATCTGTGGTCATATATCTGGAGAAAGGTAGTTTTTTTCAATAAATATTGCTCATGGTACTGTTTTTGGCAAGGAGTCCACTAATCAGAAATTCCTGTGGATATATTGTTAGAAAAATACTTCTTTTTTATTAGGTAATTTTTTAGTGCCACGGCACTAAGCCATATTTAGTAGTTACTAAACCGTATTTCTAAGTGACAGCTTCAGTCTCAAACTTGAAAAATAACCTAATTACTGGGTAGAGTCTTTGAGCTACAGTCATTGTTACTCCTTCCTCTAGTTGTTTTTTCCTTCTGGTTGACTCCCTGGTTTGTTTCTAGACTGCTTTCCCCTTGATGTTGCTCCCTGTCTGCCCTCAGGAGGACTGGATGAGGACAATTACTTTGCAGTTTTATTTTTCCTTTAATAAATTTACTGAGTTGCCATGAGACAGTGTTTCATTGTTTCTTTTTTTCATTGTTTCTGATAAATGGAACAGAATAAGTCAGATTTATTAAAATATAAGGAAACTTTGATATTTCATGTTAAAATTCAAAGGTGATCTGGGAGAAAGTTCTTTAGAGGGCTGCTAGATTGATAATAGAGTGCTAGGGACATAATAAGGAATATTGTTTAGGATATAAGAAGGCATCCCTGGAGATACCAGAGATAAATCAGGATTCTTCTTGTCTGTAATTGTTGTTTTCTTGTAGGTACGATGTTGGGAATAAAAATGGGAGACTGGTTTATGTATCATCTAGAATTGTGATATGGTTCAAGGGGATAATAAACCTTACTTATTAATATAACATTATATTTTACAAGCATTCGGAAATTGTAAGGAACTTTTTTCTTAGAACATGCTCATGTCTTTGGAATAAGGTATACCCATATAATGAATATATCTAACTTAAGAGAGAGCTCTTTGTTGATGCATTTCTATATTCTTTCTTTTGTAGTGTCCTGCTATAGACTATACTAGACACACACTTGATGGTGCTGCATGTCTTCTGAATAGCAATAAATATTTTCCCAGCAGGTAATCGAAACTTTTAAACATAGTGTTAAACATTTTAGAGTTAATTTATAAGATTGGTATTTTAGGGGGGAGGGGGGAGGGATAGTATTAGGAGCTATACCTAATGCTAAATGATGAGTTAATGGGTGCAGCACACCAACATGGCACATGTATACATATGTTACAAACCTGCACGTTGTGCACATGTACCCTAAAACTTAAAGTATAAATAATAATAAAATAAAAGATTAGTATTTTAAAAGTAAAATTAGGTTGCTCGTTAATGCATTTTTGTATTTTTTTTTTTAGCTGTTGTATTTTGGCTTGTTTATTCAAGTTTTGAAATTAGGACTGTGGTTAAACAGCAGAACTTGGCTGTCAAAGCTCAAGGCCAGTTCAGTCTAAGGCTAGTACCTGTTCATATATGTCATTCTGCAGAGCTCTCCCTCTCATGCTTTAGAGTTGGGATATGTATATACTTGCTCACTTGAATCTCTATGTTAGTTAGACTCGACCTCCCTTTATGTAGTATGCCTAAAGAGCAGACTTTCTGGCTGGGCGCAGTGGCTCACGGATGTAATCCCAGCACTTTGGGAGGCCGAGGCGTGCGGATCACCTGAGATTGGGAGTTCGAGACCAGCCTGAACAACATGTAGAAACTCCTTCTCTACTAAAAATACAAAATGATCTGGGCATGGTGACGAGTACCTGTAATCCCAGCCACTTGGGAGGCTGAGGCAGGAGAATCGCTTGAACCCAGGAGGCAGAGGTTGTGGTGAGCCGAGATCGCGCCATTGCACTCCGGCCTGGGCAACAAGAGCGAAACTGTCTCAAAAAAAAAAGAGCAGACTTTCTTATTTGTTTTTGAAGGATTCCTTATCCTTGCTCATTGATTTTTAAGATCTGAGAAGTCTGTACATGTAATATATTATCGGTGAAGTTTGTGACTGCCTTTTATTTTATTAAGGTATTTGTTACCAGGTGGATAGATTTGGAGATTTCCCCCACCAAATATGATTAGCTTCAAAGAGCTCATATAAAATATGTTAAGAAAAATACTGACTTTTGACCTTAATATTCTGTGTATACATATTTTAAAAAAGGATATCAGAAATATGCAGAAAATTTCAATTTTAAAAAAACAATTTTAATTTCTCTCTCTCTGTTTTTCTTTTTCTATATGGAGTCTTGCTCAACCAGGCTGGAGTGCAGTGGCGCAATCTCAGCTCACTGCAACCTCTGCCTCCTGGGTTCAAGCGTTTCTCCTGCCTCAGCCTCATGAGTAGCTGGGATTACAAGTGCCTGCCACCACGCCTGGCTGATTTTTGTATTTTCTAGTAGAGACGGGGTTTCACCATGTTGGCCAGGCTGGTTTCGAACTCCTGACCTCAGATGATCCACCTGCCTTGGCCTCCCAAAGTGCTGGGATTACAGGCGTGAGCCACCACACCTGGCCTTAATTTCTAAAAAAAAAAAAAAAAAAAAGAAAAGAAAAGGAAAGAATAACCTAGTTCTGTAAAATAAAACAATAATTCCTTTCAGGAGTTTTCAATCGCCTCTAGTGGACAATGTATTAATGTTGGAAATAGATGTTATAGTAAATTTTGAAATGTCAGGGATTTATTCTAACTGCATTAAACTTTTACAAAGTTTCAAAACTATAATGCTGAATTTAAGTTAGGCCCTGTGATTAGGTAGAAAGAACACTGGCCTAGAACTGAGGAGCAGGGGCTCCAGGCATTTACTCGCAGTGTGACCTTGGAGTAGTCGCTTATTTTCCCTAGGTGTCAGTTTCTACACTTGTAAGCGAGAAATTGGACTATATTGTTCCTAAGATTCTATCCAGTTCTAAGAATCTATGGTTTCTTTTCTACTTCTAGGGTTAGCATAAAGGAATCATCTGTAGCGAAACTAGGATCAGTATGCCGTAGGATTTACAGAATATTTTCACATGCTTATTTTCATCATCGGCAGATATTTGATGAATATGAAGTAAGTATATTTCACTGATTATCTTGATGCATTCTTATCAGTGTAACAGTAATATATATTGATGTTATTTCTAGTCTTTTAGTTTGGGATAGTGAATTAAAATAACATTTTTGTCTTCCTCTCTACAGAATGAAACATTTTTGTGTCATCGGTTTACTAAGTTTGTGATGAAATACAATTTGATGTCCAAGGATAACCTGATTGTACCAATTTTAGAAGAGGAAGTACAGAATTCAGTTTCTGGGGAAAGTGAAGCATGAAGGGAATCATAGGAAAAATGTACTGATCATATAATTAACATTATGTACTGTATATATCATTTTAGACACATCAATCATGTATCCATATTATAGCTTCTTTGTTTAGTATAGGTTTTTGTATGCTGGGTTTGCCTTTTAAAATGGGAAATACTTTTTAAGTTATTCATAAGCTGTATATTCACCAGTGTGGCACTCATGGTTTTTAAATAAGATTAGTATTATCTGTTTATAATGCCTGTTAATAAAAGAATTTACAGTTTGGTAAAATTGCTGCTAAACAATCATTGGATCACAATCCTCATCAGACAAACCCATCTGTAAAAAAAATGAGGGAGAGCTTGAGGTTTCACACAAGCCATTTACTAAAGAGGTAGAAATGTTTTCTATTGGTTTTACCTTGAGTTTAGATATCCTAAAAAATTCTGTAGTACGTAGTTTTGTCTTACCTGTTAACTTTCCCCAATTGAGATAAAAGTGTTTTAAAATTCTGTTTATAGTTTTTGATATGCATATATAATTATGTGTATATCTAAATACAAATGCAAATGAAGCATTAGTAATACTTAAATAATTTTACTGTGCTACATAAAGTATAACATACTTGGAAAGGATTTACCGTTCTGCAACAACGGACTGGTACATACAGGATGATCACAATGGTAAGGCACATAAATTATTTTCCCACTGGAAACCTGCCCTGTCCACCCCTTCTCATTTCCCTTAACCTTATCTTCAAACTACTTTAGCTGAGAAGCTTTTCACCAGACTGAGTTAGTGGTGGCTTATACCTATTTATATTTGTATTAATTGCTTACAGATTATACCTCATATTAGCAATTACATTACACTACAAGAAAATGTATTTGCATAGGCTCTTGCTTATCTTTGTTTTGCAAAATTGTTCTACTTAGAAAACAGTCCTTAAAATAGTTTGACTCTTCCTGTTAGTAATATATTAATCTTTCATTTAACCAGCTAGGCAGCATTAAATAGAATTGAAGAAATACCATAGTATTTATTTTACACCCCCTCTCCCACGAAGTTTATGTTTGGATTACATGCACGTGTGAGATTATTTGCAATAATTCATAGGTTCCAAGGGTGTTGATGAATAGTCATACATTTTTTTGGACTTTGTTATAATTCATTGTGGTAAGAATGATTGAAATGCAGATTTAACAATCTTATAATCTATTGAATGCCATTTTTGATAAAGCACTGGAGGTCTTATTGCCAAACTGATTGTAATGAGGCAGTAAGGGTGAAAACATTGTACATGTTGTGAAGAAAGTATTTAAATCCAACTTTTGAACAGATTTAACAAACATGAGGAACTTTTTTATTTAGAAGGATAATTTTGAAGATGAAAATGTATTCATCTTAATTGTTTTTTCAAATTTAAGGGAATAATTTATACCATCTTTTCAGACAAGAATGTACAGCAAAAATAAGGGGAACAGTAGTATACTGAGAGTGTGTGTATGTATAGTGTATGCCTTTCCAAGCTTGCCAGTCTTTTTGGCTTTGAACACTGCCCATCAGCTACAGTCATTACTGTTCCCCAACCCACAACTATCTTTTAAGAAGTCTTAGTTCACAGTGAAAGGAATGATGACTTTGAAATTATGGATTTATATTAATGGCACTATAAACCAATGGTAATGGTAATTTTTAAACTTGCTAAATATTGAGAAACTAAACTACTAAGTTAATAAATTATATATAGCAGTGTAGCTGTTCTCTCTAGATGGTGTCTCACAATGGATTTCTGTTGCTTGACTATTTTCTTAGTGAATATTTATACTAAGGTAGTGACTGAGATTTGGTGATCTGGCTGAGTATTTTGAAACACATTTTGAATAATATGGCTTAGTGTTAACGGGGACTTAAATATGATTTTTTTTTCTTACTCATTTCACCTTCCCTGTACTGTATGTTTGGAATTGATCATAAAACATCTCCAAAAGAAAATAATCAGTTTGTAGTCTTGCTTTTGTATTCATGTTGATAATCTTACTAATTGTGAAGTTGATTCACTACTATACTAGGTAAGACCTAAGTGAAACAGTTCCTGTTTTTCCTTAATACTGTTTTCAGAATTTTGAAAATGTACTTATATATACATAAATACTACTAAAAAATTAATGAGCCTGGCAAACCATTGATTTATAAAAGTAAGTGTTCTAAGAGGGGAACAAGACAGTTCTGTGTGATAAGGAAGTTAGGCTCCACTTTTTGTTTGAATTACCCTATGTATATCCGAAGGTAAACTTAGGCTTTTCTTTCCAAAAGATCGTATAGTCAATTCATTCTTTTTCTCCTATCACATCTGGGAAAGTAGCTAACTTTTAACTATTTATGTTCCCATAAGTAACCCTTCTTTTGTGTGTATACATTTCCTTTTCTCTGACTTGAGATGTCAAATTTGGATTTCTAGAACAGTTTCTCAGTTAAATTCTTGATGACTTAACAACTTTTACTATCAGAATACAATTAGAAATCCTTGGTCAGGCACAGGGGCTCACGCCTGTAATCCCAGCACTTTGGGAAGCCAAGGCAGACAGATCACCTGAGGTCAGGAGTTCGAGACCAGCCTGACCAACATGGAGAAACCCTGTCTCTACTAAAAATACAAAAATTAGCCGGGCGTGGTGCTACTCGTGAGGCTGAGGCAGGAGAATCGCTTGAACCCGGGAGGTGGAGGTTGCGGTGAGCTGAGATCGTGCCATTGCACTCCAGCCTGGGTAACGAGCAAAACTCCGTCTCAAAAACTCCGTCTCAAAAAAAAAAAATCCTTGATTACATTGTTAGTAAGGACTGTGTTACGATTATAAACACATTTATTGGTTGATGTCAAATTCACTGTAATAGTAGAACTAAGTTTTTTATGTGAGTACTTTGCCCTACTGTCTATATGATGACATCTTTTTTGAGCAGCTAAATTTTAAATTGTATATACTTTATTTTGTGAATCCTTGTTGAATGTGCTAAAGGTTTCTTTGTGTAGTTCTTCCATGCTATGCGAATATTTTAGTAAAAGTAGTTGATTTTTATTTCTTCAAGCATCTCATTGTTAACAGACAATACATATGGACCAGATGTAGTGGCTCACGTCTGTAATCCCAGCCCTTTGGAGGCCAAGGTGGGCAGATCATTTGAGGCCAGGAGTTCAAGACCAGCCTGGCCAACATGGTGAAACCCCATCTCTACTAAAAAAATACAAAAATTAGCCAGGTGTGGTGATGCATGCCTGTAATCCCATCTACATGGGAGGCTGAGGCAGAAGAATAGCTTGAACCTGGGAGGTGGAGGTTGCAGTGAGCCGAGATTGCACCACTGCACTCCAGCCTGGGCGACAGAGTAAGACTCCGTCTCAAAAAAAAAAAAAAACGTATTTGTGCAATATGCTTAGCAGTTTATTTGAGATGATAAGAACATTCAAATCTGTTTTCCTGAAAAAATATGCATTATTAGTATAGAGTACACTATGAAACCGGAAAGCTACCAAGTGAATCCTCTAGAGGGTTAGATTACCTATCTAATAATAGGTTCATTGTGGAGCCTTACTCTTCATTTGTATGACTTTTCTGCTACTTTTTTTTTTTTAGGCGGAGTCTTGTTCTGTCACTCAGGCTGGAGTATAGTGGCGCAGTCTCGGCTCATTGCAACCTCTGCCTCCTGGGTTCAAGTGATTCTCCTGCCTCAGGCTCCTGAGTAGCTGGGACTATAGGTGTGCATCACCACGCCCGGCTAATTTTTGTATTTTTAGTAGAGATGGGGTTTCATCATACTGGTCAGGCTGGTCTTGAACTCTGACCTCAAGTGATCAGCCTGGCTCGACCTCCCAAAGTAGTGGGATTACAGGGGTGAGCCACAGTACCCGGCCTACTTTTTTATAGTACACAAAGCTTCATATCAAGTGTGAGCACCTAATGTAATTAAGCAAAGAGAATACTAAATTTTCGTATTAACCTAAATTTGTAAACGATAAAAACATTGGCCGGGCGTGGTGGCTCATGCCTGTAATCCCAGCACTTTGGGAGGTCAAAGCCAGTGGATCACCTGAGGTCAGGAGTTCGAGACCAGCCTGACTAACAAAATGAAACCCTGTCTCTACTAAAAATACAAAAACTAGCTGGGTGTGGTGATACGCACTTATAAACCCAGCTACTTGGGAGGCTGAGGTACAAGAATCTCTTGAACCTGGGAGGTGGAGGTTGCAATGAGCTGAGATTGTGCCACCGCACTCCAGCCTGGATGAGAGAGCAAGACTCCATCTCAAAAAAAAAAAAAAAAGAAAAGAAAAAATTGACACCGTGAACTTAAATCCATGAAGTATGTCAATTAAGTGATGATTCTAGGATTAACTGTGACATCAATATTTAAAACTAGTGAACTGTTCATTTTTTCATAAGATCAAGATAATATGCTGATCTGGATTTGTCTCATAAACCTTGTTAAAAGCAGTTTTTAATTCCATAAGTAGTGTATTTATCTTTTTTTATTTTATTTTTTGAGATGGAGTCTCACTCCTTTGTCACTCAGGCTGGAGTGCAGTGGTGTGATCTCGGCTCACTGCAACTTCCTCCTCCCAAGTTCAAGCGATTCTCCTGCCTCAGCCTTCCAAGTAGTTGGGACTACAGGCCTGCACCACCGCACCATCACACCCGAGTAATTTTTGTATTTTTAGTAGAGACAAGAGCTTCACCATTTTGGCCAGGCTGATCTCGAACTCCTGACCTCAGGTGATCCACCGGCCTTGGCCTCCCAAAGTGTTGGGATTAGAGGCATGAGCCACTGCGCCCAGCCAAATAGCATATTTATTATTTTATTTTGGGTGGACCTCATGAGAGCCACCTATATCTTATATAACAATTAAAAATATTTACTTCTAGTTTATGTTACAGGTTATAGTATTATCTCTGCCTTTTTTTGTATCAGGAACATGCTTATACAGTATGCTTTATGTAAAATAATTATCTGTATCCCTACAAGTATTTGCTGATATTAAATATTTTTGATGACTGGGCATAGTGGCTCACATCTGTAATCTCAGCATTTTGGGAGGCTAAGGCCAGAGGATTGCTTAAGGCTAGGAGTTTGAGCCAGCCTTTGCAATATAGTGAGACCCCAATTTTTGTCTATACAAAAAATTTAAAAAATTAACTGAGTATGGTGGTGCACACTGGTGGTATCAGCTACTGGGGAGGCTAAGGCAGGGGTTTGGCGGGGATTACTTGAGCCCAGTGGTTTGAGGCCACAGTGAGCTATGGTTGTGCCATTGCACTCCAACCTGCGTGACAGAGTGAGACCTTACCTCAAAAAATAAATATTTTTGGTTTTCCTTAGCATCAATGTCTACAAGAAAATGCTAGGTTTCTTTTAAAAAATGCCTTATTCCTTGTTTTAAAAGTAAGAGATTAAATCAAGAATAACAGGATTCAGTAATCCCCCACTTCTCTCAGAGATAGATTGAGGGGAGTTGATAAAGGAACAAGGGAACTCCAGAGATGAGGAAATAATAGTGGGTATAGTCATTATGGTAATAGCAAATGAGATACCCCTTCACCCAATTCCATAATATCAGTAGGGTCTTTTTGACTTCTGAGAATAAGTCCCTAGTTACCTGCCCTGAAAGATGTCATTATGTTTTTAAAACCAGATATGTATACATAGATAAATCATATGCTTGCCTTGATTTTGGTAAAATTTAAACCACTTTTTAAATCTTTGGTGCATTTTAAAAACATTTTATGAAACAGATGCAGACCTTGGATTCTGATTGTTGAGATACCATGTCAGTAATTGTATTAGTTTCCTATGGCTGTTATAGTAAACCACAAATTTAGTAGATTAAAACAATATAAACGTATCCTGTCACACTTCCTGAGTTCAGAGCTCAAAATCAGCTTTACTGGGCCAAAATACAATTCCTGGTTCCTTCTAGAGGCTCCAGGGAAGAATTCTTTCCTTGCTTCTTTTAGCTTCTGGTGGCTGCCAGCATTCTTTGCCAGCATAATAATTCAAGTCCCTACTTCCATCATCACATTGCTTTTCCTTCTGTGATGGTATTTCCTTCTGACTTCCTCTTACAAGGACACTTGTGATTACATCATTGGGCCCACTTGGGTAATCTCCCAATCTCAAAATCCTTAAGTACTTTTGCAAAGTCCCTTTTGCCATGCAAAGTAACATACAAGTTCCAGGGATTAGGATGTGGACATTTTAGGGGCCTTTATTCAGTCTACACAGCAATCCTCTCAAATTCACTTTTTTTTTTCTTTTTTTAATACAGGGTTTTGCTGTGTCACCCAGGCTGAAGTGCAGTGGCGTGGTCTTGGCTCACTGCAACCTCCACCTCCTGGGTTCAAGCGATTCTCCTGCTCAGTCTCTCGAGTAGCTGGGATTACAGCCACCATGCCTGGCTAATTTTTGCATTTTCAGTAGAGATGGGGTTTCATCGTATTGGCCAGGCTGGTCTCAAACTCCTGACCTCAAGTGATCCACTTGCCTCCGTCAAATTTACATTGTTAGGCTGGGCAGGCACGGTGGCTCATGCCTGTAATCCCAACACTTTGGGAGGCCGAGGCGGGTGGATCACTTGAGGTCAGGAGTTCGAGACCAGCCTGGTCAACATGGTGAAACCCCCCTTCTCTGTTTAAAAAAACAAAACAAACAAAACACAAAAAATTAGTCGGGTGTGGTGGCATGTGCCTGTAATCCCAGCTACTCAGTAGGCAGAGGCAGGAGAATCGCTTGAACCTGGGAGACGGAGGTTGCAGTGAGCCAAGATCGTGCCACTGCACTCCAGCCTGGATGACAGAGCGAGACTCGTCTCAAAACAAAACAAAAAAACACAAATTTACATTGTTAATCTCATAGTTCATGCTATGGACTTAATTTTTACTCTATAGTGGGACTTTTTATTTCCTGCCTGTTATCCACTTCGTGTCTCCCAAACACATAGGCATCATTTAAGTCTCTGAAAAACTGAATTTGGGATCATTTTCTGCAGGTTACCATTTGCTACATCCTCCTTGTATTGATCCATTTGTATATAACTAAGTTCTTGGTATAATCTTTAAAAAAAATTTATTGTAATAATACTTAACATGAGATCCACTCTCAACAAATGTTTGTACAATGCATTATTGTTGACCATAGATATAATGTTGCACAGCAGATCTCTAGAGTTTATTCATCTTGTTTGACTTTTGTGTGCATTGATTAGTAACCTTTGATTCTATGTATTTGTCCATTTTATTTTATTTATTTTTTGAGACAGAGTTTTGCTCTTGTCGCCCAGGCTGGAGTGCAGTGGCATAATCTTGGCTCACTGCAACCTCTGCCTCCCGAGTTCAAGTGATTCTCCTGCCTCAGCCTCCAGAGTAGCTGGGATTACGGGCATGTGCCACCACACCCACCTAATTTTTTATTTTTAGTAGAGACAAGGTTTCACCATGTTGGCCAGGCTGGTCTCGAACTCCTGACCGCAAGTGATCCGCCTGCCTCAGCCTCCCAAAGTGCTGGGATTACAGGCATGAGCCACCGTGCCTGGCCGAATTTGACCATTTTAGATACTTCATCTAAGTGAATTCATACAGTATTTGTCTTTTTGTGATTGGCTTATTTCACTTAGCATAATGTTCTCAAGGTCCATCTGTCTTGTAGCATATTGGAGAATTTCCTGTTTTGTTTTGTTTGTTTGTTTTTTGAGACAGGGTCCCATTCTGTCACCCAGGCTGGAGTGCAGTGGCAGTCACAGCTCATTGCAGCCTTGACCTCCTGGGCTCAAGCAATCCTCCCACCTCAGCCTCTTCAGCCTCAGCCTTCCCGGTAGCTGAGACCACAGCCTCGGCTAAGTTTTTAATTTTTTGTAAAGATGGGGTCTCACCATGTTGCCCAGGCTGGTCTTGGACTGCTAGTCTCAAGCGATCCTCCCACCTTGGCCTCCCAGAGTGCTGTGCTGGCATTACAGGTGTGAGTCACCATGCCCAACAAAGAATTTCCTTTTTTAAAGGCTGAATAATATTATATTGTATGTATATATCACATTTCTTTATTCATTGACAGATGAATAAAGCCAAACAACTTAAATGTTGTTTCTACACCTTGGCTATTGTGAATAGTCTGATATGAATATAGGAGTGTTAATATGTCTTCAAGATCCTGACTTCAGTTCTTTTGTATGCATACCCAGAAGTGGGATTATTAGAGCATATGGTAGTTATATAATTTTCTGAGGAACCTCCATTCTGTTTTCCACAGAGGCTTTGCATTCCCACCAACAGCACCCAAGGGTTCCAATTTCTCCACATCCTTCACAGAACTTTTGGTTTTTGATAACAACCATCCTGACAAGTGTGAAGTGATATCTTATTGTATTTTTTTCCTTTCCTAAATTTTTTTTATTTTAAATTTAATGTTAGAGACAAGTTCTCACTATGTTGCCCAGGCTGGTGTCAAACTCCTGAGCTCAAGTGATCCTCCCACCTCGGCCCCACAAAGTGCTGGGATTACAGGCATGAGCCACCGCACCCGGCCCTTACTGTGGTTTTGATTCACTGATGGCTAGACATTGAACATTTTTTCATATACCTGTTGGCTATTTGTATGTCTTCTTTGGAGAAAAGTCTATTCAAGTCTTTAGCCCATTTTTAAATTGGGCTGTTAGTTATTTTACTATTTAGTTGTAGGAGTTCCTTATATATTTTCGAGATTAACCTCTTATTAGAGATACGTTTGCAAATATCTTCTCCCATTCCCTAGGTTACCTTTTTCACTGTTGATTTTTTCCTTGCTTGTGCAGGAACATTTTAGTTTGAGATAATCCCACTTGTTTTTTGTTTTTATTGCCTGTATTTTGGTGTCATATGCATGAAATTGCCACAACCAATGTCATGAAGGTTTTCCCCTATGTTTTCTTGTAGGAACTGTATGCTTTTCAGTCTTACTTTTAAATCTTTAATCCATTTTTAGTTGATTTTTGTGTATGGTGTAAGAAAAGAGTCCGATTTCAATCTTTTGCACATGGATATCCAGCTTTTCCAACACCATGTATTGAAGAGACTACCTTTTCCCTTTTGTGGATTCTTGGCAACCTTGTTGAAGGTAAGTTAACTGCATATGTACGGATTTATTTCTGGACAATGTGATCTCTTAGTTGATGCATAAAACCACATTGCTGATGTGGTTCAGCGATGTTGCTTGCCAGTTTATGAAAGACAGAGTTCAGGAGAGATGGAAGTAAATGAGGTGGAAGAATGTTTTCCAAGTCTTTTTGTACATCGAAAAACAAAAGAGAGAGTTTAAAACTACAGATTCTTGGACTCCACCTTGGAAACTGCTTTGAGAATGGGAGGACCTGATTCCGGGTTTTTAAAGTTTCCCAGGTGACTCTGATACGCTGCTAGTTCTGGAAATCACTGGAAAATTTAGGATATGAAGTTAAGTTTCATTTTAGCCAGATCCTATAATCCATCCCAACAGTAAATGATGAGATTCTCTAGTTAGACCCAAAAGTGCTTCTTGGGGCCAGAGTTTAACATTGTAGTCATTGTCTGAGTTGTGGGAGTAGGTTAGAGTTTGGGAGCTGCGTGAAATCTTTTCATGGACGAGAATATTCGGTATAGCAGCATATGGTACACTAAATAGTAGGGATGTTTGGGGACTTCTAAAACCCCTGATTTACTCCCAGGGCATATCTTAATCACTACTGTGATTTTGGTTGATTATAAAACAGCCCGTTCTCCTGTTTACAATTCTAAATTGAAAATAGGCCAGTCGTCAACTGGCTAAAATCCCATCTGCCTTTAGCTTTCACTAGCTAATTTATAAGTATGCCAGAAACTTCACAATGTACCCATTCTTTCCCAGGGATTCCTACACTAACCCGATGATTTCTCTCTCTTTTTTTTTTTTTTTTTTGAGATGGAGTTTCGCACTTGTTGCCCAGGTTGGAGTGCAATGAATGGTGCCATCTTGGCTCACCGCAACCTCCATCTCCCGGGTTCAAGTGATTCTCCTGCCTCAGCCTCCTGAGTAGCTGGGATTACAGGCATGCGCCACCATGCCTGGCTTATTTTTAGTAGAGATTGGGTTTCTCCATGTTGGTCAGCCTGGTCTCGAACTTGCGACCTCAGGTGATCCACCTGCCTTGGCCTCCCAAAGAGCTGGGATTACAAGAGTGAGCCACCACACCTGGCCTTAACCTGATGATTTCTTCTTCTTTCTTTTTTTGAGATGGAGTCTCTCTCTGTCGCCCAGGCTGGAGTGCAGTGGCGTGATCTTGGCCCACTTCAACCTCCGCCTCCTGGGTTCAAGCGATTCTCCTGCCTCAGCCTCCCGAGTAGCTGGGACTACAGGCACCCACCACCACACCCGGCTAATTTTTGTATTTTTAATAGAGACAGGGTTTCACCATATTGGTCAGGTTGGTCTTGAACTCCTGACCTTGTGATCTGCCCACCTCGACCTCCCAAAGTGCTGGGATTATAGGTGTGAGCCACTGTGCCTGGCCAACCTGATGATTTCTTAAATTGGATCCAAATGTGCTTCTTTAGTCAGAATTGCACATTGCAATTGTTATCACTTGGTCCTTCTCTTATGCATCAAGTGATTTAATATAAAATACGAAATTTCAAATCATTACCCAGCAAAAATTCAGTCTGTTAATCTAGATCCAGTTGAGTGACTAAATCAAGAAATTGTGAACTTAGTGCAGTGCCATTCTATTTCATGAATGTAATATATTTGCGTCTGTCTTGACAGGTAAGTAAATGAAGCACTTCTTTTGTTGTTGCTTTTGAGATGGAGTTTCACTCTTGTTGCCCAGACTGCAGTGCAATGGCATGATCTCGGCTCACTGCAACTTCTGCCTGCTGGGTTCAAGTGATTCTCCTGCCTCAGCCTCCCGAGTAGCTGGGATTACAGGCGTGCACCAACACGCCTGGCTAATTTTTTGTATTTTTAGTAGAGACGGGGTTTATCCATGTTGGTCAGGCTGGTCTCAAACTCCCAACCTCAGGTGATCCACCTGCTTCGGCCTCCCAAAGTGCTGGGATTCCAGGCGTGAACCACC
Source organism: Homo sapiens (assembly GCF_000001405.40). NCBI lineage: Eukaryota > Metazoa > Chordata > Mammalia > Primates > Hominidae > Homo > Homo sapiens. Next base: position 197,561,727 of record NC_000002.12, read on the forward strand.
ACACCCAGCCTGTAAATGAAGCACTTTAAAGATTGTATTCATCATCTTGGAATCAAATTAGAAAACAAATTTTAGATAACAGCTATGTAAACAGCACAGCCTTCTAGAAGCTAGAACTGAGACTACTGGAGAAGAAATTTGATGTTTGTGACTTTGAAAGGAAAGGAGTACGTTATGAATAAGTGCATCTTTATAAGTTTTTAATTTCACTCTAAGGAAATTTGGAATGTCTTACAATTTACAGTTTTTTTGTTTGTTTGTTTAATTATTTATTTATTTTGAGACAGCGTCTTGCTCTGTTGCCCAGGTTGGAAGGAGTGGCATGGTCTCAGTGCACTGCAACCTCCACCTCAGCCTCCTCAGTAGCTGGGACTACAGGCACACGCCACCACGCCAGGCTAATTTTTTGTATTTTTAGTAAAGATGGGGTTTCACCATATTGGCCGGGCTGATCTGGAACTCCTGAGCTCAAGTGATCCTCCCGCCTCGGCCTCTCGAGTGCTGGGATTGCAGGCATGAGCCACTGCACCTGGCCTTAATTATTAATAATTAGTCTAATCTTATTATACTGTATGAATGTCTCCTAGAGTGAGGCTAGTTAGGTTTGTAGGCTTGTATTTTTGTTAGGTTTTATAAGTAATAGTGGTCTCAGTAAACATATAGCTTTATCCTTTTAGGCATCTGATATAATTGAGTTAAGAGACAATATATTCCCTTGTTCTGAGCCTCCTTTGAGGTGTTAATATTGGATTTAAAATCATATTTAACTCATTTATGTTTTAATCTTTTTTTAAAATTATACTTTAAGTTCTAGGGTACATGTGCACAACATGCAGGTTTGTTACATATGTATACATGTGCCATGTTGGTTTCCTGCACCCATTAATTCATTATTTACATTAGGTATATCTCCTAATGCTATCCCTCCCCCATCCCCCACCCCACAACAGGCCCCGGGGTGTGATGTTCCCTGCCCTGTGTCCAAGTGTTCTCATTGTTCAATTCCCACCTATGAGTGAGAACATGTGGTGTTTGGTTTTCTGTCCTTGCGATAGTTTGCTCGGAATGATGGTTTCCAGCTTCATCCCTGTCCCTACAAAGGACATGAACTCATCCTTTTTTATGGCTGCATAGTATTCCATGGTGTATATGTGCCACATTTTCTTAATCCAGTCTATCACTGATGGACATTTGGGTTGGTTCCAAGTCTTTGCTATTGTGAATAGTGCTGCAATAAACATACATGTGCATGGGTCTTTATAGTAGCATGATTTATAATCCTTTGGGTATATACCCAGTAATGGGATCACTGGGTCAAATGGTATTTCTAGTTCTAGATCGCCACACTGTCTTCCACAATGGTTGAACTAGTTTACACTCTCACCAACAGTGTAAAAGCGTCCCTGTTTCTCCACATCCCCTCCAGCACCTGTTGTTTCCTGCCTTTTTAATGATTGCCATTCTAACTGGTGTGAGATGGTATCTCATTGTGGTTTTGATTTGCATTTCTCTGATGGCCAGTGATGATGAACATTTTTTCATGTGTCTGTTGGCTGCATAAATGTCTTCTTTTGAAAAGTGTCTGTTCATATCCTTTGCCCACTTTCTGATGGGATTGTTTGATTTTTTTTCTTGTAAATTTGTAAGTTCTTTGTTGATTCTGGATATTAGCCCTTTGTCAGATGGGTAGATTACAAAAATTTTCTCCCATTCTGTAGGTTGCCTGTTCACTCTGATGGTAGTTTCTGTGCAGAAGCTCTTTAGTTTAATTAGATCCCATTTGTCAATTTTGGCTTTTGTTGCCATTGCTTTTGGTGTTTTAGTCATGAAGTCCTTGCCCATGCCTATGTCCTGAATGGTATTGCGTAGGTTTTCTTCTAGGGTTTTTATGGTTTTAGGCCTAATATTTAAGTCTTTAATCCACCTTAAATTAATTTTTGTATAAGGTGTAAGGAAGGGATCCAGTTTCAGCATTCTACATATGGCTAGCAAGTTTTCCCAGCACCACTTATTAAATAGGGAATCTTTTTCCCATTTCTTGTTTTCATCAGGTTTGTCAAAGATCAGATGGTTGTAGATGGGTGGTGTTATTTCTGAGGGCTCTGTTCTGTTCCATTGGTTTATATATCTGTTTTGGTACCAGTACCATGCTGTTTTGGTTACTGTAGCCTTGTAGTATAGTTGAAGTCAGGTAGCATGATGCCTCCAGCTTTGTTCTTTTTGCTTAGGATTGTCTTGGCAATGCAGACTCTTTTTTGGTTCCATATGAAATTTAAAGTAGTTTTTTCTGATTCTGTGGAGCAAGTCATTGGTAGCTTGATGGGGATGGCATTGAATCTATAAATTACCTTGGGCAGTATGGCCATTTTCACTGTATTGATTCTTCCTATCCATGAGCATGGAATATTCTTCCATTTGTTTGTGTACTCTTTTATTTCGTTGAGCAGTGGTTTGTAGTTCTCCTTGAAGAGGTCCTTCCCATCCCGTGTAAGTTGGATTCCTAGGTATTTTATTCTCTTTGTAGCAATTGTGAATGGGAGTTCACTCATGATTTGGCTCTTTGTTTGTCTGTTATTGGTGTATAGGAATGCTTGTGATTTTTGCACATTGATTTTGTATCCTGAGACTTTTCTGAAGTTGCTTATCAGCTTAAGGAGATTTTGGGCTGAGATGATGGGATTTTCTAAATATACAATCATGTCATCTGCAAACAGGGACAATTTGACTTCCTCTTTTCCTAATTGAATACCCTTTATTTCTTTCTCCTGCCTGATTGCCCTGGCCAGAACTTCCAACACTATGTTGAATAGGAGTGCTGAGAGAGGGCATCCCTGTCTTGTGCCAGTTTTCAAATGAAATGCTTCCAGTTTTTACCCATTCAGTATGATATTGGCTGTGTGTTTGTCATAAATAACTCTTATTATTTTGAGATACATCCCATCAATACCTAGTTTATTGAGAGTTTTCAGAATGAAGAGCTGTTGAATTTTGTCTAAGGTCTTTTCTGCATGTATTGAGATAATCATGTGGTTTTTGTTCTGTTTATGTGATGGATTACGTTTATTGATTTGCATATGCTGAACCAGCCTTGCATCCCAGGATGAAGCCAACTTGATCTTCGTGGATAAGCTTTTTGGTGTGCTGCTGGATTTGGTTTGCCAGTATTTTATTGAGGATTTTTGCATCGATGTTCATCAGGGATATTGGCCTAAAATTCTCTTTTTTTGTTGTGTCTCTGCCAGGCTTTGGTATCAGGATGATGCTGGCCCCATAAAATGAGTTAGGGAGGATTCCCTCTTTTTCTATTGATTGGAATAGTTTCAGAAGGAATAGTATCAGCTCCTCTTTGTACCTCTGGTAGAATTCGGCTGTGAGTTGTCTGGTCCTGGACTTTTTTCGGTTGGTAGGCTATTAATTATTGCCTCAATTTCTGAGCCTGTTATTGGTCTATTCATGGATTCAACTTCTTCCTGGTTTAGTCTTGGGAGGGTGTATGTGTCCAGGAATTTATCCATTTCTTCTAGATTTTCTAGTTTATTTGCATGGAGGTGTTTATAGTATTCTCTGATGGTAGTTTGTATTTCTGTGGGATTATTGGAGATATCCCCTTTATCATTTTTTATTGTGTCTATTTGATTCTTCTCTCTTTTCTTCTTTATTAGTCTTGCTAGCAGTCTATTTTGTTGATCTTTTCAAAAAACCTGCTCCTGGATTCATTGATTTTTTGAAGGTTTTTTTGTGTCACTATCTCCTTCAGTTCTGCTCTAATCTTAGTTATTTCTGGCCTTCTGCTAGCTTTTGAATTTGTTTGATCTTGCTTCTCTAGTTCTTTTAATTATGATGTTAGGGTGTCAATTTTAGATCTTTCCTTCTTTCTCTTGTGGGCATTTAGTGCTATAAATTTCCCTCTACACAATGCTTTAAATGTGTCCCAGAGATTCTTGTATGTTGTGTCTTTGTTCTCATTGGTTTCAAAGAACATCTTTATTTCTGCCTTCATTTTGTTATTTACCCAGTAGTGATTCAGGAGCAGGTTGTTCAGTTTCCATATAGTTGTGTGGTTTTGAGTGATTCCTTAATCCTGAGTTCTAATTTGATTAAACTGTGGTCTGAGAGACAGTTTGTTGTGATTTCTGTTCTTTCACATTTGCTGAGGAGTGTTTTACTTCCAACTATGTGGTCAGTTTTGGAATAAGTGTGATGTGGTGCTGAGAAGAATGTATATTCTGTTGATTTGGGGTGGAGAGTTCTGTAGATGTCTATTAGGTCTCCTTGGTGTAGAGCTGAGTTTAAGTCCTGGATATCCTTGTTAACATTCTGTCTCGTTGATCTGTCTAATATTGACAGTGGGGTGTTAAAGTCTCCCATTATTATTGTGTGGGAGTCTAAGTCTCTTTGTAGGTCTCTAAGGACTTGCTTTATGAGTCTGGGTGCTCCTATGTTGGGTGCATGTATATTTAGGATAGTTAGCTCTTCTTGTTGCATTGATCCCTTTACTGTTATGTAATTTCCTTCTTCGTCTTTTTTGATCTTTGTTGGTTTAAAGTCTGTTTTATCAGAGACTAGGATTGCAACCCCTGCTTTTTTTTGTTTCCCATTTGCTTGGTAGATCTTCCTCCGTCCCTTTGAGTCTATGTGTGTCTCTGCACGTGAGATGGGTCTCCTGAATACAGCACACTGATGGGTCTTAACTGTTTATCCAATTTGCCAGTCTGTGTCTTTTAATTGGGGCATTTAGCCCATTTACATTTAAGTTTAATATTATTATGAGTGAATTTGACCTTTTTTTTTTTTTGAGATGGTTTCTCGCTCTGTTGCCATGCTGGAGTGCAGTGGCATAATCTCGGCTCACCGCAACCTCTGCTTCCCAGGTTCAAGTGATTCTCCTGCGTCAGCCTCCTGAGTAGCTGGGACTACAGGCACATGCCACCATGTCTGGCTAATTTTTGCATTTTTAATAGAGATGGGGCTGGGCGCAGTGGCTCACGCCTGTAATCCCAGCACTTTGGGAGGCCGAGGCGGGCGGATCATGAAGTCAGGAGATTGAGAACATCCTGGTTGACATGGTGAAACCCCGTCTCTACCGAAAATACAAAAAAAATTAGCCAGGCATGGTGGCGCATGCCTGTAGTTCCAGCTACTTGGGAGGCTGAGGCAGGAGAATGGCCTGAACCCGGGAGGCGGAGGTTGCAGTGAGCCGAGATCGCGCCACTGCACTCCAGCCTGGGAGACAGAGTGTGACTCCGTCTCAAAAAAAAAAAAAAAATAGAGATGGGGTTTTGCAATGTTGGCCACACTGGTCTCGAACTCCTGGCCTCAAGTGATCCACCCGCCTTGGCCTCCCAAAGTGCTGAGATTACAGGCGTGAGCCACTGTGCCTGGCCGGAAATTTAAAATTTTGATGAAGTCCAATTCCGGATATTTTTTTGGAGGTGGGTGGGTGGTGGCACAGGGTCTCACTGTGTTGCCCAGGCTGGAGTGCAGTGGTGCAGTCTTGGCTCCCTGCAACTTCCACCTCCTGGGCTCAAGTGATTCTCCCACCTCAGCCTCCTGAGTAGCTGGGACCATAGGCACCAGCCACCATGCCCAGCTAATTTTTGTATTTTTTGTAGAACAAAAGTCTGGAACTCCTGGCCTCAAGTGATCCTTCCTCCTCAGCCTTCCAAAGTGCTGAGATTACAGGTGTGAGTGACTGTGCCTGGCCTCCAGATATCTTTTGAAATAAACTCCTTTATTGGGCTGGGTTCGGTGGTTCATGCCTGTAATCCCAGCACTTTGGGAGGCCAAGGCGGGAGGGATTGCTTGAGCCCAGGAGTTCAAGACCAGCCTGGGCAACATGGTGAAACCCTGTCTCTATAAAAAATACAAAAATTAGCTGGGTGTGGTAGCATATGCCTGTAGTCCCAGCTACTTGGGAGGCTGAGGATCGCTTGAGCCCAGGATGATTGATACTGCAATGAGCTATGATAACACCACTGCACTCCAGCCTAGGTGACAGAGTGAGACTGTCTCAAAAAAACAAAAAATAACAAAAACCAAAAACCCACAAAAAACAAAAACAACAAAAAACTCCTTTATTGCTAAATAAGCCAAGTTAAGTTCTGTTGCTTACAGGTAATAATGTGGCTTACATAAACCTTCAAAAACTCACCTTGGCTGGGCGTGGTGACCCACACCTGTAATCCCAGCACTTTGGGAGGTCGAGGTGGGTGGATCACTTGAGGCCAGGAGTTCAAGACCAGCCTGGCCAACATGGTGAAACCCTACTTGACTAAAAATAGAAAAATTAGCTGGGTGTGGTGGTGTGCACCTGTAGTCCCAGCTACTCGGGAGGCTGAGGTGGGAGAATTTTTCTTGAACCCAGGAGGCAGAGGCTGCAGTGAGCCGAGATCATGCCACTGCACTCCAGCCTGGGCAACAGGGTGTGACTCTGTCTCAAACAAACAAACAAACAAAAACAAACAAACAAACAACAAACTCACCTTGATACTTATACATTTATCTTACACATAAATGATTCATTTATTCCATTGATTTAATTACTTGGTATTTTTACATACAAAAATTTGAATGCTCAAAACATGTTTAGAACCCATTTCTTTTGCAGTCGTCTTCACCAAAACTTTATGAACCTCATCAAAACTGAGGCTCATCATTTTACAGTTTTGCCTAATTTTCTGCCTCAAACACCATCTCAGAACTTAAATATCTGACAGACCTGGTTCTGCAAACTTTGCACTATTACACAAATAAAATTCATTCTCAAGGGATGATAGATTACCAGCAAATGTTATTTAAATTGATATGTTACAAGTTCTGATGAGTAACATTTAGCTAGTTTTTCTATGTATCCACTAGTACATTTTTATATAATGTGTTCTTAGTTATATACTATCCCCATTGTTAGCAATTTCACTTCATTTGATTCTCCATCTGAATTTACACTTTCCATACAGTACTACTCTGGGGCTCTGAAGAGTTAAGAGAAAGAAATCCTCTTTAGCCATATGGGGAGGGAAAGGGCCACAGTCCTTCCAGCCAAGAAGGAATGGTGGTGAGGAATCAATAACAGGCAAGGGCGGGAAAACGGGACAGCTCCTCTGGCACTCCAGAATGAAAGAAATGAAAATGCATCTGTTACATTTATATTCAAATATATAAACACCTGCTCCTGATAACACAAATGATTTGGAGATAGTTGTGATTTGAATAGACTGTAGCTCTGTCTCCTGCTTCTCCTCCTCCTGAAAGCCCTAGAATCTCTCAAAGAGGGTGACCTTTCCTTTTCTCTTTTACTGAAATGAATTGTAATGACACTGATAGAGCTGATTTCCCTGGTGATTAGGTAGGTGTTAAATGTGTCCATAAAAGATAACAAGGTGGTATACAATCCAAAGGGGATGGAATTAACACTTGGTATTGAAAACGAAGATGAAAATGCCATAGATACTACACCAAGGGGAATGGCAGATCTTCACCCAACATCTGGGATCTTGATACCTTTCATTATAACTTACAGGTTTTAAAAATTCACATGCCAGAGCCCCTAAGGAAATCATAGTGTTATAAAAAGAACTGAATATACAACTGGCAGATAATAAAATTAGACATATTTAACTCCTTAGGCATAGAGAGCCCAAGTTTTTTTCTTTTTTTAAAATAATAGGCTCATAGCTATTTACACACATTTAAAATACTCTAGAACCACTTGATCATAAATTATTCGCTATCATACAAATTCATCACATAACTTAAGGGTAATTGTTGGAGCAAATGCTTCTAAAACAAGTTTTGAGGATATGACAGACTAGTAAGTTTATTTTAATAAAAGTTATTTTAATAAGAAATAACTCAGATTAAAAATAAACGGGAGGGGAGAAAAAAATAAACTGAGAAAGTATGCTTACACAAATTTTTTAAAAAAGCGATTGCTTGGCTGGGTGCAGTGGCTCACACCTGTAATCCCAGCACATTGGGAGGCCAAGGTGGGTGGATTGCTTGAGGCCAGGAGTTCGAGACCAGCCTGGCCAACATGGTGAAACCCCATCTCTACTAAAATTACAAAACTTAGCCAGGCATGGTGGTGCAGGCCTGTAATCCCTGCTACTCAGGAGGCTGAGGCAGGAGAGTCACTTGAACCTGGGAGGCGGAGGTTGCAGTAAGCCGAGATTGCAGCCTGGGTGACAGAGTGAGGCTCTGTCTCAAAAAAAAAAAAAAAAAAAAAAAGTTATTGCTATATTTCTGAGTTTTTTCTTAGTCAAATATAAATTCCTATCTCTGTTTTTAATTTACTACTTCCAATCCCCTATGTATGTGGGCTGAATGATAAAGAAGTCTCTACCTCTTGTAGACCCTGGAATTGGGAAAAACAGATCTTTCTGATTTGTTCTTTGTGCTTCCTAACTTCATTACGTTTTATGGACTCCTGAAGCAGTGATTGTTTCTACCAAAAATCCACTAACTCTTGATTATGGAACTCAAGTCCATCTAAAAGTCAAAACAAAAACCATTTCTGCAAATATTGTTGACAGCTATTGCTATAGAATAAGACTGAGAAGAATATTCTTAAATTCCTTTATACTGTACTTCTGGATGATAAAAGTGGAATAATTCCTGTTAATTTTATCAGCAATTAATGGAGATTGACTTAGTTTAGATACACTATATAATTGATAACATGTAATACATATCTGTTATATGTATAAAACATATTATATGAAGGCCAGGCATGGTGGCTCACGCCTGTAATCCCAGCATTTTGGGAGGACAAGGCAGGCAGATCATGAGGTCAAGAGATCGAGACCATCCTGGCCAACATGGTGAAACCCCATCTCTACTAAAAATACAAAAATTAGCTGGGCGTGGTGGCGCACACTGGCTGTAGTTCCAGCTAATCTGGAGGCTGAGGCAGGAGAATCGCTTGAAGCCAGGAGGTGGAGGTTGCAGTGAGCTGCGACTGTGCCACTGCATTCCAGCCTGGGTGACAGAGTGAGACTCCGTCTCAAAAAAAGCCACAAAAAACCCCCAAACCAAACATATTATATGAATATTTGTGTTCAATAAAACAATAACACAATAAAAATGATGTTTTATTATTAAAATGATCTTACAATGTCAACATCAATGTTAATAAAAATATATAATAGGCTGAATTCATCAATGATAGAATAAGTTGTAATTCACTTGGAGGTTCCATCTTTCAAAGTAAGCCTTTCATAGATAAATGAAAATCCTTTATTTTGTAGAATTTTAAAGATTGTTAAAGGCTGGGTCAAGGCAAAGCCACCTCTATTAGAAGGGGAAAGAAAAGCAAGATGAAACAAAATATGTTATCATACATATCGCGTGTGCTATGAGCATCTTTCTACTCCTGCCAGATTGAAAATTCTAGGTTTCAACATTCTTCAGGATTTAACAAGTCAAAATAAAAGCAGAATTCAAATCTAGACAGATGTAAAAGACTTCAGTTTCAAATTGAAGTTGATATTTTTCCTCTTCATAGTATTTGGACTTTAAAATAAAAAAAAATTAAATCTTACTCTCTACTAAGGTATTTATGTATTGAGATTATGGGTTCTTTTCATATTGAATTTTAAGAGATGCTGCTTTGCTGTCTGCATTTTTAGGCTTTTAGGAGCAACAACATTTATGTACAATGAATCAGTACAGGGTTGGTGACATGACCCTTTAAAAGCAAAGATACATAAAAAAGATTTTTTTCAAAAAATATTTTAACACATAGGGGCTTGCTTTGTATATACATGCTATAGTTAAAGACAAAATGTGGATTAATTATTATATTTGGGAAATAGATATTTATTTGCACTAATTAGCTGTGTGTGTGTATGAGAGAGAGAGAAAAAAAAAGAGAGAGAGAGGTTATTTTTCAGCTTAAATAAGACTGTAACTTCCTGAGAACTCTCTCTAATTGGGTAAAATACTGATTGAGATATTCAGTCTCCTTACCAGGAATTGTAAGAAAGTCTACTTTGTACATTCATGAGAAGCTGAAATAGATTATTGTGTAATAACCGAATGGAACATCTGTTTAACCAGATGTTTTAGTTGAGAGAAGTGTAAACATGATTCTAAATGTATAAATATGTTGGTTATTCTTCCTTGTCTGGGAGGTTGTGCCAAAGTTTACATAGATTAGAGGAAAGGCTGGGTCTGGAAAAATTCAAAAATATTACATAAATGCAGAGAAAGTAATACAATAAGGTCAGTTGGCAATGATTTTAACAATTATTTACAGGGCCTTCCTTTGCTTCACCTCATGGCTCACATACAAGTGACCTGAGTCACTCCATCTTCCTGATCAAACTGTCCGTCGTCTAATTCCCGGAGGACGTTGTCACTGCTGCTGAACCCAGAGAAGCTGTTGTGCTGTGCCAGCCTTCCCTCCTTTGTCCAGCATTCCCGGGAGGGAGAAAGGCGGCACTCCTCAGGCAGGTGTCTGCTCTCTGCAGGTTGTGACGAGGTTGTGTCTAATCCGATGCTTCTACTAGTGGCTTTATTCTTGTCTTCACCTTTTATGTGGCGGCTGGCTTTCTTCTGAAACACAAGACATTGGTGACCAGGAGAGTTAAAAAGATGGGTGTTTCCTGTCCCTCTGGTCTAGCACATGCTGCCTTTCTGCCTCCAGGAATGTCCTTTTCCCCAGCTCTTCAAAATCCTGCTCATCTTCAACGACCAGCTCAGAGCTACCTCCACATTCCCCTCTCCACCCAAATACAAATGAACTCCCTTCTCCCTGTTTTGTAACTCTTTGTAGGTTCCTGGCACATCATTCTTGTTGATGGGTATGTTATGTACACATCTCGGCCCTCAGTGACATCTCTAAGGAAGGAAATTTGTTGAAATCATACTTTGGGAGAACAAAGCAAGGTATAAATACTAATATGTTTTTCTTCTTAGTGTTAGTTCAGATCTATACAGCAGAAAAGGTGCTTTGATGGCCACCTTACACCCATGTCATGTAGACACAGGCTGCACAGAAGAGTCACAGTGATATGGTTTGGCTGTGTCCCCACCCAAATCTCATCTTGAATTGTAACTCCCATATTTCCCATGTGTTGTGGGAGGGGCCCAGTGGGAGGTAGTCAAATCATGGGGGTGGGTCTTATCCCATGAATAAGTATCATGAGATCTGATGGTTTTATAAAGGGGAGTTCCCTTGCACATGCTCTCTCTTGCCTGCCACCATGTGAGACATGACTTTGCTCCTCATTTGCCTTCTGCCATGACTGTGAGGCCTCCCTACGTGGAACTGTGAGTCAATTAAACCTCTTTCCTTTGTAAACTACACAGTCTCGGGTATGTCTTTATTAGCAGGATGAGAACAGACTAATACAGTAAATTGGTACTAGTAGAGTGGCGGGGGTGGGGGGTGCTATAAAAATACCCAAAAATGTAGAAGCGACTTTGGAACTGGGTAGCATGCAGAGGTTGGAACAGTTTGAAGGGCTCAGAAGAGGACAGGAAAATGTGGGAAACTTTGGAACTTCCTAGAGACTTATTGAATGGCTTTGATCGAAATGCTTATAGTGATATGGACAGTGAAGTCCAGGTTGAGATGATTTCAGATGGAGATGAGGAACTTGTTGGGAACTGGAGCAAAGGTGTCTCTTGCTATGTTTTAGCAAAGAGACTGGTGGCATTTTGCCCTTGCCCTCAAGATATGTGGAACTTTGAACTTGAGAGAGATGATTTAGGGCATCTGGCAGAAAAAATTTCTAAGCAGCAAAGCATTAAATAGGTGATTTGGGTACTGTTAAAAACATTCAGTTTTAGGTATTCACAAAGATATGGTTTGGAATTGGAACTTATGTTTACATTTGCAGACTGATGATACCATAGAAAAGAAAAACCAATTTTCTGAGAAGAAATTTAAGCTGGCTGCAGAAATTTGCATAAGTAACAAGGAGCCAAATGTTAATTGCCAAGGCAATGGAGAAAATGTCTCCAGGGCATTTCATGGCAGCCCCTCCCATCACAAGCCTGGAGGCCTAGGAGGAAAAAATGTTTTTGTGGGCCGGACCTAGGGCCTTGCTGCTTTGTGCAATTTTGGGACTTGCTGCCCTGCATCCCAGCCATGGCTATATGGGGCCAACGTAGAGCTCAGGCTATTTCTTCAGAGGGTGCAAGCCCCAAGCCTTGGTGGCTCACATGTTGTTTTGGGCCTGTGGGTACACAGAAGTCAGGAAATGGGGTTTGGGAACCTCTGCCTAGATTTCAGAGGATGTAAGGAAACACCTGGATGTCCAGGTAGAGGTGTGCTGCAGGGATGGAGCCCTAATGGAGAACCTTGCTAGGGCAGTGTGGAAGGGAATTGTGGGGTGGAAACTCCCACATGGAGTCCCTACTGGGACACTGCCTAGTGGAGCTGTGAGAAGAGGGCCACCGTCTTGCAGACCCCAGAATGGTAGATCCACTGACAGCTTGCACTGTGCACCTGGAAAAGCTGCAGACACTCAATGCCAGCCTATGAAAGCAGCCAGGAGGGGGGCTGTACCCTGCAAAGCCACAGGGGCAAAGCTACCCAAGGCCATGGGAACCCATCTCTTGCATCAGTGTGACCTGGATGTTAGGGAGTCAAAAGAGATAATTTTAGAGCTTTAAGATTTGATTGCCCCACTTGATTTTGGACTTGTATGGGGCCTGTAACCCCATCATTTTGGCCAGTTTCTCCCACTTGGAATAGATGTATTTACCCAATGCCTGTACCCCCATTGTATCTAGGAAGTAACTAACCTGCTTTTGATTTTACAGGGTCATAGGCAGAAGGGACTTGCCTTGTCTCAGATGAGACTTTGGACTGTGGACTTTTGAGTTAATGCTGAAATTAGTTAAGACTTTTGGCCGGGTGCAGTGGCTTACACCTGTAATCCCAGCACTTTGGGAGGCTGAGACAGGAGGAACACTTGAGGTCAGGAGTTTGAGACCAGCCTGACCAACATGGTGAAACCTCATCTCTACTAAAAATACAAAAATTATCAGAGTGTGGTGGCACACGCCTGTAATCCCAGCTACTTGGGAGGCTGAAGCAGGAGGATCACTTGAATCTGGGAGGTGGAGGTTGCAGTGAGCCAAGATCACACCAATGCACTCTAGCCTGGGCAACAAGAGAAAGACTCCATCTCAAAAACAAACAAACAAACAAACAAACAAACAAAAAACAACTTTGGGGAACTGTTAGGTAGGCATGATTGGTTTTGAAATGTGAGGACATGAGATTTGGGAGGAGCTGGGGTGGAATGATATAGTTTGGCTGTGTCCTCACCCAAATCTCATCTTGAATTGTAGCTCCCATAATTCCCAAGTGTTGTGGGAGTGACCCAGTGGGAGGTAATTGAATCATGGGGGTGGGTCTTTCCCATGCTGTTCTTGTAATAGTGAATAAGTCTCATTAGATCTGATGGTTTTATAAAGGGGTGTTCCCCTGCATGTGCTGTCTTGCCTGCCGCCATGTAAGACATGACTTTGCTCCTCATTCACCTTCCGCCATGGTTGTGAGGCCTCCCTAACCATGTGGAACTGTGAGTCAATTAAACATCTTTCCTTTAAAAATTACCCAGTCTTGGGTATGTCTTTATTAGCAACGTGAGAACAGACTAGTTTACATGGATAATTCAGACTGAGTTTATTTTGAGCGAGTGTCTAGAATGTCTTCAAGGGTGAAGTGGACCCTTTCCTTGTCCTGCTGCAAACTGCTTCTGCCTTACACAGTATAAATGCTCAACAATTCAATCCAGCTCATTCAGACTCTCTGATCAACTGTGGATGTTTTTGCTAATAAATATTTACTGAGGGCAGAGAATGCTCTTGGTTCAGTCCAGAATAAAGGGGACATGGTCTCTGCCCAGGCAACTTAAGTCAAAATAAGGTATCTAGCTGGGCAAAGTGGCATGAGCCTGTAGTCCCAGCTACTCAGGAGGCTGAAATGGGAGGATTACTTGGGCCTGGGAGTTCAAGGCCAGCTTAGGCAACATGGCGAGACCTCAGGTCATATATGTATATAAAATATATTTTTTATATATATAATATATATTCTATATATAATATATTATATATATTTTATATACATAATATATATTCTATATATAATATATTATATATATTTTATATACATAATATATTTATATATTATATATTATATATAATATATATAATATATATATGAAAAAATAAGATAGCTAAGTCAAAAAAGGGAAAGCACAACAAGGAGAATTAGCTGCTTAACTTGTGATGTTCAGACTCCTGATGAGATTTCATTATAGGAGCCTTTTTTTGTTGTTGTTGAGACAGAGTCTTGTTCTGTTGTCTAGGCTGGAGTGCGGTGGTGCAATCCCAGCACACTGTAGCTTCTGCCTCCCAGGTTCCAGCAATTCTCCTGACTCAGCCTCCTGAGTAGCTGGGACTCCAGGCATGCGCCACCTTGCCAGCTAATTTTTGTGTTATTAGTAGAGATGGGGTTTCAACATGTTGGCCAGCTGGTCTTGAACTCCTGACCTCAGCATTTTGCCCACCTCTGCCTCCCAAAGTGCTGGGATTACTGGTGTGAGGCAGTACCACTGTGAGTCAGTGGTGTGGTGTCTGGCCTTTAAGAGCTTATTTAATACTGATAACATGGCAGATATTAGAGAATATGATCATATCCTCCTAGGCACATAAAATTGAATATAGATTTAAAGATACATTTAAAAATCACAGTAATTTCCCAGTTTACAAAGAGCTCATTTACTGAAAATTCATTTATATGTTATTTGGGAAGTAGGGTTGCATTTTTCCTAAATGTAAGAGGTAAAATTATAAAATTCTTAGATAAATTGTAGAAATCAGATACCCAGGCTGATCTTACAGAAGTTTGTTAATGATTCATCTGTTGAAATGCAGTGCATAAAATACCCGGGTATTTTCTACTGGTTTTTACAGCAAATATACAAAGCAAACAAACAGCTTTATTAAAGGGGATTTTGTGAGCTACTGTGGAATGTAATACCATTTATGACACTGTTTGTACAGGAAGATGCAGCCCCAGCGGGTTGCATAGAAAGGAGTTTATTGGCAGCTCAGAGGCAGCTCATCTTTTTCTTGGCCAAGTTACCGGAGTTGAGCAAGTTTAAGGGAAAAAGTTGTGAAAGGAAAATAACCCTTGGGGCCCCAAAATCACCAAGCTAAAAGGAAAAGTCAAGCTGAGAATGGCTTAGGGCAAACCTGCCTCCCATTCTATTCAAATTTACCCCTCTGCTCACTGAGATAAATGGATATCTGATTGCCTCTTTTGGAGAAGCTAATGGAAACTCAAAATAATGCAGCCACTTTTCTCTTATCTACCCCTGCTCATTTGGAGTTGTCCCGCTTTTAGTCCCATCTTTCTGGATGGAACCAAAGTTCATCTTACATATGTTGATTGATGTCTCATGTCTCCCTAAAATGTGTAAAACCAAACTGTGCTCTGACAACCTTGGGCACATGTCATCAGGACTTCCTGAGGCTGTGTCATGGGAATGTGTCCTTAACCTTGGCAAAATAAACTTTCTAAATTAACTGAGACCTATCTCATATATTCGGGGTTCACAAAGTCTACAGTAGGTCCTTTCTCAACAATGGCCCACCTTCGTGGCCCCAAGTTAGACACAGTTTGGTGGTTGTCACGTTTTCCATTGGCACCCTTGCATTCATCAAATGCAAATATCAGCTCTTCAGTTCTTTTCCTGTTTATTCCTATTCACCAAATTTATTGAAATTAATATATGCGGTGGAACCTGACAGATTTACTCTCAGAAAAGGTACAAAATTTGAGAATGGCACCTTCTTCCCTGCACTGGGGCATTGGTCAGCAAGGATACAGTCTTTTGGCTTCAGATACGGCTGATGAACACTGCCAGACTGCGCTCCTTTCTCAAGCCTGGCCAGTGGCTATCTTTCCCACATGCACAATGAATGCATTTACTCTTTTTTTTGAGACAGAGTTTCTCTCTGTCACCCAGGCTGGAGTGCAGTAGCACAATCTCCACTCACTGCACTGACCACCTCCCGACTTTTCAGAGTCATTACTATTTACAATTGCTTGACTACCTCCTGGGCTCAAGCAATTCTCCTGCCTCAGCCTCCAGAGTAGCTGGGATTACAGGAGCACCACCATGCCTGGGTAATTTTTCTATTTTTTATAGAGATGGGATTTTGCCATGTTGGCCAGGCTGGTGTTGAACTCCTGGACTTAAGTGATCTGCCTGCCTCAGCCTCCCAAAGTGCTGGGATTACAGGCGTGAGCCACCGCGCCCAGCCAGAATGCATTCATTCTTGAATGATGCTCTCAATGCTCTCAACACTGACAGAATCAAAATAGGAAGGTGGGGGTTCCTGGGGGCTTCCTGGGTCTTGCCTTGCTCACCAGCGCTAGGGCCAAAGGTAAATTTTGCAATTAATTCCTCTTTATATATCAGCTAATAGAGGCCAAGTCTCACACACTTAACAAGAATTTTCTTAATAAAAATGGGATGCTCTTCAGAATAATAAGACATTCATAGTAATTCAATTTAAAATAAGCATTAATAGGTAAACAGCCACCAAATGTAAATTTCAAATGTTAAAAGATGGCAAAAATACTTAGCACTGCACCTCTAAAAAGACTTCTGTACCAACACACACTTTTTTTCTTTTTTTACCACGTGACTGTTATGTCAGGCCTCTGAGCCCAAGCCTGCATGTATACATCCAGATGGCCCAAAGTAACTGAAGAATCACAAAAGAAGTGAAAATGGCCATTTCCTGCCTTAACTGATGACATTACCTTGTGAAATTCCTTCTCCTGGCTCAGAAATTCCCCTACTGAGCACCTTGTGACCCCCAGCCCTGCCCGCCAGAGAACAACCCCCTTTGACTGTAATTTTCCACTACCTACCCAAATCCTATAAAACTGCACCACCCATATCTCCCTTCACTGACTCTCTTTTTGGACTCAGCCCGCCTGCACCCAGGTGATTAAAAAGCTTTATTGCTCACACAAAGCCTGTTTGGTGGTCTCTTCACACGGATGCGCATGACATTTGGTGCCGTGATTCGGATTGGGGGACCACCCTTGGCAGATCAATCCCCTGTCCTCCTGCTCTTTGCTCCATGAGAAAGATCCATCTACAACCTTGGGTCCTCAGACCAACCAGCCCAAGGAACATCTCACCAATTTTAAATCAAGTAAGCGGCCTCTTTTACTCTCTTCTCCAACCTCTCTCACTATCCCTCAACCTCTTTCTCCTTTCAATCTTGGTGCCACCCTTCAATCTCTCCCTTCTCTTAATGTCAGGCCCTTTCCTTTTCTGGCAGAGATAGAGGAGACACATTTTATCCATGAAAACAAAACTCTGGCGCCGGTCACAGACTCGGGAAGACAGTCTTCCCTTGGTGTTTAATCACTGCAGAGACACCTGTCTGATTATTCACCCACGTTTCAGAGGTGTCTGATCATGACAGGGATGCCTGCCTTGATCCTTCACCTAGTGGCAAGTACCACTTTCCCTGGGTGGTAAGCACCACCTTGCCTGGGGGGCAATTGCCCCCGACCCCTTCTCTCCATGTCTCTACCCTCTCTTTTCTCTGGGCTTGCCTCCTTCACTATGGGCAACCTTCCATCCTCCATTCCTCTTTCTTCTCCCTTAGCCTGTGTTCTCAAGAACTTAAAACCTCTTCAACTCACACCTGACCTAAAACCTAAACACCTTATTTTCTTCTCCAATGCCACTTGACTTCAATGCAAACTCAACAATTGTTCCAAATAGCCAGAAAATGGCACTTTCAATTTTTCGGTCCTACAAGATCTAGATAATTCTTGTCGTGAAATGGGCAAACGGTCTGAGATGCCTGACGTCCAGGCATTCTTTTACACATCGGTCCCTCCCTAGCCTCTGTTCCCAATGTGACTTGTCCCAAATCCTCCTTCTTTCCCTCCTACCTGTCCCCTCAGTCCCAACCCCAAGCATCACTGAGTCTTTTCAATCTTTCTCTTCTACCGACCCATCTGACCTCTCCCTTCCTCCCCAGACTGCTCCTCCTCAGGTTGCTCCCTGCCAGGCTGAATCAGGCTCCAATTCTTCCTCAGCCTCCACTCCCCAACCCTATAATCCTTCTATCACTGCCCCTCCTCACACCTGGTCTGGCTTACAGTTTTGTTCCACGACTAGCTCTCCCCTACCTGCCCAACAATTTCCTCTTAAAGAGGTGGCTGGAGCTAAAGGCGTAGTCAAGGTTAATGCTCCTTTTTCTTTATCCGACCTCTCCCAAATCAATTAGCGTTTAGGCTCTTTTTCATCAAATTAAAAAACCCAGCCCAGTTCATGGCCCACTTGGCAACAACCCTTAGATGCTTTACCGCCCTAGACCCAGAGGGGGCAAAAAGCCATATTATTCTCAATATGCATTTTATTACCCGATCCGCTCCCGACATTAAAAAAAAGCCCCCCAAATTAAATTCTGGTCCTCAAACCCCACAACAGAACTTTATTAACCTCGCCTTCAAGGTGTACAATAACAGAGAAGAGTTGCAATTACTTGCCTCTGCTGTGAGAGAAACCCCAGCCACATCTCCAGCACACAGGAATTTCAAAACTCCTAAGCCACAGTGGTCAGGCATTCCTTCAGGACCTCTTCCCCCAGGATCTTGCTTCAAGTGCTGGCTAATCTGGCCACTGGGCCAAGGAATGCCCGCAGCCTGGGATTCCTCCTAAGCCATATCCCATCTGTGCAGGACCCCACTGGAAATCGGACTGTCCAAGTCACCTGGCAGCCACTCCCAGAGCCCCTGGAACTCTGGCCCAAGGCTCTCTGACTGACTTCTTCCCAGATCTTCTCAGCTTAAAGGCTGAAGGCTGATGCTGCCTGATCACCTTGGAAGCCTCCTGGACCATCACAGACGCTTTAGGTAACTCTTACAGTGGAAATTAAATCCATCCTCTTCTTAATCAATATGGAGGCTACCCACTCTACATTGCCTTATTTTCAAGGGCCTGTTTCCCTTGCCTCCATAACTGTTGTGGGTATTGACGGCCAGACTTCTAAACCTCTTAAAACTCCCCAATTCTGGTGCCAACTTGGACAACGTTCTTTTAAGCACTCTTTTTTAGTTATCCCCACCTGCCCAGTTCCCTTATTAGGCTGACACATTTTAACCAAATTATCTGCTTCCCTGACTATTCCTGGACCACAGCCACATCTCATTGCTGCCCTTCGTCCCAACCCAAAACCTCCTTCGTGTCTTCCTCTCGCATCCCCCCAACTTAACCCACAAGTATGGGACATCTCTACTCCCTCCCTGGCAACCAATCACACACTTGTTACTATCCCATTAAAACCTAATCACCCTTACCCTGCTCAATGCCACTATCCCATCCCACAACAGGCTTTAAGGGGATTAAAGCCTGTTATTGCTCACCTGCTACAGCATGGGCTTCTAAAACCTATAAACTCTCCTTACAATTCCCCCATTTTACCTGTCCCAAAACCGGACAAGTCTTATATGTTAGTTCAGGATCTGTGCCTTATTGTTTTGCCTATCCATCTTGTGGTGCCCAACCTGTACACTCTTTTGTCCTCAATACCTTCCTCCACAACTCACTATTCTGTTCTTGATCTTAAAGATGCTTTTTTCACTATTCCCCTGCACCCATTGTCCCAGCCTCTGTTTGCTTTTATCTGGACTGACCCTGACACCCATCAGTCCCAGCAGCTTACCTGGGCTCTACTGCCGCAAGCCTTCAGGGACAGCCCTCATTACTTCAGCCAAGCTCTTTCTCATGATTTACTTTCTTTCCACCCCTCCACTTCTCACCTTATTCAATATATCGATGACCTTCTACTTTGTAGCCCCTCCTTTAAATCTTCTCAACAAGACACCCTCCTGCTTCTTCAACATTTATTCTCCAAGGGATATCTGGTACCCCCTTCCAAAGCTCAAATTTCTTCTCCATCTGTTACCTACCTCGGCATAATTCTTCATAAAAACACATGTGCTCTCCCTGCCGATCATGTCCAACTGATCTCTCAAACCCCAACCCCTTCTACAAAACAACAACTCCTTTCCTTCCTGGGCATGGTTGGATACTTTCGCCTTTGGATACCTGGTTTTGCCATCCTAACAAAACCATTATATAAACTCACAAAAGGAAACCTAGCTGACCCCATAGATCCTAAATCCTTTCCCCACTCCTCTTTCCATTCCTTGAAGACAGCTTTAGAGACTGCTCCCACACTAGCTCTCCCTGACTCATCCCAACCCTTTTCATTACACATAGCCAAAGTGCAGGGCTGTGCAGTTGGAATTCTTACACAAGGACCGGGACGGTGTCCTGTAGCCATTTTGTCCAAACAACTTGACCTTACTGTTTTAGGCTGGCCATCATGTTTCTGTGTGGTGGTTGCTGTTGCCCTAATACTTTTAGAGGCCCTCAAAATCACAAACTATGCTCAACTCACTCTCTACAGTTCTCATAACTTCCAAAATCTATTTTCTTCCTCACATCTGACACATATACTTTCTGCTCCGCAGCTCCTTCAGCTATACTCACTCTTTGTTGAGTCTCCCACAATTACCATTGTTCCTGGCCCAGACTTCAATCTGGCCTCCCACATTATTCTGGATACCACAGCTGACCCCCATAACTGTATCTCTCTGATCTACCTGACATTGACTCCATTTCCCCATATTTCCTTCTTTCCTATTCCTCACCCTGATCACACTTGGTTTATCGATGGCAGTTCTACCAGGCCTAATTGCCACTCACCAGCAAAGGCAGGCTATGCTATAGTATCTTCCACATCTATCATTGAGGCTACCACTCTGCCCCCCTCCACTACCTCTCAGCAAGCTGAACTCATTGCCTTCACTCAAGCCCTCACTCTTGCAAAGGGACAATGCATCAATATTTACACTGACTCTAAATATGCCTTGCATATCCACACCACCATGCTGTTATATGGGCAGAAAGAGGTTTCTTCACTACACAATGGTCCTCCATCATTAATGCCTCTTTAATAAAATAGGCCTCTTCTCAAGGCCTATTTACTTCCAAAGGAAGCTGGAGTCATTCACTGCAAGAGCCATCAAAAGGTGTCAAATCCCATCGCTCAGGGCTATGCTTATGCTGATAAGGTAGTTAAAGAAGCAGCTAGTGTTCCAATTTCTGTCCCTCACGGCCAGTTTTTCTCCTTCTCATCGGTCACTCCCACCTACTCCCCCACTGAATCTTTCAGCTATCAATCTCTTCCCACACAAGGCAAATGGTTCTTAGACCAAGGAAAATATCTCCTTCCAGCCTCACAGGTCCATTCTATTCTGTCATCATTTCATAACCTTTTCCATGTAGGTTACAAGCCATTAGCCCGCCTCTTAGAACCTCTCATTTCCTTTCCATCATGGAAATCTATCCTTAAGGAAATCACTTCTCAGTGTTCTATCTGCTATTCTACTACCCCTCAGGGATTGTTCAGGCTCCCTCACTTCCCTACACATCAAGCTCGGGGATTAGCCCATGTCCAGGACTGGAAAATTGACTTTACTCACATACCCCGAGTCAGGAAACTAAAATACCTCTTGGTCTGGGTAGACACTTGAACTGGATGGGTAGAGGTCTTTCCCACAGGGTCTGAGAAGGCCACTGCAGTCATTTCTTCCCTTCTGTCAGATGTAATTCCTCAGTTTGGCCTTTCCACCTTTATACATTCCGATAATGGACCGGCCATTCTAGTCAAATCACCCCAGCAGTTTCTCAGGCTCTTGGTATTCAGTGGAACCTTCATACCCTTTACCATCCTCAGTCTTCAGGAAAGGTAGAACGGACTAATGGTCTTTTAAAGACACACTTCACCAAGCTCAGCCTCCAACTTAAAAAGGACTGGACAGTACTTCTTTTTTTTTTTTTTTTAATTATACTTTAAGTTCAAGGGTACATGTGCACAACATGCAGGTTTGTTACATATGTATACATGTGCCATGTTGGTGTGCTGCACCCATTAACTCATTGTTTACATTAGGTATATCTCCTAATGCTATCCCTCCCCACTCCCCCACCCCACGACAGGCCCCGGTGTGTGATGTTCCCCTTCTTGAGTCCAAGTGTTCTCATTGTTCAATTCCAAACTATGAGTGAGAACATGTGGTGTTTGGTTTTTTGTCCCTGCGATAGTTTACTGAGAATGATGATTTCCAGCTTCATCCATGTCCCTACAAAGGACATGAAATCATCCTTTTTTATGGCGCATAGTATTCCATGGTGTATATGTGCCACATTTTCTTAATCCAGTCTATCATTGATGGACATTCGGGTTGGTTCCACATCTTTGCTATTGTGAATAGTGCCGCGATAAACATACATGTGCATGTGTCTTCATGGCAGCATGATTTATAATCCTTTGGGTATATACCCAGTAATGGGATGGCTGGGTCAAATGGTATTTCTAGTTCTGGATCCCTGAGGAATCGCCACACTGTCTTCCACAATGGTTGAACCAGTTTACAGTCCCACCAACAGTTTAAAAGTGTTCCTATTTCTCCACATCCTCTCCAGCACCTGTTGTTTCCTGACTTTTTAATGATCGCCATTCTAACTGGTGTGAGATGGTATCTCATTGTGGTTTTGATCTGCATTTCTCTGATGGCCATTTTTTCATGTGTCTTTTGGCTGCATAAATGTCTTCTTTTGAGAAGTGTCTGTTCATATGCTTTGCCCACTTTTTGATAGGGTTGTTTTTTTCTTGTAAATTTGTTTGAGTTCATTGTAGATTCTAGATATTAGCCCTTTGTCAGATGAGTAGATTGCAAAAATTTTCTCCCACTCTGTAGGTTGCCTGTTCACTCTGATGGTAGTTTCTTTTGCTGTGCAGAAGCTCTTTAGTTTAATTAGATCCCATTTGTCAATTTTGGCTTTTGTTGCCATTGCTTTTGGTGTTTTAGACATGAGGACTGGACAGTACTTCTACCTCTTGCCCTTCTCAGAATCAGAACGTGTCCTCGAGATGCTACAGAGTACAGTCCATTGAACTTTTACATGGACGCACTTTCTTGCTCAGCCCCAACCTCATCCCAGACACCAGTCCTCTAGGTGACTATCTTCCAGTCCTCCAGCAGGCTAGACAGGAAATTCGCCAGGCTGCTTATCTTCTCTTGCCTACTCCAGATTACCAGCTATATGAAGACACCCTAGCTGGACGATCAGTTCTTGTTAAGAATCTGACCCCTCAAACTCTACAACCTTGATGGACTGGACCCTACTTAGTCATCTATAGTACCCCAACTGCCGTCCACCTGCAGGATCCTCCCTACTGGGTTCACCATTCCAGAATAAGGCTGTGTCCGTTGGACAGCCAGCCTAATCCCTCCTCTTCCTCCTGGAAGTCGCAAGTACTCTCTCCTACTTCGCTTAAACTCACTTGCATTTCTGAAGAACAGTAATAACCCTCATGAGCCTAATACATCCCTTCATTCTATTAAGACTATTCATCCTTACCCTACTTTTTGCAACAGGGCTTTATGCAATCACCCTCACTATTTGGACTGCACCCCAAAAACTTGTCATCCCTACTGTCTTCTGACTAGTCATACTCCTATTCACCATTCTCAACTACTTGTAAATGCCCTGCCCTTGTTTACACTGGTGGTTTACCCTTTTCCTTCAAACCATCATAACTGATATCTCCTGGTTTTACCTCAAACTGCCACTTTTAAGTCTCTCTTAAGGTGAATAGATGATCTTTGCTGACAGGGCACACTCCAATACTTTCACCCTGATGAAGTTCTGTTCTTTACTTTTATACTCACTCTTATTCTCATTCCCATTCTTATGCCACCCTCTACCTCTCCCCAGCTATCTCCACCACACTATCAATCTCACTCTCTGCTAGCCATTTCTAATCCCTCCTTAGCGAACAATTGCTGGCTTTGCATTTCCCTTTCTTCCTGTGCTTACACAGCTGTCCCCGCCTTACATACAGACTGGGCAACATCTCCTGTCTCCCTACACCTCCGAACTTCCTTTAACAGCCCTCACCTTTACCCTCCTGAAGAACTTCTTTACTTTCTAGACAGGTCCAGCAAGACCTCCCCAGACATGTGACATCAGCAAGCTGCCGCCCTCCTCCGCACTTACTTAAAAAAACCTTTCTCCTTATATCAACTCTACTCCCCACATATTCGGACCCCTCACAACACAAACTACTATTGCTGTGGCTGCTCCTTTTTGTATCTCTCAGCAAAGACCCACTGGAATTCCCTTTCACCTTCGTGATGTTCCTTCACTCTTCATCTCCAAAGCCCAACTACACACACCACTGAAACAATTGGAGCCTCCCAGCTCCGTATTACAGATAAGCCCTCTATCAATACGGGCAAACTTAAAAACATTAGCAGTAATTATTGCTTACGAAGGCACTTACCCTGTATTTCACTCCAACCTTGGCTACCTTCCCCTTGCTCGTCAGACTCTCCTCCCAGGCCCTCTTCTTGTTTACTTATACCCAGCCCCATAAATAACAGTGAAAAGTTGTTTGTAGATACTCATCGTTTTCTCACACACCATGAAAATCGAACCTCCCCCTCTAAGCAGTTACCCTATCAGTCCCCATTAAAACCTCTGACAGCTGCCGCCCTAGCTGGATCCCTAGGAGTCTGGGTAGAAGACACTTCTTTCAGCACTCCTTCTCATCTTTTTACTTTGCATTTCCAGTTTTGCTTTATACAAGGTCTCTTCTTCCTCTGTGTATCCTCTACCTACATGTGTCTACCTGCTAATTGGACAGGCACATGCACATTAATTTTCCTTACTCCCAAAATTCAATTTGCAAATGGGACGGAAGAGCTTCCTGTTCCCCACATGACACTGACACGACAAAAAAGAGTTATTCCACTAATTCCCTTGCTTGTCAGTTTAGGACTTTCTGCGTCCACTAATGTTCTTGGTACTGGAATAGCAGGCATTTCAACCTCTGTCATGACCTTTCGTAGCCTCTCTAATGACTTCTCTGCTAGCATCACAGACGTATCACAAATTTTATCAGTCCTTCAGGCCCAAGTGACTCTCTAGCTGAGGTTGTCCTCCAAAACCGCCGAGGCCTTGACTTACTCACTGCTGAAACATGAGGACTCTGTATATTTTTTAAAGAAGAGTGTTGTTTTTACCTAAATCAATCTGGCCTGGTGTAAGACAACATAAAAAAACTCAAGGATAGAGCACCAAAACTCTCCAACCAAGCAAGTAATTATGCTGAACCCCCTTGGGCACCCTCTAATTGGATGTCCTGGGTCCTCCCAATTCTTAATTCTTTAATACCTGTTCTTCTCCTCTTATTCAGACCTTGTATCTTCCGTTTAGTTTCTCAATTCATACAAAACTGCATCCAGGCCATCACCAGTCATTCTATATGACAAATACTCCTTCTAACAACCCCACAATATTGCCCCTTACCACAAAATCCTCCTTCAACTTGACCTCTGCTACTCTAGGTTCCCACGCTGCCCCTAATCCTGCTTGAAGCAGCCCTGAGAAACATCGCCCATTATCTCTCCATACCACCCCCAAAAATTTTCGCCGTCCCAACACTTTACCACTATTTTGTTTTATTTTTCTTATTAATATAAGAAGAAAGGAATGTCAGGCCTCTGAGCCCAAGCCTGCAGGTATACATCCAGATGGCCTGAAGTAATTGAAGAATCACAAAAGAAGTGAAAATGGCCATTTCCTGCCTTAACTGAAGACATTACCTTGTGAAATTCCTTCTCCTGGCTCAGAAGTTCCCCCACTGAGCACCTTGTGACCCCCCACCCCTGCCCGCCAGAGAACAACCCCCTTTGACTGTAATTTTCCACTACCTACCCAAATCCTATAAAACGGCCCTACCCCTTTCTCCCTTCGCTGACTCTCTTTTTGGACTCAGCCCGCCTGCACCCAGGTGATTAAAAAGCTTTATTGCTCACACAAAGCCTGTTTGGTAGTCTCTTCACACAGACACGTGTGACATGTTAAGTTTAATAAATACATCTTCAGCAATCATATCACCTCTCCTACCCCACCCTCATTTCACATTAAATAATAACATTTCCAACAAACCAAACTGTGATGTTCTCATAACTTAGACTGTAGAAGTCTGAAGCCCAACTAGTTCTTGGAGATTATCTACTTCAGTCCCCTTATTCTACAGAGGTGGGGCCCAGACCCAGAAAGAAAACAGGATTTGTCCAAGGTCATGAATAGCTGGCCCGGAACTGTAGCCCAAGTCTCTTACCTTATTCTTTTCACACTGTCTTACCCACATCTGCAAAAATATGAGTAGATTTGCTGTAAAAGATTTGTGTGTTTCCTAAATAAAAATTTCATTCAATCATAAAAATAACACACATTTAATATAGAAAATGTGACAAAAACAAAGAAAAAAGCAAAACCCACCTATAATTCCATCTCCCAGAAATACAACTGTTAAAACCTCGGCATATTTTCCTATTTTTTTCTCTCTCTACATATATATGTTTGCATGCACACAGACGATGTATAGAAACAGTACATAAAACTTTTTTTTGAGATGGAGTTTCACTCTGTCTTGAGATTAATCCAAGTTATGTGTATCAGTAAGTTCTTTCCTATTCATTTTTATTTTTTATTTGTAGAGACAGACTTTATCTTATTTTACTTTTTTATGAGATGGGGTCCCAAGTTGCCCCAGTTGGTCTCAAACTCCTGGCCTCATGGCCAGCCGCCTTCCTTGGCCTCCCAGAGTGCTGGGATTACAGAGGTGAGACACCATGCCCAGTCCTTTTTATTTCTGAGTATTTAATTGTATGGATGTACCACTGTTGTTTATTCATTCACTTGTTGAAGACATTTGGGTTGTTTCCAGTTTGAGGTGATTACGAACAGAGCTGCTACAAATACTTGTGTGTAGGTTTCTGTGTGAACGTAAGTTTTTATTTCTCTAGGTTAAACACCCAAGACAGGGACTGCTGGGTCATATGGTAAATGTCTGTTTAACTTCCTGAGAAGCTGCCAAACTGTTTTCCAGGGTGGATGATATGGTTTGGTTCTGTGTCCTCAACCAAATCTCATCTTGTAGCTCCCATAACTTCCACGTGTTGTGGGAGGGACCTGATGGGAGATAATTGAATCACAGAGATGGGTCTCTTCCGTGCTGCTCTCATCATAGTGAATAAATCTCATGAGATCTGATGGTTTTAAAAATGGGGCCAGGCACAGTGGCTCACGCCTGTAATCCCAGCATTTTGGGAGGCCAAGGCAGGTGGACCACGAGGTCAGGAGTTTGAACCAGCCTGGCCAACATAGTGAAACCCCATCTCTACTAAAAATACAAAAATTAGCCAGGTGTGGTGCTACGCGCCTGTAATCCCAGCTACTCAGGAGGCTGAGGCAGGCAGAATTGCTTGAACTGGAGAGGCGGAGGTTGCAGTGAGCTGAGACCATGCCATTGCACCCCAGCCTGGGTGACAGAGTGACTCTGTCTCAAAAAAAAAAAAAAAAAAAAAAAAAAAAAAAAAAGGAGTTCCCCTGCACAAGCCCTTTGCCTGCCGCCATCCACCATCCACGTAAGATGTGACTTGCTCCTCCTTGCCTTCTGCCATGATTGTGAGGCCTCCTCAGCCATGAGGAACTCTGAGTCCAGTTAAATCTCTTTCTTTTGTAAATTACCCAGTCTCAGGTATGTCTTTATCAGCTGCGTGAAAACGGACTAATACAGTGGATATACCACTTTGCATCCCCAGCAGCTGTGTATGAGGGTTCTGATTGCTCCTCATTCTCCCCAGTTCTTGGTATTGTCAGTATTTTTTATTTTAACCATTTTAACAGGTGTATGATATCTCATTATGAGTTTTCATTTGCACTTCCCTAATGGCTAGTGATTTAAGCATCTTTTCATGTATTTACTTCTCATTTACATATCCTCATTGGTGAGGTGTTCCAGTCTTTTAATTATTTTTTAACTGGGTTCTTTTCTTACTCTTCAATTGTGAGAGTCCTTGATACCCCTTGGGTAAAATCGTTTGTCATGTATATGATATATGAGTTTTTCTCTCCCAGTTTGTGGCTTGTCTTTTCCTTCTGTTAACAGTGTCATTCACAGAACAAAAGTTTTATATTTTGATGAATTATATTTTTTCAATTTTTAAATAGATTATGCTTTTGGTCTTATGTCTAAAAACTTTTTTTTTGAGACAAGGTCTCACTCTGTTGCTCAGGCTGGAGTACAGTGGCGCGATCATGGCTCACAATAGCCTCCATCTCCCAGGCTCCAGCGATCCCCCCACCCCCACTCCCCCAAGTAGCTGGGATTACCCGTGTGCGCCACCATGCCCAGCTAATTTTTGTATTTTTTGCAGACAGGGTTTTGCTGAGCTGACCAGCTGGTCTCACACTCCTGGATTCAAGTGATCCTCCTGCCTCAGGCTCCCAGAATGCTGAGATTACAGGTGTGAGCCACCGCACCTGGCCCCTAAAAACTCTTTGCCTAACTCCACTTGACAAAGATTTTCTCCTATGTTTTTTCCTAATAGTTTTCTAGTTTAACTAAAATGAATTCTCTTAATAGCTTAGAGAAAACTGAGGTAGTAAATGAGGGTCTAAATATTTTGAAATGACATTTTTCATGTTTAAAAACAGTCACAAGTATCTAGAATACTGCAGAAGATCTGTGAAATATAAAACAAATTCCAAAAGTAAAGGTCTCCATAACTTCCGAAGAAAAAAATCCAATGATACGCTTTCTTCATTGTGCAATCCTCAATTTCCTCCCCCACAACAAGGGCATGAAATGGATTTGTTGAACATAATGTGTCCAGAATTGGTGGGTCCTTGATCTCACTGACCTCAAGAGTGAAGCCACGGACTCTCACGGTGAGTGTTATGGTTCTTAAAGGCGGCGTGTCCGGAGTTTGCTCCTTCTGGTGTTTGGATGTGTTCGGAGTTTCTTCCTTCTGGTGGGTTCGTGGTCTCGCTGGTTCAGGAATGAACCCGCAGACCTCCACGGTGAGTGTTACAGCTCTTAACGTGGCGCGTCTGGAGTTGTTCGTTCCTCCCGGTGGGTTCGTGGTCTGGCTGGCTTCAGGCGTGAAGCTGCAGACCTTCGCAGTAAGTGCTACAGCTCATAAAGACAGTGTGGACCCAAAGAGGGAGCAGCAGCACAATTTATTGCAAAAAGTAAAAAAACAAAACTCCCCAAGTGGGGAAGACGAGCCCAGCAGGTTGCCACTGCTGGCTGAGGCAGCCTGCTTTTATTCTCTTATCTGGCCCCACCCACATCCTGCTGATTGGTCCATTTTACAGAGAACCAATTGGTCTGTTTTACAGAGAGCTGATTGGTCCGTTTTGACAGAGTGCTGATTGGTGAGTTTACAATCCCTGAGCTAGACACAAAAGTTCTCCACCTTCCCCACTAGATTAGCTAAATACAGAGTGCTCTTTGGTGCATTTACAAACCCTGAGCTAGACACAGAGTGCTGATTGGTGCATTCACAAACCTTGAGCTAGATATAGAGTGCCGATTGGTGTATTCACAATCCCTTAGCTAGACACAAAGATTCTCCAAGTCCCCACCAGATTAGCTAGATACAGAGTGCCAATTGGTGTATCCACAAACCCTGAGCTAGACACAGGGTGCTGATTGGTGTGCTTACAAACCTTGAACTAGATACAGAGTGCGGATTGGTGTATTTACAATCCCTTAGCTAGACATAAAGGTTCTGCAAGTCCCCACCAGACTCAGGAGCTCAGCTGGCTTCACCCAGTGGATACTGCACTGGGGCGGCAGGTGGAGCTGTCTGCCAGTCCCGCGCAGTGTGCCCATACTCCTCAGCCCTTGGGCGGTCCGTGGGACCGTGCACACTGGAGCAGGGGGCAGCACTCATTGGGGAGGCTCCGGTGGTGCAGGAGCCCACGGTGGTGGAGCGGGGGGGCTCAGGCATGGCGGGCTGCAGGTCCTGAGCCCTGCCCGGCGGGGAGGCAGCTAAGACCCGGTGAAAAATCGAGGGCAGTGTGGGAGGGCTGGCACTGCTGTGGGACCCGGCGCACCCTCCATAGCTGCTGGCCTGGGTGCTAACAATGCCTGGGGCCAGCCGGCCGCTCTGAGTGTGGGCCCACCGAGCCCACGCCCATCTGGAACTCGCCCTGGCTTGCAAGCACTGTGCGCAGAACTGGTTCCTGCCCCGTGCCTCTCCCTCCACGCCTCTCCCTCCACCCCTCCCTGCAAGCCGAGGGAGCCGGCTCTGGCCTCGGCCAGACCAGAGAAGGGCTCCCATGGTGCAGCGGCGGGCTGAAGGGCTCCTCAAGTGTGGCCAGAGTGGGCGCCCAGGCTGAGGAGGCGCGGAGAGTGAGTGAGGGCTGCGAGGGTTGCCAGCACTCTGTCACCTCTCAATAACAGTACTGTTCTGTGCTCAGTGAAATTGGGTAGGAAAAGTCTTGATATTAGTCTTAGTAAAAGAAACAAGAGAAAAATTTTTTTTTTGAGATGGAGTTTTGCTCTTGTTGCCCAGGCTGGAGTGCAATGGCATGATCTCAGCTGAGCACAACCTCTGCTTCCCAGGTTCAAGCAATTCTCCTGCCTCAGCTTCCTGAGTAGCTGGGATTACAGGCATGTGCCACCACGCCCAGCTAATTGTGTATTTTTAGTAGAGAAGGGGTTTTTCCATGTTGGTCAGGCGGGTCTTGAACTCCCGACCTCAGATGATCCGCCCGCCTTGGCCTTCCAAAGTGCTGGGATTACAGGCGTGAGCCACTGTGCCTGGCTGAAGAAATTTTTTTCAAAGGTCAGACTCTAGGTTAATTTCTATCAGCCCATGAAATCTATTGTTTAATGAAAACTCATTGACAATCCTAGGACAACATTTGTAATGTCTGAAATATCTACCAACTGTTTTTAAAACTAAACATCTTTGAAAAAATTCTTTGAAAGACTTTATAAACAAAGCAGTCTTCCCATCAACCCCTTCCAAACAATAACTGATTTCAGGGTATTAACAAAGAACAGTGCTATTATGGATCTGTGACTGCATAAATTTTTTCAAGGCATATTGTAAATACAACTTTCACAAAATATATATGAGATAGCTAAATTAACATTTTGGTAATAAATTAACTCTATATTGATATTAATAGTTTACTGTCCTGAAAGTATTACTACCATTCTGAGATAGAGTAAGAAATTGTTTCCTTAAGTAAAAACTGAATTTGCAAATCAGCTTTCTGTTATAGCTGTTAGACACTTTGACTCCTACCTACAAGTTCTACCCTGAAATAATCTCAAGATCCTGCGGTTTCTTGTTAGAAAAATTAAACATTTGTCAAATGAAGAAATGGTAAATCCGTTTAGAAGAGGAATTGTAAGTTATAAAATATATTATTATTAGATTTGTCATTGATACAAACCAACTATATATACTTCCCATTATATAAATGAACCAGTAATTTTACATTTCAGTGAAATATAAAGATTACCCAAAGAAAAGCTATGACTAGAGACTACTGGATAGTATCTAAAGCTAAACAAAAAAGAGCTTGGTACAGTGGTGAGCACCTGTAACCCTAACTACTTGGGAGGCTAAGGTGGGAGGATTGTTTGAACTCAGGAGTTTGAGACCAGACTGGGCAACACAAGAAGACCCTGTCTCATAAAAAAGTAAAACATGATAAACAAAAAGGGCCTGCATATTTTTGGGGAATTAAAAACCTTATATCTAATATTAAGTAAAAGAGACTGTGAGGTAGCTGGATTTGGGTCTTACATCTTCACAAGCACAACTCCATGGCCCTCAGTAAATCAAAACCCCATGAGGCTGTGAATTCTGATGATTTTTTCCTAAAAATAATGGCCATTTGTAGAATGTTAAAAAGAAAGAAAGAGGCCAGGTGTGGTGGCTGACACCTGCAATCCCAGCACTGTGGGAGGCCGAGGTGGGGGGATCTCGAGGTCAGGAGATCAAGACCATCCTGGCCAACAAGGTGAAACCCCATCTCTACCAAAAATACAACAATTAGCTGGGCCTGGTGGTGTGTGCCTGTAGTCCCAGCTACTCGGGAGGCTGAGGCAGGAGAATCACTTAACCAGGGAGTAGGAGGGTGTAGTGAGCAGAGATTGCGCCACTGCACTCCAGCCTGGCAACAGAGTGAGACTCCATCTCAAAAAAAAAAAAAAAAGAATAAGAAGGGTGTGACATGATGAGAAGTTTGCTTTGGGGGAAGAAGAAAGGACAACTTTTTCTGGCCATTCTCTGCATATACCCACCTTTGCTTCTTTTAGGCAGAATATTTCTTTTTTTTTTTTTTTTTTTGAGACAGAGTCTCACCCTGTTGCCAGGCTGCAGTGCAGTGGTGCGATCTTGGCTCACTACAACCTCTACCTCCTGGGTTCAAGCGATTCTCCTGCCTCAGGCTCCCAAGTAGCTGGTACGACAGGCACGTGCCACCACGCCTGGCTAATTTTTGTATTTTTAGTAGAGACAGGGATTCTCCATGTTAGCCAGGATGGTCTTGATCTCTTGACCTCATGATCCGCCCACTTCCGCCTCCCAGAGTGCTGGGATTACAGGCCTGAGCCACCACGCTGGGCCAGAATATTTCTTTTATTTAATTAATTTTTTTTGAGACAGGGTCTCACTCCGTCACCCAGGCTGGAATGCAGTGGCATGATCACAGCTCACTGCAGCACTGAACTCCTGGGCTCAAGTGATCCTCCCACTTCAACATCCCAAGTAGCTGGGACTACAGGCATGTGCCACCATGCCTGCCTAATTTATTTTTTAATTTTTTGTAGAGACAGGGTCTGCCAATGTTTCCCAGGCTGGTCTCAAACTCCTGGGTTCAAGCAGTTCTCCCACTTCAGCCTCCCAAAGTGTTGGGATTACAGGTGTGAGCCCCTGTGCATGGCCTAGACAGAATATTTTTTAATAAACTCATGAACTTGAGTCATCCTCATTGTTGTGGAGGGTTGCAGTGCTCACTTGTGGGCTTTAATGTGGTTTCTAATTCTGTGTACTTGGTCATTCTATTCTCCTGCCTCTCCGTCTTCCCAACAACCTCTCTACCTCTCTACCGATTTACCTACTGACCCAGCCAGCCTCTTTCCAAAATTAATGTGAGACAATTTAGCATGACTGTATTATACACACAGTCAATCTAGCTCTTTGATAGTTTAGATAACTTTAAAATGTACTAAACAATGTTTTCTTTTTTCAAATCTCTGCAGCTTTGCCCGAAAACATAAAACAACGTTTTCTTGATTTAGATACAGAAAAAGAATCACTTTAAATAGTTTTCTGGTCCATTTTCAAATTTCTTGTTTTGCAAGTTATGCTTTATTAATGCACAGATTGCCTCATTCAATCATTGTATTCCAGCTGTGCATCCAGTAAGATCAAGGTGACTTGAGGATCAGAATAGCCCTTCAGCAAAGTGCTGAAAAAATATAAACTTGAGTAGATAACATAAAAGAAAAGTGTTGCCAAAGGTCAATATAGCCAAGGTTGCATGGATGCATTGCAAGATCAGGCACATTCATTCACAAGATTTAGAACTGTAAGGGCAGAAAAAACTGTTCCTCTCTCCTCTTAGGTTCAGTAGCTGAGAACTACAAATTAAACTGACAAAAGACATATTAACAGGAGAAAAGGTTTATTTTCAATGCACACAGTCTTTTCACAGAAAAGTAGCAAAAACCCAAAGAGGCAGTTTGGTGTAGAAGACCTGGGAGTTTATATACCATTTTAACAAAGGGTGGTAAGTTGTGGACAGGTGACTAGATGAGGGAAAAGGAGTTTGGGCTTCTGGGGAAGTAAATTGTGAGAAGGCAAATACATGGGGTAAACGAATGGAAGATCAAGCTTATTTTAGTAAGGTTTGTTTTTGCAGACTCTTCAGTGTGAATTGTCTCTGGTGATTAGACACGTTTACAAATGGAAATTTATGTCGCCTTTATAAAGTGACATGTGTGCCCTTGTTTTTCAGCAGAAAGGTGGAGGACAGAGAGTTCCTCCTGTGTCTGCTGTTTCTTAATTGCCTTCAGCTCAAAGTAATCCTCTTGCCAAAGTGGCATATTTTGTGATGGCATATTATAATCCCCTTTGGAACTATTTCATGTTGCCTGATTGCTAGCACATTTCCCTTATAGGTTGGTTCAGAGGACTGTTTCCATATCATGTCCACGCTTTCTTATTTGGAATTACAATGAGAGTTTAAGGATTAAATGCTTCAATATAACATTCAGTTAATAAAGCATCAATTTTACTCACATCTGGTGTTTGAGCAGCTGAATTCCACATAACTGGCCTCTGAAGGAATACGATCTGCTTTGTAGCCAAATTCCCTTCACTGCAAATTAAAACAATAGTATTAGTATTTGTGAGTTAGTAATTCTCTATATTTCATAATTGGCTAGAACATTCCATATGTAGTTTTGTAAAATAATCTTCTGACCAAAAATAATTATAAAATATAAATCTTTTTTTTCTTCCAGTGATGGAAAGAATGTAAAATATAATTCTATAAAAACCACATCTGGAAAAACAGGAAAAACCCCTAAAAACTGAATATGGTCACTATAAAAGGAAATAATTTTAATGTTTAAAGACACTTGTAATCTCACCAAGCTAACATCAATATTTTCATTTCTTTGTTTCCCCTCTTAGTCTTTATCAGCTTGTGTAATTTGCATGTCTGTGATCACTGCACATTTATATTTTGTTTCTATGCCCTTCACTGAATGCTCTTTTCCTTGTTTGTACACTGTAATCCTATTTTTAATGGTTGCATAATAACTCAAAGAATTAAGATACCAAAATGTACTAAGCCTTTCTTTTATTATTGGAAAATAAGGTTGCTTCCAGTTTCTTGCCAGTTATAAATATATGATGCTATTATAAAAAATATGTATCATATTCCTCTTATGAATTATTTTCTTGAAATGAATACTTAGGAGTGGGATTATTAGGTCAAATCTTATGATTTAAGCTTCTTGGTATGCATTGTCAAACTTGCCTTATAAACAGAAGAGACTAATTTAGGCTGCCACATGTGAGAAAATTTACATCCATTTTCAATTGAGGGACTTCAACTATAGCTAGATTTATTTTCAGATGCTTCTTTGTAGTCAGCTACTCAGTATTCTCCTTATTTAACTATCATCATGGCAAATTACCCCTTGCCAAAGACTGCTTGGGGTTTGTATTCCTCTGAAATGCTTTTCACAGAGTCTCCATGGATTTATGGGGAGGAGTGTCTGTAGCTAATGTTGCTCAGTTACGACTTTTATTATGCAAAAAACCCCAACAAAACCTTACTATTAGCTGCATTTTATGCTGAGCCCTTTTTCTGGAAAATGAATGCAACACTGAAACTCTGGCTTTAGAGTTATATGTCAACTGCATACCATTTGAAAATCCCAGCCTTACTGATACCACTGAATTTTGAGAAATATCAAATCTTCCTCAAAGTGATAACAGGAGACTGCTTCTTTTTTATTTTTGAAAGGCTGTTTCTAGTCTAATCTCATTCCATTTTGACCTTATCTTTGATTGGAACAAAAAACTTTTATAAAATATGTAGTAACTTTGGGAACAAATCATCATGAGGCTTTGGTACACGGGCGGGATTAGCATGTGTACAGAAAAAGCTGGTCACATGTTTTGGGAGCATGAAGTGTGCTGGAAAAAGCCATGGCTTTGGAACCAGACAGTTCCTGGGTTCAAATCCAAACTCTGTCATAGTACCTAATAGCTGACGCCTTTAATCATTTAATCCGTAAATTGTGTTTTCTTTTTCTTTCTTTCTTTTTTTTTTGAGATGGAGTTTTGCTTTTGTTGCCCAGGCTGAAGTGCAGTGGCGTGATCTCGGCTCACCGCAACGTCACCTCCTGGGTTCAAGTGATTCTCCTCCCTCAGCCTTCCGAGTAGCTGGGATCACAGGCATGTACCACCACACTGGTCTAATTTTGTATTTTTAGCAAAGACGGGGTTTCTCCATGTTGGTCAGGCTGGTCTCAAACTCCCGACCTCAGGTGATCCGCCTGCCTTGGCCTCCCAAAGTGCTGGGATTACAGGTGTGAGCCACTGCGCCCAGCCTCTCTGATTTTTTTCTATCAGGGACCTCAATAAGTGATAAGTGAAGAATAAGAGTGCATGAAGAGCCTCCCATTGTGCTTGCCACAAGAAGGAACACAACAACTGTGATTTCCTTCCACTTTTCCATTCATTTAGTGAAATATAGGGTGCAGTTAAGGGAAGGGGAGAAAAGTTTCAGAATCAAGAATATCTTCCAGAGAGCAAATTCAAGGGACAGCAGGACATGGTGGTTCATGCCTGTAATCCTAGCACTTTGTGAAGCTGATGGAGGAGGATCCCTTGAGCCCAGGAGTTTGAGACTAGTCTGGGAAACATACTGAGACTCTTGTATCTACAAAATCATTAAAAGAAAATTATCCAAGTGTGGTGGTACATGCCTGTGGTCCCAGCTACTCGGGAGGCTGAGGTAGGAGGATCACTTGAGCCCAGAGGTTGAGGGTGCAGTGAGCTATTGATCACGCCACTGAACTCTACCATGGGTGACAGAAAGAGAACCTATCTTAAAAGAAAGAAAAGTAAAGAAAAAAGAAAAACAAATTCAAGGGACAGGGTACGTGGGAATGCAGAAGAGACCTTCTGGGTAATGTTCCAGGTGTGTGATCCAGGTGGAGAATTACATGAAAGAACCAGGTCTGGAACGATCCGAAGATGGGAAGCAGGGATCAGGGTAGAATTATTCTTCTTGAAGAGAAAGCAGGAACGCATTGGGGTAGGGATTGTTGGAGACCTTACAGGGAGTTCTTTCACACTAACTGTGGATGGGGCAATTCTGAATGCACTAAGATCTGATGTTTGACCTACGGCAGGCTTTACAAACTTTACCGTGCATTCCAAACATTGAGGTGCCTGTTGATTCCAGGGTCCACTCCAGTCTTTTGGAATCTCCATTTCACCAGGCTGCCCAGGTGGCCCTGATGCACAGTAAATTTGGGAACCATCACCAGAAGAGACAGACTTGGAAGTGTGGACTTCTCAGGCCTTGGGGATTACTTGGTGATACTTGCTACTATCAAAGGCATTCACTGTTTTCCTTGAATAATAAAACCCACCAACAGTTCCTGTTGGTATGGAGTGTGGAAACAAAAAGGGCTTATTTTCTGGAAGCATCCTTGATGTCTATTTTACCATATTCTTCTTCTTCTTTTTTTTTTTTTGACGGAGTCTCGCTCTGTCGCCCAGGCTGGAGTGCAGTGGCACGACCTCGGCTCACTGCAAGCTCCGCCTCCCGGGTTCACGCCATTTTCCTACCTCAGCCTCCCGAGTAGCTGGGACTACAGGCACCCACCACCATGCCCGGCTCATTTTTTGTATTTTTAGTAGAGACAGGGTTTCACCGTGGACTCGATCTCCTGACCTTGTGATCCGCCCACCTCGGCCTCCCAAAGTGCTGGGATTACAAGCGTGAGCCACCGCGCCCAGCCTTACCATATTCTTCTAATGTGACTTGTGTCCTTAAATGTTTTGGACAATTTTAGCTGGATAGGCTGCCTAGAGCCATGCTGAGGACACATATTTTTCACCATCTTTAGTTTACCAATTTATTCCTGACCTGACTTGTCTAAAATATAAACGAATTTGGAATGTGGGCGAGGAGTTACTTACTCCCTCTGCAGTGTGACACAATTTCTGGCAGCAACCCCAAATTATGAAAGAGTATCTCTACCAGCGGATCCCGAGGCAGTGTGAGAAGGAGAAAGAGGAAGGAGGTGGCTTATCAAAGGCTCGGTGGGTTGGAGGTGGAGGTAGGTGGGTTAGGGGTGTATGTCAAGGAAAAAAGTCCTCAGATGGTGTGAAGTACACTGCTCGATCCTGGGTTGAGAATCATTGCCTGTATGTTTGAAATAGGATTCTCTCTGCCAGCGTTCTACTTGATATTTAACACAGTATGCAGAGAGGTGAAACATGTGGCACAGGGGAGGGCGAACCCTCCACAGCTACTTCAGTGAGGCAAGAGCACTGTCAAACCTATCCCTCCTGTGGTGTGAAGGGGAATTGCCTCTGAAAGGGCAGAAGCTTTTTAAGCACGAGCTTGATTTTATTTTATATTTTATTTTTTTTGAGGCGGAGTCTCCACTCTGTTGCCCAGGCTGGAGTGCAGTGGTATGATCTGGGCTCACTGCAACCTCTGCCTTTCGGGTTCAAGGGATTCTCCTGCCTCATCGTCCCAAGTAGCTGGGATTACAGGCACACACCACCACATCTGGCTTTTTTTTGTATTTTTAGTAGAGATGGGGTTTCACCATGCTGGCCAGGCTGGTCTTGAACTCCTGATATCAGGTGATCCACCTGCCTCGGCCTCCCAAAGTGCCAGGATTACAGGCATGAGCCACCTCGCCTGGCCTAAGCACGAGCTTTAAAACTGTTCGGTTGAAACTGACGAGTAATGCCTTCCAGTGGCCCTATGGGGAGTGCTGTTTGGGGAGTCTAATGAGATAAAACAGCAAACATGGAGATGGTTTGTCAAAGGCTGACAACTTTAGACAGCATCCAGATGCTCAAATAAGACTTTGGAAGGTCAGCATCTGCCTACCTCTTGGGGACGTCCTCATAGTCAGATCCTTAATTTGAGATATGTCGGAAACTTCTATGTCCCTGGTTTTCTGAGGGCCATTTTGATTTAAAATAGGTCCTGCTACTTTCAGACCAGCTGTGAGACCATGTGGAACTTGTTTTGGTTTCGAGGCTCTAATCACGGTAGACCTAAGGGAAAGAGGTCTGAAGCCTTATAGAGGGACGCCTATTTGGTAAAGCAAGTAAGTCC
This sequence comes from Homo sapiens, assembly GCF_000001405.40. NCBI lineage: Eukaryota > Metazoa > Chordata > Mammalia > Primates > Hominidae > Homo > Homo sapiens. The sequence continues at coordinate 197,600,579 of NC_000002.12, forward strand.
CTTATGGTTCTCAGTGGTTCCTGAGATAATTCTATTTACAGAATTGGGATAGAATATTTTTCCCTTAGCAAACTGGTGGTCATTATGGCACCTGAGAGGATGTTTCAAATGCCCTGGATGGTTTCAGAGGACAGAGCCCACATCTCTTATTCCCTACAAAAAGGTTCATCCAAAAGGTGCTGTTAGTTAAGTAAGTGACTTAGTATCTTCCTGAGAGGGATTTAAGAATCTTCTGGTTCTGTTTTAGACTTTAATGGACAGTCATGCTTTGATGTATTAGAAAACAAAGGCAACTTTGGAAAATATGCTTGATTTAGAGATAGTAATTTAAATTCTGAAAAAGTTCTAGTACAAACTGTTTTGGTGACAAGTATAGAGAACAGTCTACAGAGAAGTGATGAGAACATTGACTAGTCCCTTCATCTCTGAGGGCAGCAGATGATCCCTGGTGCTGTGGTCAGCACGAGGGCACAGGCTGCATGAAGGACAGGTCAGCCAGGGCAGGCTGAGTTCTCTGCAGGCAGAAGTGGTTGAACATTGTCAATGAGATAGTAGATGTAAAGTTCCTACACCCTGGATATGGACCCTGGAGCATAGGAGATGCTCAGAAATGTTTCCTTTTCTCTTCCCTGCCTTCTTCTATGCATTTCATAAGAAAGCACAAAGAAGATTCTATGTGAATGTCATTTGAGGGAGAGGGATTTGCTGTGACAACAGCATGACTATCAAGAAGATTGGGTCTTCCCACTAACAGAAGATCTCTTGGACTAAACTAATAAAAACAACTTTGACTCCTGTAGTGCTCTCAGCGTTCCAAGTCCTTTCTGTGTACATTAACATGCTTGTTTCTTATGATAATCCTTTAAGGTGTGCAGAGCAGACATTTTCTCTATTTTATGGATAGGGAAATTGAGACTCAGCTTTTAAGACCTTTGTCTTGGGTCTCCTCTAGTTCCCACTCTTTCTACAATACTGCATTAGCTCTACAAGCAAATGTAGAGTGACTACATTTGCTTGTAGAGCTCACTGAAGCCCTGACTACAGGAAGATGTGGGTTAGTTTAATTCTATTCTGACTAGAAAACTTTATAATTAGTGGATAAGTCTAAGCTTATTTTACCAAATTCCAGATTTTTATTTAGCATCCTAAATTAAGCATTCCACCTTATAATGTTCAGAAGTTATAGTGGAGAATAATGAAGAAAATAAACACAAATGTTCATTTTTCTTGGGCCAATTAGACTACTTAAGCAAACCACACAGGTCCTGATGTTAGTGTGGCAAACGGAAGAAGAGACAGGAGCAAGTTCATGATCCGTGGTATTAAAGTGTGACATAAAAGATTAATCATTGAAAGCTTTGCCTTAAAATTCCCCCAAATGAATTCAGTTTTGTTCAACAGTGACTAGTACTAGTTGTAAAAACAAACAAGCAACAAAAATGAAACTAAAAAAAAGTTCTATTTATAGTTTGACACTATCTTTTTTTTATTATTATTATTATTTTGAGATGGAGTCTTGCTCTGTCACCCAGGCTGGAGTGCAGTGGCGTGATCTTGGCTCACCGCAACCCCCACCTTGTGGGTTCAAGTGATTCTCCTGCCTCAGCCTCCCAAGTAGCTGGGACTACAGGCGTGCGCCATTATGCCTGGCTAATTTTTTTTTTGTGTTTTTAGTAGAGACAGGGTTTCACTGTGTTGGCCAGGCTGGTCTCAAACTCCTTACCTCAGGTGATCTGTCTGCCTTGGCCTCCCAAAGTGCTGGGATTACTGGTGTGAGTCACTGCCCCCAGCTGATAATTAAATTAAAAAAATTTTTTTGTAGGAAGTTACAAGGACAACTTGAACTTCTTCTTGGTTCAATATGTGCCCATAATTTCAAGCATCTTTGAGAGCTATAGTACTTAGAATTTATGGATAGGTGGGAGAAAGTTGTTCTACATTCTTTAAGATATAAAAGCCAAGATCTTTTTTTTTTTGGTGAGATGGAGTCCTGCTCTGTTGCCAGGCTAGAGTGCAGTGACGTGATCTTGGCTCACTGCAACCTCTGTCTCCCAGGTTCAAGTGATCCTCCTGCCTTAGCCTCCTGAGTAGCTGGGACTACAGGTGTGCGCCACCACCATTTGACCCAGTCATCCCATTACTGGGTATATACCCAAAGGATTATAAATCATGCTGCTATAAAGACACATGCACACGTATGTTTATCGCGGCACTATTCACAATAGCAAAGACTTGGAACCAACCCAAATGTCCAAAAATGATAGACTGGATTAAGAAAATGTGGCACATATATGCCATGGAATACTATGCAACCATAAAAAATGATGAGTTCATGTTCTTTGTAGGGACATGGATGAAGCTGGAAACCATCATTCTCAGCAAACTATCACAAGGACAAAAAACCAAACATAGCATGTTCTCACTCATAGGTGGGAATTGAACAATAAGAACACATGGACATAGGAACGGGAACATCACACAGTGGGGACTGTTGTGGGGTGCAGGGAGTGGGGAGAGATAGCATTAGGAGATATACCTAATGCTAAATGATGAGTTAATGGGTGCAGCACACTAACATGGCACATGTATACATGCACGTTGTGCACATGTACCCTAAAACTTAAAGTATAATAATAAAAAAAGTCTCATATTTTAAAATAATTCACTCTTTCCTTTCTACACTAACTTCAATGAAGGGAGAGATTTCTTAAACAATATACTAAAAAGGGTAAAGATAGGTACATTTGTCGATTTTAAAATTAAAACCTTTTGTTAATTAAAGACATCATAGAGTAAAAAGACAAGCCACAGAATTAGTGAAGATAATTGCAGCATGCATAACAAATAAAGGACTCTTTATCTGTTATATTTAAGTAAGTTATAGGTAGAGATTTTTTAAATTTAAATTTAAATTTTGTATAGAGATGGGGGTCTTGCTATGTTGCCCAGGCTGGTCTTGAATTCCTGGGCCCAAGCTATCCTCCCAGCTTAGTCTCCCAAAGGGCTGAGATTACAGGTGTGAGCCACTGTGCCTGGCCTTATGAATAGAACTTTAGGCCGGGTGTGGTGGCTCACGCCTGTAATCCCAGCACTTTGGGAGGTGAGGCAGGCGGATCTCTGGAGGTCAGGAGTTCGAGACCAGCCTGGCTAACATGGTGAAACTCCGTCTCTACTAAAAAAACTACAAAGAAAAACAAAATTAGCCAGGCATGGTGGTGGGTGCCTGTAATCCCAGCTACTTGGGAGACTGAGGCAGAAGAATCGCTTGAACCCGGGAGGTGGAGGTTGCAGTGAGCCAAGATCATGCCCCTGCACTCCAGTCTGGGCTACAGAGTGAGACTCTGTCTCAAAAAAGCAAAAACAAAAAACAAAAAAACATAGAATTTTAAATGTGGGCAAAAAGACAGGTACTTTATGAAAGAAAAATCCAAGTGGCCAATAAACATATGTAAATGTGCTCAATCTCAGCAAGTAATTAGGAAACTACAAATGAAAGTCACACTGAGATCACACTACATACTCTCGATCAAAATGGCAAAATTTAAAAGTATGATAATATTTTGTGTTGAGACAATGGTGACTCTGACACTCTGCTAGTAGGAGTGTACATGGAAACAATCTATTTGAAAAGAATCTGGTATTTATCTAACAAAGCTAAAGAAGTGCCCTATGACCCAGCAATTCTGCTTCTAGAAACTCACACATGTGTGCACCAAGATCTCTGCTCATACTCAGAACAGCATTGTTTGTCATAGCCAACAACTGGAGACAGCAAACCACCAGCAGCTGAATGGACACATACATAGTAGAATGAATAAATAAACTGCTGCACACGGCATAGGTAAAACTTACAATGTTAAGTGAAAGCAGCAACACATAAAAGAATATATATGATATGATTCCATTCATATAAAGTTAAAAAACAGGCAAAACTAAACTGTATTGTTTAGGGATTCATACATAAGTGGTAAAACTATTAGGCAAGCAAGGATATGACTATCCTAAAAGTGGGGATAATGTTATCTCTGTGTGGAGGAAGTGAATGTGATGGGGAGACACATGAGGTGCTTCTAGGGTGTGGGTGATATTCTATTTTTTTGGCCAGCTGTGATGACACAGGTCTTTGTGCATAATTATGCACATTTGTGTTTTATGCACATTCTATTTATTTATTTATTTATTTATTTATTTATTTATTTTGAGACAGAGCCTCACTCTGTTGCCCAGGCTGGAGTGCAGTGGTGCAATCTTGGCTTACTGCAACCTCTGCCTCCTGGGCTCAAGCGATTCTCATGCCTCAGCCTCCCAAGTAGGTGTGACCACAGGCATGTGACACCATGCCCGGCTAATTTTTGTATTTTTAGTACAGACAGGGTTTTGCCATGTTGGCCAGGCTGGTCTTGAACTCCTGACCTCAGGTGACCCATCTGGGCCTCCCAAAGTGCTGGGATTATAGATGTCAGCCACCACACCCAGCGTGTGTTTTATGCACTTTCTATATGAGTGTTTTATATCACAAAAATTGTTTTAAAATAGTATATTTAAGGGTGACATGTAGAAGAATAGTTGTAGATTTATACATGATAAAAAAGCTCCCTCCCCCTTTACATTTATTCTTTTGGAAAAATCAGTCTTGAATTTGTTGGGTTTTTTTTTTTGAGACGGAGTCTGGCTCTGTCTTCCCAGGCTAGAGTGCACGCAATCTCGGCTCACTGCCAGCTCCGCCTCCCGGGTTCACGCCATTCTCTTGCCTCAGCCTCCCAAGTAGCTGGGACTACAGGCGCCCGCCACCACGCCCGGCTAATTTTTTGTATTTTTAGTAGAGACGGGGTTTCACTGTGTTAGCCAGGATGATCTCGATCTCCTGACCTCATGATCCGCCCGCCTTGGCCTCCCAAAGTGCTGAGATTACAGGCGTGAGCCACCGCGCCTGGCCGAATTTGTTGGGTTTTAAATGAGAAGTTTTTAGGAATTCATTCACCTGAATTCACTCTTCTTTAAATATATCCTGCACTTTTCTGACATTGCTTTGCTTAAGGTTGCCAGAGAAAGCAAATAATCTGTGGTATTCATACTGCAACGTCCGCTCCCATGCACATAGTAGACATCACTAATTGAATGCCACATTTTTTTTGCTGAGCTGGTTCTAGTCTCAGAATCCTTATTGCAGCGTTCCAGGCAGCCACTACCAACAGATTAGTGCTGGTATCTTAGAGGAAAATCATTTACTATTCCAAGTTAGCCCTATCTGCCACAAGGAATACTTTTCCTTTCTAAAACTGCTTTTGGAAGCACTATTCTTTCATCACGGTGCCCCCTCAGACATCATGAGCTTCACAGACCTGCCCTCCTCCTTTATTGATTCCTCTACCATATTCACCTGCCTTATAGTCAACTCTTTTTTCATTATTGCTTCCCTGAGGAGCAATATTCAGATATTTTCCCCCTAATATCTCCCCATTAAATTTTAATACCAAAGATATGCTGTATATCTGTGTATATACTGTGTGGCCTTTTGGAGGGCCACAAACCATTGTAATAGCTGAGACTTTTTTCACCCCCTCACACTCTCAATAACCAATTTTCATCATCTTGGGGACATATCACTCCCGTTGAGAATACATGCTCTAGACCTTCATGGCAGGACCTGTCATGAACTGGTTTGTTTCTCAAAGCAGAGTATGAGTTCCTGTATGTCTGCCCCTAGAGTGGGTAAAATACTGTCTTGCACATATTAGGCACTCAAGAAATATTTGAGTTGAACAGAAAGAACATTCTTGTTAAAATAAATGCATGAATCTGTATCAGTTTCAATACAACTAAGCCAGTTTCAAAAGAGTGGGTTTATCTGTAACTGCTCAGTCACTTGTGAAATACACTCTCATAAAAAGCTTTCATTTGGGATCTAATTAAACTAAACAGCTTCTGCACAGCAAAAGAAACTACCATCAGAGTGAACAGGCAACCTACAAAATGGGAGAAAATTTTCGCAACCTACTCATCTGACAAAGGACTAATATCCAGAATCTACAATGAACTCAAACAAATTTACAAGAAAAAAACAAACAACCCCATCAAAAAGTGGGCGAAGGATATGAACAGACACTTCTCAAAAGAAGACATTTATGCAGCCAAAAAACACATGAAAAAATGCTCATCATCACTGGCCATCAGAGAAATGCAAATCAAAACCACAATGAGATACCATCTCACACCAGTTAGAATGGCAATCATTAAAAAGTCAGGAAACAACAGGTGCTGGAGAGGATGTGGAGAAATAGGAACACTTTTACACTGTTGGTGGGACTGTAAACTAGTTCAGCCATTGTGGAAGTCAGTGTGGCGATTCCTCAGGGATCTGGAACTAGAAATACTATTTGACTCAGCAATCCCATTACTGGGTATATACCCAAAGGATTATAAATCATGCTGCTATAAAGACACATGCACACGTATGTTTATTGTGGGACTATTCACAATAGCAAAGACTTGGAACCAACCCAAATGTCCAACAATGATAGACTGGATTAAGAAAATGTGGCACATATACATCATGGAATACTATGCAGCCATAAAAAATGATGAGTTCATGTTCTTTGTAGGGACATGGATGAAACTGGAAATCATCATTCTTAGCAAACTATTGCAAGGACAAAAAACCAAACACCGCATGTTCTCACTCACAGGTGGGAATTGAACAACGAGAACACATGGACACAGGAAGGGGAACATCACACTCTGGGGACAGTTGTGGGGTGGAGGGAGGGGGCAGGGATAGCATTAGGAGATATACCTAATGCTAAATGACGAGTTAATGGGTGCAGTACACCAACATGGCACATGTATACATATGTAACAAACCTGCACATTGTGCACATGTGCCCTAAAACTTGAAGTATAATAATAATAATAATAATAATAATAATAAAGCTTTCATTTATAGTTCCAAAATTCATTAGACTAGAAGAAATAGAATTGTTAATTTGTATTTTATGTTAACTTTTGCTTCATCTTACACATTAATTAATTGTCGTGGCTTAACATTTGCAACTCAAAAGTAAATGAGTTAATTCTTGCTTTTGAAAACTGAAATAAAATTTTGCTTTTTAAAAGGAAAATTATAAAATTAAATTTTGGCTTCCAACTTTGCAGCTATGTGCTTAGTCACAAAGTTCCTTTGCCTATGACCCTGAATTTGTTTCTCAGGTATCAGTATGTGTTAAAAACAAAGAAAAGGGCACTGCTACAGTTTAGTTGTCCCAACTCCTCCTCACCCCACAAAATGTTTAACATTTATGTTCAGATGAGAAAGAGCGATGGTAACTGGAAGTATATATAATAGACAAAATTGATTATTTTAAGAATGTGGCCTTATCAAAATACTGCTCACAGCAAGATTACTATGAGTTTAACTCATGATGGAATTACATGACACTGTTTCTGCAAAATTTAAATTAGTAAGAGCAGAGAACTGCATTAGAATGGGCCAAATCCTAACCTCTCCCTCAACTGCATGTATATAAATGTGCAACATCTGCTTTGGCTGCCACATGAAGATTGAGATTGAGATTGGGACTCCACAGACTTCCAGTGCTTCTGAGCTGTGATGCCCATGAGGCTGTTGGGCCTGTTCTACAGGGGCTGCAGAAAATGGAAGAGGGGAGCAGAGCTCAGCATCACAGTGAGAAGACCAATTTCTCTTGTTATTCACATCTTGTCCTTAGGGACCAGATTTTTTTTTTTTTTTTTTTGAGACAGAGTCTCACTCTGTTACCCAGGCTGGCGTGCAGTGGCATGATGTTGGCTCACTGCAACCCCTGCCTCCCTGGTTCAAGTGATTCTCGTGCCTCAGCCTCCTGGGTAGCTGGAACTACAGGTGCACACCACCACGCGCAGCTAATTTTTTTGTATTTTTAGTAGAGATGGGGTTTCACCATGTTAGCTAGGCTGGTCTCAAACTCCTGACCTCAAGTGATCTGCCTTCTTTGGCCTCCCAAAGTGATAGGATTACAGGCATGAGCCACTGTTCCTGGCTGGGACCAGACTTTTTTTTTTTTTTTTTTTTTTTTAATACTTTAAGTTCTGGGGTACATGTGCACAACGTGCAGGTTTGTTACACAGGTATAAGTGTGCCATGTTGGTTTGCTGCACCCGTCAAATCATCATTTACATTAGGTATTTCTCCTAATGCTATCCCTCCCCCAGCTCCCCACCCCACAACAGGCCCCAGTGTGTGATGTTCCCCTCCCTGTGTCCAAGTGTTCTCATTGTTCAACTCCCACTTATTAGTGAGAACATGCGATGTTTGGTTTTCTCTTCTTGTGTTACTTTACTGAGAATGATGGTTTCCAGTTTCATCTGTGTCCCTGCAAAGGACATGAACTCATCCTTTTTTTATGGCTGCATAGCATTGCATGGTGTTTATGTGTCACAACTTCTTTATCCAGTTTATCATTAATGGGCATTTGGGTTGGTACCAAGATTTTGCTATTGTGAAGAGTGCCACAATAAACATATGTGTGCGTGTGTCTTTATAGTAGTATGATTTAGAATCCTTTGGGCATATAACCAGTAATGGGATCACTGCGTCAAATGGTATTTCTAATTCTAGATCCTTGAGGAATCGCCACACTGTCTTCCACATGGTTGAACTAATTTACACTCCCACCAACAGTGTAAAAGTGTCCCTATTTCTCCACATCTTCTCCAGCATCTGTTGTTTCTTGAATTTTTAATGATCACCATTCTAACTGGCATGAGATGGTATCTCATTATGCTTTTGATTTGCATTTCTATAATGACCAGTGATGATGAGCATTTTTTCATAAGTTTGTTGGCTACATAAATGTCTTCTTTTGAGAAGTGTCTGTTCATATCCTTCACCCATTTTTTGATGGGGTTGTTTGTTTTTTCTTATAAATTTGTTTAAGTTCTTTGCAGATTCTGGATATTAGCCCTTTGTCAGATGGATAGATTGCAAAAATTTTCTCCCAATCTGTAAGTTGCCTGTTCACTCTGCTGATAGTTTCTTTTGCTGTGCAGAAGCACTTTAGTTTAATTAGATCCCGTTTGTCTATTTTGGCTTTTGGTGTTTTAGTCATGAAGTCTTTGCCCATGCCTATGTCCTGAGTGGTATTGCCCAGGTTTTCTTCTAGGGTTTTTATGGTTTTAGGTGTTACATGTAAGTCTTTAATCCATCTTGAGTTAATTTTTGTATAAGATGTAGGGAAGGGATCCAGTTTCAGCTTTCTGCATATGGCTAGCCAGTTTTCCCAGCACCATTTATTAAATAGGGAATCCTTTCCCCACTGCTTGTTTTTGTCAGGTTGTTAAAGATCAGATGGTTGTAGATGTGTGGTGTTATTTCTAAGGCCTCTGTTCTGTTCCATTGGTCTATATATCTGTTTTGGTACCAGTACCATGCTGTTTTGGTTACTGTAGCCTTGTAGTATAGTTTGAAGTCAGGTAGCGTGATGCCTCAGCTTTGTTCTTTTGGCTTAGGATTTTCTTGGCAATGTGGGCTCTTTTTTGGTTCCATATGAACTTTAAAGTAGTTTTTTCCAATTCTGTGAAGAAAGTCATTGATAGCTTGATGGGGATGGCATCGAATCTGTAAATTACCTTGGGCAGTATGGCCATTTTCACTATATTGATTCTTCCTATCCATGAGCATGGAATGTTCTTCCATTTGTTTGTGTCCTCTTTTATTTCCTTGAGCAGTGATTTGTAGATCTCCTTGAAGAGGTCCTTCACATCCCTTGTAAGTTGGATTCCTAGGTATTTTATTCTCTTTGTAGCAATTGTGAATGGGAGTTCACTCATGATTTGGCTCTCTGTCTGTTATTGGTGTATAGGAATGCTTGTTATTTTTGCACATTGATTTTGTATCCTGAGACTTTTCTGAAGTTGCTTATCAGCTTAAGGAGATTTTGGGCTGAGACAATGGGGTTTTCTAAATATACAATCATGTCTTCTGCACACAGAGACAATTTGACCTCCTCATTTCCTAATTGAATACCCTTTATTTCTTTCTCTTGCCTGATTGCCCTGGCCAGAACTTCCAACACTATGTTGAATAGGAGTGGTGAGAGAGGGCATCCTTGTCTTGTGCTAGTTTTCAAAGGGAATGCTTCCAGTTTTTGCCCATTCAGTATGATATTGGCTGTGGGTTTGTCACAAATAGCTCTTATTATTTTGAGATATGTTCTATCAATACCTAGTTTATTGAGAGTTTTTAGCATGAAGTGCTGTTGAATTTTGTCAAAGGCCTTTTCTACATCTATTGAGATAATCATGTGTTTTTTGTCATTGGTTCTGTTTATGTGATGGATTACATTTATTGATTTGTGTATGTTGAACCAGCCTTGCATCCCAGGGATGAAGCCGACTTGATTGTGGTGGATAAGCTTTTTGATGTGCTGCTGGATTCGGTTTGCCAGTATTTTATTGATGAGCTTCATATCATTGTTCATCAGGGATATTGGCCTAAAATATTCTTTTTTTGTTGTGTCTCTGCCAGGTTTTGGTATCAGGATGATGCTGGCCTCAAAAATGAGTTAGGGGGGAGTCCCTCTTTTTCTGTTGATTGAGATAATTTCAGAAGGAATGGTACCAGCTCCTCTTTGTACCTCTGGTAGAATTTGGCTGTGAATCCGTCTGGTCCTGGACTTTTTTTGGTTGGTACGCTATTAATTATTGCCTCAATTTCAGAACCTGTTAGTGGTCTAGTCAGAGATTCAACTTCTTCCTGGTTTAGTCTTGGGAGGGTGTATGTGTCCAGGAAGTCATCCCTTTCTTCTAGATTTTCTAGTTTATTTGCATAGAGGCGTTTATAGTATTCTCTGATAGTAGTTTGTATTTCTGTGGGATCGGTAGTGATATCCCCTTTATCATTTTTATTGCGTCTATTTGATTCTTCTCTCTTTTCTTCTTTATTAGTCTGGCTAGTGGTCTATGTATTTTGTTGGTCTTTTCAAAAAACCAGCTCCTGGATTCATTGACTTTTTGAAGGGTTTTTTGTGTCTCTATCTCCTTCATTTCTGCTCTGATCTTAGTTATTTCCTGTCTTCTGCTAGCTTTTGAATGTGTTTGCTCTTGCTTCTTTAGTTCTTTTAATTGTGATGTTAGAGTGCCAATTTTAGATCATTCCTGCTTTCTCTTGTGGGCATTTAGTGCTATAAATTTCCCTCTACACATTGCTTTAAATGTGTCCCATATATTCCGGTATGTTGTGTCTTTGTTCTCATTGGTTTCAAAGAACATCTTTATTTCTGCCTTCGTTTTGTTATTCACCCAACAGTCAATAAGGAGCAGGGTGTTCAGTTTCCATGTAGTTGTGCAGTTTTGAGTGAGTTTCTTAATCCTGAGTTCTAATTTGATTGCACTGTGGTCTGAGAGACAGTTTGTTGTGATTTCTGTTCTTTTACATTTGCTGAGGAGTGCTTTACTTCCAAACATGTGTTCAATTTTAGAATAAGTGTGATGTGCTGAGAAGAATGTATATTCTGTAGATTTGGGGTGGAGAGTTCTGTAGGTGTCTATTAGGTTCACTTGAGGATGAGGTTTTTTAATGTTCTTGGTATAGTACAACTTGATTCAGCTGGACCAAAAGTCCCCTGCCTTTAAATTCTGCCTTCTGGATATAAATGAGTGCATGTCTTTCTTCTATCCTGTGTTCTAAAGTTCTCTCTCTCTCACCCCCTCCCTTACCCTCACTTTCTCTCTCTCAGTGTAAGGTTAGAATTCAGTGTTTCTGAAAGTGCATAAAAATTGCTTTGGGATTCCTGTTACAATGCACATTCCTGCCCACACTCCAGAATTGGAGAGGGGAGCCATGCTGCTGTTTTGAGGTAGCCAAACAGAGGGAACTTTAGCTCCTCCTTCTCCTTTATTTTGGTGGTTTAACAATATTAGCTGCTAACTCAGCTGGTTTGGTCCTCCACCAAATTTGCTCTGAAGAGTTACTGTCAACTTTCACCTTGAACTCTTGAAGGAAAAAGGATTGAGCCCATTGGTATTATTAATAGTGATAACAATTAAGAAGGGATTCTGGCATGTTTTCAGGACCAACAACAATAACTCTGGAATAATGTGGTGATATAAGATTACAGCATCATGACGTTTCCATGGTAATGCAGCTTTAAACCCTAGTGGTGTGATATTGCCTAGGGTAATTGAAGCAACAACTTTAACCTAGGGACGTACTGTATGTATGTAATCCAATAACAGGATATATTTGAGTGAGGGAAAAACAGCTTATATATAGGCCATTCAAGTATGGCTTAGGTGACAGAAGAGTAGGGAGAATGTTGAAATTACTTAAGACTCTGTTGTTGCATATAAGACAAACACATGTAAGGAAGAATGTTTTCACTGACAGTAATTTTAAGTTATGTTTTCGACATGTGGGCCGCAAAAAGAAGATGATGATAGACATTCTTTTTTCTGGGTGTGAGAATATGTGTAAGAAGATATCTTAATAATGTCATTATGTATTTCTGTTGCTTTTATTATCTTGTCATCTTCAGTGCTGATTTTGTATATAGTGAACTAGAGTATTTACATTTTCTGAAACATCCTGATTTAGGACAGGCCAAGCTACCATCCCTGAACATTGGTTTCAACTTATCAGAAATTTTGGTTCTGCTAAGGATTGCGTCCCAAAACATTAGCCCTAATTCATTAGCTTAATATGCCCAGGCCCTGTATAGGTACTTTGCGTGTATTATCTTAGTCATAGTGATAATCCACTAAAGTTGATATTATTGTCCAATTTTTCAGATAAGGAAATTTATCTTAAAAAGGTTAGATGACTTGCCCAAATCATACAGCTAAACAATGATGAAGCTATAATTAAAACAAGATCTGCTTAGCTCCAAAGCCTGGGCAGCTCATAACCATTCCTCTAGTGTCAGAGACTAAAAACTTCGGGCTCTATCCTCTATTTTGACCAAGGTCAACTGTATATAACACTTTTCTTTATTTGTAAAGATGACATCATTGACCATGATTACTATCGTTGTGTGTACTGAAGCAGCTAAGAACAGCATGTGACTTGTCACAGGGACAGTATATTTGCACAAGAATAAAAAGGCAGAGAATAAACAAGATTTACCAACAATCCTTGTTACCAAATGACCTTCATCCTATATTTCCTGTGTTGCAGGCACTTGGCAGGACTCAAATTACAAAATGCAAAGGAACAAAATAAACACCAATATTGCACAATGCTCCTTGGCATACAAAAGAAGAGTAGACATTGAGAGTTGTAGTGAGCCTTGTTGCATAATGGCAATTAATGTTAAAATTACATTTTTCTGCTATCTTCTATACAGAGTTAGTAGCATCTTCCTAAATGGAAATCTGCTAAATAGTGATGATGCTGCCCTCTAATCTCTTTAGTATTTGATGATCCCATCCAACTTTGACAGTTTAAAATGTCTCTTCTTTTTAATATTCCTACAGAACCTATAGACTAAGACACCTCATCTAGCCCTTGATTAGTTACTGTATTATATTACACAATACATAAGCTTGATCTGCCCTGACCAGAATGTAAGTCCCTTGTTTTGTACATATGAAACGTAAGCTTAACCAGCTCACAAGATCCTTCAGGGCCAGAAACCATGTACAGCTTCCACATATTTTTATTTATTGATTGACTTTTTGCCTTTTAAATTTGATTTTTAAAATTTAAAATTCAGAATGGCGTGGCAGAGATAAGAGAAGGAGCATCTGAATGCTGAGAAGAGTTTGGCTGGAGATGGTTGGAGAGGAGATCGGCTGCTGGACGGTCAAACTCCGGAAGATGATCATCTTCCCACTGCATCCCACCTCTACCCTCAATAAAACCTGCACAATCACTGTCCTCAATTCCCTGTGCAACTTGGTTCTTCCTGGACGCTGGACAAGGACCTAGGTACTGAGAGGACACTGAGCTGGTTAACACTTAAGCCCTCTGCAGATGGCAAAACTAAAAGATCACTGTAACACATGCCTACTTGGGCTTTGGGAGTCACAGGCACCCACCCCTAGACGCTACCATGGGGCCGGAGCCCCACAGCACTCACCCCAGCTCCTGCACCTGCCCATCTGTGTGCTTCCCCTCCTGTAAGTGGTTTGAGCATGCAGAGGGTGAACAAACAAGCCACACCCCTGTCACACATCCTGCAAGGTTGAGGGCGGGGGTGTCATGGAATTCTCCTGTTTTGTGAAGACTGAATCTTGAGAATTATTACTATTCTGTTATTTGACAGATATGTCACAGAGTACAAAAGGCTGGGAAATCATGCTTCAAGGAGTCATCACTCAATTTGAGAACAGTTACTATAGAGCTCTGGGAAGAAAAGTAGATTAATTGCTTTGCTTACTTCAAACATTCCTTTTTTGTTCTTTAAACTTGAGTTTCTTTACTTTATATCCACCTTAATTCCTTTCCCTACCCGAAGAAGGTGTGGCTTTTCAGATAAAGCCATGCCAATCAAAGGTTTTTAAATGTTGTGGGGTACTGGGATACTGGACAGGGCTAAGTTGCTAAACCGGGAAGGCCAGAAAAGGTGAGTGAAGTGGGTTAGACTAAGGAAGGGGAAGTTGCTTTCCTTAGTCACACCTGCAAATCACTCAGAATGTTGAACCATAATTGACTCTGCTAAAAGGGAAGGCCTAGTTGGTACTGTGCTGTCCTCTGCAGGTAGTCACCTGCCCAGGCAGGACAGCCTTAGCAGTCAGTCATTTCCTGGATGCCAAAGCGGGCAGAGGACACATCTCTGGGTCCCAGGAATAGCAAAGCATTTTACATAATGACTTACTTGGTCTCTGTTTCCCTCTCTCAAAAAAGTAAGATTCAATTTTTCCTTTCCAGGAAAGTTAGTAAAAGGAGAAAAGGAAAAGGAAAGTTAGTACTTACAAAATATTGGCATTTGGTTCTAATGTAGGCATTTATTTTAATGGAAACAGCTACCAAGTCCATGTGCCAAGGGGAACTAACTCACCACACTGGAGGGGAGGTGGCAGAAGCGCTCCTCCATCCTGCTCACTCTGGAACCCTACTGTGTCCTAAACCTGGCTGTGGGCTGGGGTGAGAACAGTTTTGGATATGTGCTGCAGAGCCTAACAGCTTATACATCTATAATGCCAAGGACTATATTTACTAACCTCTAAGGTCCATAAAATCAAATTCGAAGCTCAGTGTAATGTTTTCTGTAGGCATTAAACAAATATTTGTTGAATTGAACTATCTAACAGATGAAGTTATATATTAGAATTAAATGATAGTATGTAAGGATACTTTTGCCTTACCTGTCATGTCTCAATACAGGTGTGGGCAACACGCTTGTCAGAAGCCATCCGAATTCAGCCAGAGTGTGCAGCAGAGGGCCATAATCTGTTTTGATTTCACATCCCTGCATGAATAAGTATAAGAGCTCATAGTCTAATGGCAAAGACAACCAACTACACAATTACAACAAAGGGTGATGCGTGTTAGGATGAGGGGAGTTCACTTTCATCCGCTGCAGCCTTCCTGGGCTTCATGTTCTGCTCTGCTTCCTTCTGATAATTGAACCAAGTTAGAAACACTAGTAATGGAGAGAGGTTTCCATCCCGTTGTCTGAAGTTTGGGCCTTCCTTTGGTCTTGTTAGGGCAGTGGTTCTCGAAATTTAATACATGGGGTTGGGGAGCTGGGAATCTGCATTTTATTTTATTTTATTTTATTTTATTTTATTTTATTTTAAAGAGAGGGTCTCATTCCTACATCCAGGCTAGGGTGCAGTGGCACAGTCATAACTCACTTTAACCTCAATCTCCTGGGCTCAAACTATTCTCCTGCCTCTGCCGCCTGAGTAACTGGGACTACAGGTGCATGACACTATGCCTGGTTAATTTTAAAATTTTTTGTAGAGATGGGGTCTCACTATGTTGCCCAGGCTGGTCTTGAACTCCCGGGCTCAAGTTATCCTCCCATTTCACCTTCCTAAAGTGCTGGGGTTACAGACGTGAGCCACTGTGTCAGGCAGAGGCTGCATTTTAACACGAGTTCCTTAGCGGATTTGGATCCAAGAAGTTTCTAGAACACATTTCAGAAACATGGGTCTAGGGACCAGGAAGTGAGGACAAGAGTGGAGAGTGACAATAGTGGTATTGAAGATGAGAGGCGCTTGGGTGTGGGGAGTCTTTTCACTGCTTTTTTCTTAATTTGGAATTGAGTTTTGCTAAGAGCTCTACCTCTTTCCTCAAATCCTTTTTCCCCACTCAATGGGTTTTCTAGTTTCTTTGAAAATGGGCTATGTCTCTTTAACCTGTGTAAGGTCAGAAAGGTAAAAGTATCCCTGAAACAGCCTGTCAGGGAGGGCCTCAAACACAAAACAGAATATACCTGAATTCAGTGTGTACACCTCAAAGACAGTCCATTCAGTGACATCTGAATTCAGGGTGCACAACATCAGCAGCAATGTCATCTCTGTTTGTGAAGGACAATGCTGTGTGTACATATTTGGCCTGGCGAGAGAGAGAACATCTTTTGGATATTTTTGCCTTTGAAAGTCATTCATAAGGTTAAAAAAAACCTCAGTCACATTGGTTGATTGGAGATAAAACACTAGTTGAGTGACCAAATTTTTTTCTTTCAATCAGTTGTCACAGAATGCTGTAAAGAGAAGCTCAGTGCCAGGCGATGTTTTTTGGCTTAAAATTTTTGGGAACTTACTGCTGCTTATGCATAGTTAATTATTTCTCTATCTTGCAAAAACATTTAACACTGGATAAAGCAAATTACCTTTTCACAAATCCGAAAGAAGTTTGTTCATGCATTTGTAATGAGATTCTAAACACTAAACAAATATGTGTTTAAGGATACTGCATGTGCCAGGCACTGAAGATCTTTAACATGTAAAATAAAATATATATAGCCTGGGCAACATGGCGAGACCCTGTCTCTACAAAAAATACAAAAAAATTAGATGAGTATGGTGGTGCAGGCCTGTAGTCCCAGCTACCTGGGAGGCTGAGGTTGGAGAATCACCTGAGCCAGGGGAAGTTGAGGCTGCAGTGAGCTGTGATGGTGCCACTGCACTCCAGCCTGGGTAACAGAGTAAGGCCCTGACTCAAAAAAACAAAAACAAAAACAAACAAACAAACAAATGAAAAACCCAAACCAAACATATATATATATTATATATTATATTTATATATGTAAAGCTAAATTGTCAGAAAACTGCAGCTCACCTCAATAACAGTCCATTGTTCTACTACGATGGCATCATTTCCTTTCCTACTAGAACCTGGAACTCCAGAACCTTCTTCTTCATAGATAAAAAATCCTTCCAAAGATTTAGGCAAATGTTCCCCTGTGAGGAAGAGGGTACAATTAAGAAGGGTTGTAAATACTAAGTGGCTCATAAAACCATCTAAATCCTTAAATAACTCATATAGGAAACTGAAGGAAAAACATTTCAATTAAAAAACATTTGTTGCCCCCTCCCCCTCCCCCTCTCCCTCTCCCTCTCCCTCTCCCCACGGTCTCCCTCTCCCTCTCTTTCCACGGTCTCCCTCTGATGCCCAGCCGAAGCTGGACGGTACTGCTGCCATCTCGGCTCACTGCAACCTCCCTGCCTGATTCTCCTGCCTCAGCTTGCCGAGTGCCTGCGATTGCAGGCGCGCGCCGCCACGCCTGACTGGTTTTCGTATTTTTTTGGTGGAGACGGGGATTCGCTGTGTTGGCCGGGCTGGTCTCCAGCTCCTAACCGCGAGTGATCCGCCAGCCTCGGCCTCCCGAGGTGCCGGGATTGCAGACGGAGTCTCGTTCACTCAGTGCTCAATGGTGCCCAGGCTGGAGTGCAGTGGCATGATCTCGGCTCGCTACAACCTCCACCTCCCAGCAGCCTGCCTTGGCCTCCCAAAGTGCCGAGATTGCAGCCTCTGCCCGGCCGCCACCCCGTCTGGGAAGTGAGGAGCGTCTCCGCCTGGCCGCCCATCGTCTGGGATGTGAGGAGCCCCTCTGCCTGGCTGCCCAGTCTGGAAAGTGAGGAGTGTCTCTGCCCGGCCACCATCCCATCTAGGAAGTGAGGAGCGCCTCTTCCCGGCCGCCATCACATCTGGGAAGTGAGGAGCGTCTCTGCCCGGCCGCCCATCGTCTGAGATGTGGGGAGCACCTCTGCCCTGCCGCCCCGTCCGGGATGTGAGGAGCGTCTCTGCCCGGACGCCCCGTCTGAGAAGTGAGGAGACCTTCTGCCTGGCAACCGCCCCGTCTGAGAAGTGAGGAGCCCCTCCGCCCGGCAGCCGCCCCGTCTGAGAAGTGAGGAGCCCCTCCGCCCAGCAGCCACCCCGTCTGGGAAGTGAGGAGCGTCTCTGCCCGGCAGCCACCTCGTCCGGGAGGGAGGTGGGGGGGTCAGCCCCCCGCCCGGCCAGCCGCCCCATCCGGGAGGGAGGGAGGTGGGGGGGTCAGCCCCCTGCCCGGCCAGCCGCCCTGTCCGGGAGGTGAGGGGTGCCTCTGCCCGGCCGCCCCTACTGGGAAGTGAGGAGCCCCTCTGCCCGGCCAGCCGCCCCGTCCGGGAGGGAGGTGGGGGGGGTCAGCCCCCCATCCGGGAGGTGAGGGGCGCCTCTGCCCGGCTGCGCCTACTGGGAAGTGAGGAGCCCCTCTGCCCGGCCACCACCCCGTCTGGGAGGTGTACCCAACAGCTCATTGAGAACGGGCCATGATGACAATGGCGGTTTTGTAGAATAGAAAGGGGGGAAAGGTGGGGAAAAGATTGAGAAATCGGATGGTTGCCGTGTCTGTGTAGAAAGAGGTAGACATGGGAGACTTTTCATTTTGTTCTGTACTAAGAGAAATTCTTCTGCCTTGGGATCCTGTTGATTGGTGACCTTACCCCCAACCCTGTGCTCTCTGAAACATGTGCTGTATCCACTCAGGGTTGAATGGATTAAGGGCGGTGCAAGATGTGCTTTGTTAAACAGATGCTTGAAGGCAGCATGCTCCTTAAGAGTCATCACCACTCCCTAATCTCAAGTACCCAGGGACACAAACACTGCGGAAGGCCGCAGGGTCCTCTGCCTAGGAAAACCAGAGACCTTTGTTCACTTGTTTATCTGCTGACCTTCCCTCCACTATTGTCCTGTGACCCTGCCAAATCCCCCTCTGCGAGAAACACCCAAGAATGATCAATTAAAAAAAAAAAATAATAATAACAATAATAAAATAAAATAAAATTAAAAAAAAACATTTGTTTTGGCTGAATCAATAATCTCCTCCTCCTCTTGGAAAGTTTTTCTTTCTCCCCAAAGAGCAACACTTTTTTTTTTTTTTTTACTTCACTGAATTAAAATCCAACTATACATATAAAAACTACAATAGCAAAAACAAGGTAAAATAGTGTGGCACAGTGAGAAGCGAGTGGAAAATCAATCTAAAAGGCATCTGGATGTGATCTTCATTTTGAAATCAAAATTTGGTTTCGGATCTATACGTTGTATGCATGTTAATTATAACCATTAAGAGAAACAGCATAAAACTGTTAATATTTGAAATTAAAGACATAATATTAAAATTAATGCTAGGTAAGATTACTTCAAAAGACCTAAACACAGAACAATTCTTTACCTCAATGATGGGTTAAAAAAAAAAATAAGAAAAACAGGGACAGGAAGACCCTAAACAGAAGTCATTGTCAAAAGAATTCCTGCTGGGAAGGAAGTTTTAAGGGAGGGCCTCTCTGACTTTTTCTTGAATAGTTGACAATAACCAGCTGGCCTACACAAACTGATTTTATGGAAGTTCTTTTGTCTCCTATTTTGCTATAGGAGACATTTTTCCCATGGTCATGTGCTGCTTAAACATTTCGGTTTTTGTGTAGCACAATGTCACATTAAAGTTTCCCTGGTTGACAGCTCTCTAAATTCTAAAGGCCTGCAAACTTTTCAAAGGATCTTTTAAGCTTAAAGATAAAAAAGACAAAAGTAATTTTAATGTAATTTTCTGTTTTAATTTTCATTATCAGGCTATAAATTTTAAGAGATAAATCATTATTATTATTTTTTTGACATAATTCATGGTTAGGGCAGAACACCATGAAGAATTTGCATTGTTCAGAGTGGTTCCCAAGAACCCAGTAGGCTGGGCGCAGTGGCTCACGCCTGTAATCCCAACAGTTTGGGAGGCCGAGGCAGGCAGATCACCTGCGGTAGGGAGTTTGAGACCAGCCTGACCAACATGGAAAAAACCCATATCTACTAAAAATACAAAATTAGCTGGGCATGGTGGCGCATGCCTGTAATCCTGGCTACTCGGGAGGCAGAGGCAGGAGAATCGCTTGAACCCGGGAGGGGGAGATTGCGGTGAGCCGAGATCGTGCCATTGTACTTCAGCCTGGGTGACAGAGCAAGACTCCATCTCAAAAACAAAACAAAACAAAACAGAAAAATGAAAAACAAACAAAAAACCCAGTGAAGTTTAGTTTCCTAGTTCAAGCTGGTTTTCTAATTACAGTGTCTATTTCATTTCCTTTAAGTGTACTTATTTACTGTCACACTGAAGTGACCAGTGGAATCAAATTTGTTTCTGATTGAAAGTTTAGGGCATCACTAGATCATCTACAATTGTGCATGCCCCAAGTTCCCTTTTAGAGGTATGTGTTTTAAAATTAGTTGTATCCTGTGATAATTACATAGTTAATTATAATCTCCTTCTTTCTTACTTTGGGATTATATAATGTGAAAACTCTGGGCTTTGTGGCTCCAGGTGTGTTTTCTTGCTCTCAATATTGGGAGGCACTAGCACAGTCCCACCTTGCTTTATTGTGCTTTGCTTTACTGTGTTTTGCAGATACCGGTTTTTTTTTTTTTTTTTCAAATTGAAGGTTTGTGGCAATCCTGCATTGAACAAGTCTATTAGTGCCATTTTTCCAAAGGTGTGTACTCACTTCATGTGTTGGTGTCACATTTTAGTAATTCTTGCAATATTTCAACCTTTTTCATTATTATTCTATCTGTTATGGTGGTCTGTGATCAATGATCTTTGATGTTACTATTGTAATTGTTTTGGGCCACCGGGAACCATGCCCATATAAAATGGTGAATTTAACTGATAAACGTTGTGGGGGTTCTGACTGCTCCACTGACTGGCCCTTCCCCCATCTCTCTCCCTCTTCTCGAGGCCCCCATTCCCTGAAATTAGGCCAATTAATAACCCCGAAATAGCCTCTAGGTGTTCAAGTGAAAAGAAGAGTCACAAGTTTCTCATTTTAAATCGAAAGCTGGGAATTATTATTAAGCTTAGTGAGGAAGACATGTCAAAGCTGAGACAGGCGGTAAACTAGGCCTCTTGTGTCAGTTAGCCAAATTGTGAATGTAAGGGAAAAGTTCTTGAAGGAAAATAAAAGTGAATGAATGATAAGAAAGCAAAACAGACTTCTCGATGATGGAGACAGTTTTAGTGGTCTGGATAGAAGATCAAAGCAGCCACAAGCAGTCCCTTAAGCCAAAGCCTAATCCAGAGCAAGATCCTAACTCTCTTCCATTCTATGAAGGCTGAGAGAGGTGAGGAAGCTGTGGAAGAAAAGTTGGAAGCCAACAGAGGTTGGTTCATGAAGTTTAAGGAAAGAAGCTGTCTCCATAACATAAAATTGCAAGGTGAAGGAGCAAGTGCTAATGTAGAAGCTGCAGCAAGTTATCTAGAAGATCCAGCTAAGAGAATAGATAAAGGTGGCTGCACAAAACTACAGATTTTTATTTATTATTTATTTATTTATTTTGAGACAAGGTCTCACTCTTTCACTCAGGCTGGGGTGCGGTGGCATGATCTTGGCTCACTGCAACCTCTACCTCCCCAGGCTCAAGCAATTCTCCTGCCTCAGCCTTCCAAGTAGCTCAGATTATAGGCACACACCACCAAACCCAGCTAATTTTTGTATTTTTAGTAGAGGCGGGGTTTCACCATTTTAGCCAGGCTGATCTCGAACTCCTGACCTCAAATGATCCAACCTCCTCAGCCTCCCGAAGTGTTGGGATTACAGGCGTGAGCCACTGCGCCTGGCCTAAAACTATAGATTTTCAGCGTCAGTAAAACAACCTTACAGTGGAAGACGTCATCCAGGACTTTCATTGCTAGAGAGGAGAAGTCAATGCCTGGCTTCAAAGCTTCGTAGGACACGCTGACTCTCTTGTTAGGGACTAATGCAGCTGGTGACTTTAAGTTGAAGCCAATGCTCATTTACTATTCCAAAAATCCTAGGGCCCTTAAGAATTATGCTAAATCTACTCTGCCTGTGATCTAGACATGGAAAACAAAGGCTGGATGACAGCACATCTGTTTATAGCAAGGGTTACTGAATATTTTAAGCCCACTATTCAGACCTACTGCTCAGAAAAAAAGATGCCTTTCAAAATATTATGCTTATTGACAATGTACTTGGTCACCTAACAGCTCTGATGAAGATATACAAGAAGATTAATGTTTTCATGCCTGCTAACACAACATCCATTCTGCAGCCCATGGATCAAGGAGCCATTTTGACTTTCAAGTCATATATTTAAGAAATACATTTTGTAAGGCTATAGCTGCCATAGATAGTGATTCCTCTGATGGATCTGGGCAAAATAAATTAAAACCTTCTGGAAAGGATTCACTATTCTAGATGCCATTAAGAACATTTATGATTCATGGGAGGAGGCCAAAATATCAACATGAACAGGAGTTTGAAAGAGGTTGACTCCAATTTTCATGGATGACTTTGAGGGGCTCAAGACTTCAGTGGAGAAAGTAATTGCAGATGTAGTGAAAATAATGAGAAAGCCAGAATTAGAAGTGGAGCCTAAAAATGGAGACTAAATTGCTGCAATCTCGTAGTAAAACCTGAATGGATGAGTTGCTTCTTATGGATGAGCAAAGAAAGTGGTTTCTTTCTTTTTTGTTGTTGTTGTTTTTTTGAGATGGAGTCTCACTCTGTTTCCCAGGCTGGAGTGCAGTGGCACGATCTCAGCTCACTGCAACCTCCACTTCCCAGGTTCAACTGATTCTTGTGCTTCAGCCTCTTGAGTAGCTGGGACCGCAGGCGTGCACCACCATGCCAGGCTAATTTTTGCATTTTAATTTATTATTTATTTATTTATTTTTGAGACAGAGTTTTGCTTTGGTTGCCCAGGCTGGAGTGCAATGGCATGATCTTGGCTCACTGCAACCTCTGCCTCCCGGGTTCAAGTAATTTTCCTGCCTCAGCCTCCTGAGTAGCTGGAATTACAGGCGTGTCACTACGTCTGGCTAATTTTGTATTTTTAGTAGAGACAGGGTTTCACCATGTTGGTCAGGCTGGTCTCGAACTACTGACCTCAAGTGATCCACCTGCCTCGGTCTCCCAAAGTGCTGGGATTACAGGTCTGAGCCACCACGGCTGGCAAATTTTTGTGTTTTCAGTAGAGATAGGGTTTCACCATGTTGGCTAGGGTGGTCTCGAACTCCTGACCTCAAGTGATCCTCCCGCCTCGGCCTCCCAAAGTGCTGGGATTACAGGTGTGAGCTACAGTGCCCAGTCTAGAAAATGGTTTCTTAAAATGGAATCTACTCCTGGTGAAGATGCTGTGAACATTGTTGAAATGACAATGAAGGATTTAGAATATTAAATAAATTTAGGCGATAAAGCAATTGGAGGGTTTGAGAGGATTGACTCCCATTTTGAAAGAAGTTCTACTGTGGTTAAAATGCCGTCAAACAGCATCATATGCTAGAGAGAAATTTTGTGAAAGAAAGAGCTGGCGTGGCGCGGTGACTCATGCCTGTAATCCCAGCACTTTGGGAGGCTGAGGTGGGCGGATCACAAGGTCGGGAGATGGAGACCATCCTGGCTAACACGGTGAAACCCATCTCTACTAAAAATACAAAAAATTAGCCGGGCGTGGTGGCGTGAGCCTGTAGTCCCAGCTACTCGGGAGACTGAGGCAGGAGAATGGCGTGAACCCGGGAGGCGGAGCTTGCAGTGAGCCAAGATCTCACCACAGCACTCCAGCCTGGGCGACAGAGCGAGACTCTGTCTCAAAAAAAAAAAAAAAAAAAAAAAAGAAAGAGCCAATTGATGCAGCAAATTTCATTGTATTATTTTAAGAAATTGCCACAGCTGGCCAGGCGCAGTAGCTCATGCTGTAATCCCAGCACTTTGGGAGGCTGAGGCAGGTGGATCACTTGAGTTCAGGAGTTCAAGACCAGCCTGGGCAACATAGTGAGATCCTGTCTCTAAAAAAATAGCCAGTGTGGTGGTGCACACCTTGGTCCCAGCTACCCAAGAGGCCAACGTGGGAAGATTGCTTGAACCTGGGAGGCGGAGGTTGCAGTGAGCTGAGATCACATCACTGTGCTCCAGCCTGGGTGACAGGGCGAGACTCTATCCCCAAAGAGAAAAAAATTAAATTAGAAATTGCTACAGCCACCCCCAACCTTCAGCAACCACCACCCTGATCAGTCAGCCACCATCAACACAGAGGCAAGACCCTCTACCATCAGGCTGGTCTCAAACTCCAGGCCCCCAGGGATTCTCCCACCTTGGCCTCCCAAAGTACTGGGACTACAGGCATGAACCACTGTGCTGGCCCATTCTTTTCAAATATATTCATCTTACATAAAAGCCACTCAATCTTAAAGTAATATTGACACTCCAGGAAGAGTTATATTCTGCAAACTTGTGAACTTGTGTACTCCTTGGCACAAGGCTGAATATCCTGAGGGTACTTGAACCCTGGTTTGAAAAGCACATGTTTGAAGGGCTCCCAGGGAATGGTTTACTTTTCTGGACATGTCTTGTCTTTTAGCTGGATATGATATTGACATTCCTGTAAAGGTGCAGAGAGGTAACACTCCATTTTAGTTTTTTTGGTTCCCCTGTCATTTTTGGTATTCAACTGCCCAGAGGTGGGCCCGGGAGCATCTTTGAAGTAGAGGGCAGGCACATATGGTAACTCTAAAAAGAATCTTAGCCTATCCACTTCTTTCCATCTCCACCATCATCTCTCTAGGGAGCACTGCAACAGCCTCTTAACAGCCTCCCCACCACACTTCCACTCTTGCCCTCTGTGATCCATTTCTCATAATGAGGGCAAAGAAATTCCTCTCTCCTCTCCTCTCCTCTCCTCTCCTCTCCTCTCCTCTCCTCTCCTCTCCTCTCCTCCCCTCCCTTCCCCTCCCCTCCTCTCCCCTCCCTTCTCTTTTCTCTCCTCTCTTTTCCTTTCCTTTCTTCTTTTTTTGAGATGGAGTCTCACTCTGTTGCCCAGGCTGCACTGCCCAGTGCAGTGCAGTGGTGTGATCTCGGCTCACTGCAACCTCCACCTCCCAGGTTCAAGAGATTTTCCTGTCTCAGCTTCCTGAGTAGCTGGAACTACAGGCACCCACCATGCCCGGCTAATTTTTGCATTTCTAATAGAGACAGCGTTTTGCCGTGTTGGCCAGGCTAGTCTTGAACTCCTGACCTCAAGTGATCCACCTGCCTTGGCCTCCCAAAGTGCTGGGATTACAAGCGTGAGCCACCGCACCTTGCTAGAAATTCTTTAAAAATTGCAAATGAGATTATGACTCCCTGTTTAAATCTTTAATGAATGAATTGGAATAAATATCTTGGTAAAAGCACACACTCCATCTAGGTGGCTCTACCACTTTCTAGTTGTGTGAATGCAGGCACCTTATGTAAAATCTCTGTGCTTCAGTTCCTTCATATGTAAAAGGAGAATAAGCATGGCCTGGCACGATGGCTCACACCTGGAATCCCAGCACTTTGGGAGGCCAAAGCTGGAGGATCACTTGAAGCCAGGAGTTTGAGACCAACCTGGGCAGCAAAGCGAGACCATGTCTACAAAAAAATTTAAAAAATTAGCTGGGTGTGGTGGCGTGCATATAGTCCTGGTTACTCGGGAGGCTGAGGTGGGAGGATTGCCTCGGCCCAGGAGTTCAAGGCTACAGTGAACTATGATTGTGCCCTTGCACTCCAGCCTGGGTGACAGTGAGACCCCATCTACAAATAAATAAATAAATAAATAAATAAAGTTAAAATAAAAAAAAGGAATAATCTTCTTTTTTTTTTTTTTTTTTTTTTGAGACGGAGTCTTGCACTGTCGCCTGGGCTAGAGTGCAGTGGTGTGATCTCGGCTCACTGCAACCTCTGCCTCCTGGCAAGCGATTTTCTTGCCTCAGCCTCCTGAGTAGCTGGGACTATAGGCGCCCGCCACCACATCCAGCACATTTTTTGTATTTTTAGTAGAGACGGGGTTTCACTACGTTGGCCAGGCTGGTCTCAAACTCCTGACCTCGTAATCCGCCCACCCCAGCCTCCCAAAGTGCTGGGATTACAGGCGTGAGCCACCATGCCCAGCCATAATCATCTTTACCTCACAGGTTGCTGTGGGGACTAAATGAGTTAATGAATGCAAAATGCTTAGCACAACGCTGGTGTATAGCAAGTACAAAATAGATGTTAGCTGCTGTCATTGCATTCTTCCTGTTTAGGACCCTGTAGGGACTGGCTGCTGCCTACCTCTTCCATTGTGTCCAGAGCCATACTGTTGCTTGCCTTGCTCCAGAAACACAGACCTTTTCCCAGTTCCTCTTTCCTGCCCTAAGGTCTTTGTACATTTAGATGTGTTTCTCCGGCCTAGAATGGCCTACCTCTGGTTCTCACAGGTCTGCTCCTCTCCAGCTGCCCAGTCTCAGTGTGATTGCTGCCTTCTCAGAGGGGACCTCCCGACCACCTCTTTAAGTGAGTTCTTCCCTGGTACTCTCGCCATAATATCCTCTATGGTCATGTTACACAATTTTCTTAGTTTTGAAATTAGATATATATGTTTTGACACTTTCACTGCCTGACTGCCCGATGCCATACGGCTAGCGCCTTGTAAGTAGGGAAGAGTATTATAAACCCAGTGCTTGGCATGGGTCCTGGCATATATGAAATGAGTTTCAATGTTATAACTCCATCCTCACTCTTCATTGTGCTACCTCTCCTCTACTAGTGCCACACAAACATTTTTATAGGAGTGGAAAGATTGAAATGAATAACAAGTGAAGTCTGAAAAGAATTCTTAAAAAATCAAAATGTAGCCTTAAGATGTGGTATCCTAAGGTGGGGAAAGACTATGCTCTGGCGGTGGTGGGGCATTTGGAGGCTGGGGAAGTGTAGGAACCTCGAGGCTAATTGTGTGTGTGTCCCAGGGTGTGCTTCACAGCAGAAAAGGCTGTTAGAGTGAGTGTGGAGGGACACTGAGAAGGAATTTCACAGATCTTACAACTTTTACACTCTGCTGAAGTAGAAAACTTTTTGAACATCTGTCCCCCGCCCCCCCGCCCCCCCGTGTTTCTGGAAGGAGGTATTTTATTCAGCGTGATTTGTGGGGTAATATATTTAAATTTCTGAGCGCTGTCTGGTTTTGTTCTTCCATTCCTCATGGTGGGCTAACTTCTGACAATATTTTGGAAGAGGACAGAAGCAAGACCAAACAAAATATGCATTGTCTGCCCCCACCACCCTCCCCATGTGCTTTAGATGTCAGGCATCAAACATACCAAAACAAAGCGACCAATTCAGCCCTGCTTCCTCTGAATGCTTCTCACAGTGACACAGATATTGGTCACAATTTCCCCTTGGCAACTTCCCTGTGTACTCCCAGGAAAGTCCCAAATGACATGCTCAGTTGCCAGACCCCATAGACTGACGTGGCTTGTGAGGGGCTTGCCATAGCCTGCAATGTCAAATGTCTAATGAGACATTCCAGAGCTGCTGAGAGGGGAAGATTCTGCACCCCCGTCTCCGTGACCCCCTCCACCCCATGAGCTGCTGAGAGAGGGAGTCTCCCTGGGGCTCTCTAAATAGCTTCTGAGGCTTTAAGAACAAAAGCCACACAGAGCCTGGCTGGCAACTGCTGTGGCTAATTTTATTTTCATCAGGCAAGACCCAAGGCAGGGATGCCTGAGAGAGATTGTGAAAAGTGTATGTTTTGTTTTTCTGTTCAGCAGTTAGTCACACACCAAAATTTGAAATGGCTTCAACTAAACTTTTTGGAGAGAAGAGAAACAAGAGAGA
The DNA here is from genome assembly GCF_000001405.40 of Homo sapiens. Lineage (NCBI taxonomy): Eukaryota > Metazoa > Chordata > Mammalia > Primates > Hominidae > Homo > Homo sapiens. Next base: position 197,628,620 of record NC_000002.12, read on the forward strand.
AAGAGAAAGAGAGAGAGAGAGAGATATTATGAAGCATAAACCAACCTCTAAATAGATGATCCACACTAAAAGTACTGTAATTGCACATAACAAGTGGCAGGAAAGAAAACTAACACCAGAAAATGAACTCTGACTGTAGGCTAGGCATTCTGGGAGTCACTTTACATTTATTATATCTTGTTACATCATCACAACAGAAAAAGTAGGAGTATTTTTATTCCTCTTTAAGAAACTGAGACTCAGTGAGCTCAACTAACTTCCGAAGATGACACAGCTAATAAGTAGAAGACATAGGATTTAAACCTTGGTCTGTCTGATTCTAAAGCCCATGTCCTTCCTATGAAACTTTGCTATTGCTATAAAAGACCAAGTGGATGGGACCGTAAACTAGTTCAACCATTGTGGAAGACAGTGTGGCAATTCCTCGAGGATCTAGAACTAGAAATATCATTTGACCCAGCCATCCCATTACTGCGTATATACCCAAAGGATTATAAATCATGCTGCTATAAAGACACACGTACACGTATGTTTATTGTGGCACTATTCATAATAGCAAAGACTTGGAACCAACCCAAATGTCCATCAATGATAGACTGGATTAAGAAAATGTGGCACATATACACCATGGAATACTATGCAGCCATAAAAAAGGATGATTTCATGTCCTTTGTAGGGACATGGATGAAGCTGGAAACCATCATTCTGAGCAAACTATCGCAAGGACAGAAAACCAAACACCACATGTTCTCACTCATAGGTGGGAACTGAACAATGAGAACACTTGGACACAGGGTGGGAAACATCACATACTGGGGCCTGTCATGGGGCAGGGGGATGGGGGAGGGATAGTATTAGGAGAAATACCTAATGTAAATGACGATTTGATGGGTGCGGCACACCAACATGGCACATGTATACCTATGTAACAAACCTGCACATTGTGCACATGTACCCTAGAACTTAAAGTATAATAATAATAAAAAATAAATAAAAGACCAAGTGGAAGAGGCTTCCAATAACCAAAAAATATGAAGAAATATTTTTAATTTTTATACACACACACACACACACACACACATATTTATTTTATTTTATTTTATTTTATTTTATTTTTTTTTGAGACAGTGTCTTACTCTGTCACCCAGGCTAGAATGTTGTGGTGCAATCATGGCTCACTGCAGCCTTGACCTCCCTGGGCTCAGGTGATCCTCCCACATCAGCCTCCTGGGTAGCTGGGAATACAGGTGGCTGCCACCATGCCTGACTAACGTTTGCATTTTTTGTAGAGATGAGGTTTCGCCATATTGCCCAGGCTAGTCTCGAACTCCTGGACTCAAGTGATCTGCCTGCCTTGGCCTCCCAAAGTGCTGGGATTACAGGTGTGAGCCACAGTGCCTGGCCTACTGAAAAATACTAAGAAATGTTTATTTAGCACCTGCTATGTGCTAAGCATTACGCAAGGTATTGTATTTCTGGGTGCTCCAATTCGTTTGGTCCTTAATACTGCTAGTTAAAAGGGCCTATTGGAACATGACTCCTGATAATTTAAAATATCATCCAAAGTCTGTAGTTGGATCAGTTAAGGTAATAAATACTAGGCTGATTTAACAATAGTAAGGTATAGGGAGATCTTATTTGCTTTTCATTCTTTCCTCTAACCTCATAGATTTAAGAGTTCCTAATTATCCTGGATTTCCTAAACTTCACCTTTCCTAATGCATTTTTCTAGTCTCATTACTACCTTTCCTTTTTCTTTTTTTAACCCTCATCTCTTAAAAAAACTTCCTAGAAAGTCATTTTTGATAATATTTTATAGTTTGTCTTTATTTTTGTGATAGACACAAATAATTACATACTCCACTGTAACTAAATGAGGAAGGCTAGAGAGGGATGAAAGACAAGGTGAAGACAGAAGTAAGAACAGAGCCAACGTCACTTTCTAAACCAAAGATGATTTTTCTGTACAAATTATAGAAAGAATCAGGTATAGACTGACTATATACATGGTAGATAGTGTTCAAAATTGGGATAATGTAATAAATATGAATAGTAAACACGAAATGCCATCATAAACCTCCCGTTTGGACTATTATAGTACATCTTATTTGGAAAATTCTCCTAGTCAATCACACAGTGGTTTCCCAATTACAACCCAACAGTGAACATTTTACGTTATATTTCTGCCCACACTCCTTAAGTGTCCATTGTGCTGAAGGAGCTTTAAGCTTTTAAATTAAAGCTACATATCTGTGTAACAGCTGGAATTTATTTCCTTAGGAATGGTATCTGTCCTTTCAGCCATAGAACTTGAGAGGTAAAAACATTTTCACTGATTTTGATACAAGTTCAAATTCCTCAGATATAAAATATCATTAACATAAAACTTACCTTTAGATGTTTCCCAGAATACAAAAGAATCAATTAAAGACAAGCCTTGTTTATAATAAAAGGTAGTTAACTCCAGCCAATCAGCATCAAGTGTACTAATGACTGATCCTTTTCTTGTTACTTTCATTGACAGGATGCCTTCCTGATAGGCCCAGGAGGTTGAATCATCATCAAAAGCATTGAAGACTGTATACAATTTGTTATCTGAGGCTAGGCATTCAGAAGGAGAAAAAAGGGGAAAATTATAATTTTGTTGATCAAAGATTCTTAATTTTTTCACTAATCATGAGATATTCCAAGCATACAAACAAGCACTCAGCTTAATCAAATGTCAATAATATGCTATATTTGTTTCAGACTATTTTTTCAAAGAAATGAGAAATGGATACGGTTGAGGCTACTATGTGGTATCCTCTAATTCTATTCTCCAGAAATAAGTACTATAATGAAGTTGGTGTTTATCATTCTCATGCAAGCTTTTAATCTTTTAATACACACTTATATAACCATAAATGATGTGTAACATTTTACAGTTTGAAAATTTTTTTAAAAATGGTATCCTACTGTAGATATGAATTGACCTTTTGTTCAACATGCCTTTGAAATGTAAATAACCATATAGATCTTATTCGTTTATTTTAACTGCTACATAGTATGCCAATGTTCTAGTCTCCTTTTGGTGGACATATGCAATATTTCCAATTTTTCTGTTATTACCAACTTTGTATCTCTTTGGACATGTGTGAGAGTGACCCTAGAACAGACATGGAAATGCTGGATCATATCTTCTGCTTTACTAGGAATTGGCAAATTCTTAACGTAGGGTCAGTGGATCCACACCTATGTTTGTGTTTTAGGAAGCTTAACATCACCGGTATGACAGACAAAAGTATCTGGATTCCATGGATTTCACCAGATACTCAAAGAGGTCTTTTGTGAATTATTGCTACCCCCATTCTCCCTCTTCTAATTAAAAACCACTGCTACAGAAAAGTTATTGAGAAGTACATACTTTAAAAATACTGAGAGAGAGGAATCTAAAGATTGATAGTTACATTAAGTACTATATTGGATTTAGAACTTAAAGGAATAGAAATAGACATCTGATTTGCTCAAAGTAAGGGTGGGAACTCACATGGAGTTTAAAGGTAGGAATGGGTGGAAGATAGTGAATAGCTCTCTGACCATAATTCTGATACCTCTTGTTCACTTTTACATTCTGATACGGTTTGGCTGTGTCCCCACCCAGATCTCATCTTGAATTGTAGTTCCCATAATCCCCACATGTTGTGGGAGGGATCAGATAGTGATAGTTGAATCATGGGAGCGGTTTCCCCCATCCTGTTCTAATAACAGTGAGTTAGTTCTCACAGGATCTGATGGTTTTATAAGGGGCCTCCCCCTTTGCTGGGCTTTCATTCTTCTCTCTCCTGCCACCATGTGAAGAAGGACATGTTTGCTTTCCCTTCTGCCATGATTGTCAGTTTCCTAAGGCCTCTCCAGCCATGCTGGACTGTGAGTCAATTAAATCTCTTTCCTTTATAAATTACCCAGTCTAGGGTATTTCTTTATTTGCAGCATGAGAACAGACTAATACACATTCCTATACTTTTTACATTGCAGAAAAATCAGGGACATTGTTAGCTAGGGAATGGGTGAGAAAAGAGGAGGGTGGTGGTGATGATGGTGGAGATGGGTGCGATCTAAGTTGGTAAATGCTCCCAGTTATTTCTTCAGGAGGTGGAGCTTATGTGGCTAAATGAATCTCTGCCATGTATAGGATGCTAAGCACATCAAAACATAACCCAGAAAGCCTGACACCAAGGCGTGCTCCTCCAGTGCCAACACTGATGGAAGGATCAGTTAATAGCAGTTAATATAGAGTTTATTCTGTACCAGGCACTGGGTCAAACACTTTGTAGACATTTCTTATTTACTTCTCACAACAACCCAATGAGGGAGTTCTTACTATTACCCCTTTTTATAAAGAAATTGAGGTATCTGATTCCAGAGCCCATGTTGTTAATGCTAAGGTATATGTAGCCTTTGCTTTTCTCTGATAGTGCTTTTTTAAAGCATGCCCACAAAGGTATCAGAAAACTTTGAATGGTCCCAAATGCATGAATAAAATACTCTCAGTTTCTTTGGAAGACTTGCTAGCTGGCACAGAAGAATACAACTGTTGTTCAAAGTTATTTTAGGATGCAGGCACTATTGTTATATTAATTGTTTCATTATGATGTGCCAGTTTCACATTCTAGTTGATGATCAAAGAAAGCCAATTAATTTCAAAGGTTAAAACCATCCATGAAATGGGAAAGGCCAAAATGAAAATTCTCACATGCTGTTTATTAGTACAAACATAAATCAGAACAGCTTTTTAGACCTAATAGACTCACTTATTTGGTACACATGTACAGCCTCCAATTTATGAGGGAGTTTTGGATGACTAAATAGAAACCAATCTTCAACACAAAGTTTCATTATGTGGATGGCATTTTATGTTCTGCCAGAGACAACTGTCTAAAAAACTGCCCTGCCTTATTGCTAGCTGTAATAACTTTTAAAAATCATGAGGTTTTTATTAGTTCATTTAGTCATTATAATCTTTAGCAATTTACTTTGACTCATATTTCTAAAAAAAACCTCAAAAACTTATTTTGCTTAAACTATAGTATATTCTCTTTCTACTAATCTTGTCTATTACCTTCTCCCTTTCTTGATTTAGAGGAAGTAGGGCTGCCATTTTGTTCCATTTGATACTGTCCACTTTCATGATGAAGTTCTTCCTCAATTCCGCTTTCAGATGACTGCCCACTTAACGTCCCTTCATTCCAACTTCTACAGTTTTCATCTGAACCGTGTCTCACATGTAGCATCGATTCTATATCTCCATCATGGTTGGTTCCATTGCAGAATTTAGATGGAGAATAATGCTGTGATATGAATCCAACAAATTTCATTCCTCTTTTAGCAGCGACATTAATCTGATATTTAAAAAGAGATGGCAGAACAAAATGTAAACTCTATTTTCATTGATTACTTTATCAATTAACCTTTAGGCTTATTGAGGAAATCCACTAGAAGATGGAGTAACTTGACCAGTGACAAGACTCATTCATAAACTAATGAATCACCTGTAAAATAGCACTGCCCCCAAGACCATGCCACATGATCATCATGACCTTCAAACAGAACCAAATATACTTTAGAAATTATGAAAACAGGAATTATTTTTCCCTGAAGGGCCACTGTTTGGGAAGAACTAATAATTCTGTAGCATGATTTTTGCAGACCGTTTAACAATGGTGTCTCCAGTTGGAGCAAAATTAAAACCTATTCCAAGAAATTCCTAAAAATAACATTACCAAATACATCTTCATTAATAAAGGTTTATTAAATTAAAAGCAAAATACATATAGTTTTGCTTGTTTGATGGTATCAAAGAAAAATGTTAAAAGACTGATTCTTGACGAATGTGTAGGTATAAAGCACAAGCCCAATTTATACCACTACTCTTACAAAGCTTTCTGATCGGCTTATGTCTTTATGGTATTGTCTCCTATGTGGGCCAAACACATAGGATTAGATTAAATCCTATCAGTTAAAGAATAGGATTCTGAAGCACATGATATAATATCAGTGAAATAATTTTTGGGAACTTAAGAATGCTTATTTTTTATTTTTTATTTTTTTTTTATTTTTAAGGATTATTTATTTATTTATTTATTTATTTTTATTATACTTTAAGTTTTAGGGTACATGTGCACATTGTGCAGGTTAGTTACATATGTATACATGTGACATGCTGGTGCGCTGCACCCCCTAACTTGTCATCTAGCATTAGGTATATCTCCCAATGCTATAGCTCCCCCCTCCCCCCACCCCACAACAGTCCCCAGAGTGTGATATTCCCCTTCCTGTGTCCATGTGATCTCATTGTTCAATTCCCACCTATGAGTGAGAATATGCGGTGTTTCGTTTTTTGTTCTTGCGATAGTTTACTAAGAATGATGATTTCCAATTTCATCCATGTCCCTACAAAGGACATGAACTCATCATTTTTTATGGCTGCATAGTATTCCATGGTGTATATGTGCCACATTTTCTTAATCCAGTCTATGATTGTTGGACATTTGGGTTGGTTCCAAGTCTTTGCTATTGTGAATAATGCCGCAATAAACATACTTGTGCATGTGTCTTTATAGCAGCATGATTTATAGTCCTTTGGGTATATACCCAGTAATGGGATGGCTGGGTCAAATGGTATTTCTAGTTCTAGATCCCTGAGGAGTCACCACACTGACTTCCACAACGGTTGAACTAGTTTACAGTCCCACCAACAGTGTAAAAGTGTTCCTATTTCTCCACATCCTCTCCAGCATCTGTTGTTTCCTGACTTTTTAATGATCACCATTCTAACTGGTGTGAGATGGTATCTCATTGTGGTTTTGATTTGCATTTCTCTGATGGCCAGTGATGATGAGCATTTTTTCATGTATTTTTTGGCTGCATAAATGTCTTCTTTTGAGAAGTGTCTGTTCATGTCCTTCGCCCACTTTTTGATGGGGTTGTTTGTTTTTTTCTTGTAAATTTGTTTGAGTTCATTGTAGATTCTGGATATTAGCCCTTTGTCAGATGAGTAGGTTGTGAAAATTTTCTCCCATTTTGTAGGTTGCTTGTTCACTCTGATGGTAGTTTCTTTTGCTGTGCAGAAGCTCTTTAGTTTAATTAGATCCCATTTGTCAATTTTGTCTTTTGTTGCCATTGCTTTTGGTGTTTTAGACATGAAGTCCTTGCCCATGCCTATGTCCTGAATGGTAATGCCTAGGTTTTCTTCTAGGGTTTTTATGGTTTTAGGTCTAATGTTTAAGTCTTTAATCCATCTTGAATTGATTTTTGTATAAGGTGTAAGGAAGGGATCCAGTTTCAGCTTTCTACATATGGCTAGCCAGTTTTCCCAGCACCATTTATTAAATAGGGAATCCTTTCCCCATTGCTTGTTTTTCTCAGGTTTGTCAAAGATCAGATAGTTGTAGATATGCGGCGTTATTTCTGAGGGCTCTGTTCTGTTCCATTGATCTATATCTCTTGTTTTGGTACCAGTACCATGCTGTTTTGGTTACTGTAGCCTTGTAGTATAGTTTGAAGTCAGGTAGTGTGATGCCTCCAGCTTTGTTCTTTTGGCTTAGGATTGCCTTGGCGACGCGGGCTCTTTTTTGGTTCCATATGAACTTTAAAGTAGTTTTTTCCAATTCTGTGAAGAAAGGCATTGGTAGCTTTATGGGGATGGCATTGAATCTGTAAATTACCTTGGGCAGTATGGCCATTTTCACGATATTGATTCTTCCTACCCATGAGCATGGAATGTTCTTCCATTTGTTTGTATACTCTTTTATTTCCTTGAGCAGTGGTTTGTAGTTCTCCTTGAAGAGGTCCTTCACATCCCTTGTAAGTTGGATTCCTAGGTATTTTATTCTCTTTGAAGCAATTGTGAATGGGAGTTCACTCATGATTTGGCTCTCTGTTTGTCTGTTGTTGGTGTATAAGAATGCTTGTGATTTTTGTACATTGATTTTGTATCCTGAGACTTTGCTGAAGTTGCTTATCAGCTTAAGGAGATTTTGGGCTGAGACAATGGGGTTTTCTAGATATACAATCATGTCGTCTGCAAACAGGGACAATTTGACTTCCTTTTTTCCTAATTGAATACCCTTTATTTCCTTCTCCTGCCTAATTGCCCTGGCCAGAACTTCCAACACTATGTTGAATAGGAGCGGTGAGAGAGGGCATCCCTGTCTTGTGCCAGTTTTCAAAGGGAATGCTTCCAGTTTTTGCCCATTTAGTATGATATTGGCTGTGGGTTTGTCATAGATAGCTCTTATTATTTTGAAATACGTCCCATCAATACCTAATTTATTGAGAGTTTTTAGCATGAAGTGTTGTTAAATTTTGTCAAAGGCCTTTTCTGCATCTATTGAGATAATCATGTGGTTTTTGTCTTTGGCTCTGTTTATATGCTGGATTACATTTATTGATTTGTGTATATTGAACCAGCCTTGCATCCCAGGGATGAAGCCCACTTGATCATGGTGGATAAGCTTTTTGATGTGCTGCTGGATTCGTTTTGCCAGTATTTTATTGAGGATTTTTGCATCAATGTTCATCAAGGATATTGGTCTAAAATTCTCTTTTTTGGTTGTGTCTCTGCCCGGCTTTGGTATCAGAATGATGCTAGCCTCATAAAATGAGTTAGGGAGGATTCCCTCTTTTTCTATTGATTGGAATAGTTTCAGAAGGAATGGTACCAGTTGTTCCTTGTACCTCTGGTAGAATTCGGCTGTGAATCCATCTGGTCCTGGACTCTTTTTGGTTGGTAAGCTATTGATTATTGCCACAATTTCAGCTCCTGTTATTGGTCTATTCAGAGATTCAACTTCTTCCTGGTTTAGTCTTGGGAGAGTGTATGTGTTGAGGAATTTATCCATTTCCTCTAGATTTTCTAGTTTATTTGCATAGAGGTGTTTGTAGTATTCTCTGATGGTAGTTTGTATTTCTGTGGGATTGGTGGTGATATCCCCTTTATCATTTTTTATTGTGTCTATTTGATTCTTCTCTCTTTTTCTTTATTAGTCTTGCTAGCGGTCTATCAATTTTGTTGATCCTTTCAAAAAACCAGCTCCTGGATTCATTAATTTTTTGAAGGGTTTTTTGTGTCTCTATTTCCTTCAGTTCTGCTCTGATTTTAGTTATTTCTTGCCTTCTGCTAGCTTTTGAATGTGTTTGCTCTTGCTTTTCTAGTTCTTTTAATTGTGATGTTAGGGTGTCAATTTTGTATCTTTCCTGCTTTCTCTTGTGGGCATTTAGTGCTGTAAATTTCCCTCTACACACTGCTTTGAATGCATCCCAGAGATTCTGGTATGTTGTGTCTTTGTTCTCGTTGGTTTCAAAGAACATCTTTATTTCTGCCTCCATTTCGTTATGTATCCAGTAGTCATTCAGGAGCAGGTTGTTCAGTTTCCATGTAGTTGAGCGGCTTTGAGTGAAATTCTTAATTCTGAGTTCTACTTTGTTTGCACTGTGGTCTGAGAGATAGTTTGTTATAATTTCTGTTCTTTTACATTTGCTGAGGAGAGCTTTACTTCCAACTATGTGGTCAATTTTGGAATAGGTGTGGTGTGGTGCTGAAAAAAATGTATATTCTGTTGATTTGGGGTGGAGAGTTCTGTAGATGTCTATTAGATCCGCTTGGTGCAGAGCTGAGTTCAATTCCTGGGTATCCTTGTTGACTTTCTGTCTCGTTGATCTGTCTAATGTTGACAGTGGGGTGTTAAAGTCTCCCATTATTATTGTGTGGGAGTCTAAGTCTCTTTGTAGGTCACTCAGGACTTGCTTTATGAATCTGGGTGCTCCTGTATTGGGTGCATATATATTTAGGATAGTTAGCTCTTCTTGTTGAATTGATCCCTTTACCATTATGTAATGGCCTTCTTTGTCTCTTTTGATCTTTGTTGGTTTAAAGTCTGTTTTATCAGAGACTAGGATTGCAACCCTTGCCTTTTTTTGTTTTCCATTTGCTTGGTAGATCTTCCTCCATCCTTTTATTTTGAGCCTATGTGTGTTTCTGCACGTGAGATGTGTTTCCTGAATACAGCACACTGATGGGTCTTGACTCTTTATCCAATTTGCCAGTCTGTGTCTTTTAATTGGAGCATTTAGTCCATTTACATTTAAAGTTAATATTGTTATGTGTGAATTTGATCCTGTCATTATGATGTTAGCTGGTTATTTTGCTCGTTAGTTGATGCAGTTTCTTCCTAGTCTCGATGGTCTTTACATTTTGGCATGATTTTGCAGCGGCTGGTACCGGTTGTTCCTTTCCATGTTTAGTGCTTCCTTCAGGAGCTCTTTTTGGGCAGGCCTGGTCATGACAAAATCTGTCAACATTTGCTTGTCTGTAAAGTATTTTATTTCTCCTTCACTTATGAAGCTTAGTTTGGCTGGATATGAAATTCTGGGTTGAAAATTCTTTTCTTTAAGAATGTTGAATATTGGCCCCCACTCTCTTCTGGCTTGTAGGGTTTCTGCCGAGAGATCCGCTGTTAGTCTGATGGGCTTCCCTTTGAGGGTAACCTGACCTTTCTCTCTGGCTGCCCTTAACATTTTTTCCTTCATTTCAACTTTGGTGAATCTGACAATTATGTGTCTTGGAGTTGCTCTTCTCGAGGAGTATCTTTGTGGCGTTCTCTGTATTTCCTGAATCTGAACGTTGGCCTGCCTTGCTAGATTGGGGAAGTTCTCCTGGATAATATCCTGCAGAGTGTTTTCCAACTTGGTTCCATTCTCCGCATCACTTTCAGGTACACCAGCCAGACGTAGATTTGGTCTTTTCACATAGTCCCATATTTCTTGGAGGCTTTGCTCATTTCTTTTTATTCTTTTTTCTCTAAACTTCCCTTCTCACTTCATTTCATTCATTTCATCTTCCATTGCTGATACCCTTTCTTCCAGTTGATCGCATTGGCTCCTGAGGCTTCTGCATTCTTCACGTAGTTCTCGAGCCTTGGTTTTCAGCTCCATCAGCTCCTTTAAGCACTTCTCTGTATTGGTTATTCTAGTTATACATTCTTCTAAATTTTTTTCAAAGTTTTCAACTTCTTTGCCTTTGGTTTGAATGTCCTCCCGTAGCTCAGAGTAATTTGATCGTCTGAAGCCTTCTTCTCTCAGCTCGTCAAAGTCATTCTCCATCCAGCTTTGTTCTGTTGCTGGTGAGGAACTGCGTTCCTTTGGAGGAGGAGAGGCGCTCTGCGTTTTAGAGTTTCCAGTTTTTCTGTTCTGTTTTTTCCCCATCTTTGTGGTTTTATCTACTTTTGGTCTTTGATGATGGTGATGTACAGATGGGTTTTTGGTGTGGATGTCCTTTCTGTTTGTTAGTTTTCCTTCTAACAGACAGGACCCTCAGATGCAGGTCTGTTGGAATACCCTGCCGTGTGAGATGTCAGTGTGCCCCTGCTGGGGGTGCCTCCCAGTTAGGCTGCTCAGGGGTCAGGGGTCAGGGACCCACTTGAGGAGGGAGTCTGCCCGTTCTCAGATCTCCAGCTGCGTGCTGGGAGAACCACTGCTCTCTTCAAAGCTGTCAGACAAGGACATTTAAGTCTGCAGAGGTTACTGCTGTCTTTTTGTCTGTGCCCTGCCCCCAGAGGTGGAGCCTACAGAGGCAGGCAGGCCTCCTTGAGCTGTGGTGGGCTCCACCCAGTTGGAGCTTCCTGGCTGCTTTGTTTACCTAAGGAAGCCTGGGCAATGGCGGGCGCCCCTCCCCCAGCCTCACTGCCGCCTTGCAGTTTGATCTCAGACTGCTGTGCTAGCAATCAGCGAGACTCCGTGGGCGTAGGACCCTCCGAGCCAGGTGCCGGATATAATCTCGTGGTGCGCCGTTTTTTAAGCCGGTCCGAAAAGCGCAATATTCGGGTGGGAGTGACCCGATTTTCCAGGTGAGTCCGTCACCCCTTTCTTTGACTCGGAAAGGGAACTCCCTGACCCCTTGCGCTTCCCAAGTGAGGCAATGCCTCGCCCTGCTTCGGCTCGCGCACGGTGCGCGCACCCACTGACCTGCGCCCACTGTCTGGCACTCCCTAGTGAGATGAACCCGGTACCTCAGATGGAAATGCAGAAATCACCCGTCTTCTGCGTCGCTCACGCCGGGAGCTGTAGACCGGAGCTGTTCCTATTCGGCCATCTTGGCTCCTCCCCCAGGAATGCTTATTTTTACACTCAGCACTTTTCCCATTGACATATCGGTAAGAGTTAGCTTTTGTTGAAATGTAACAGCCAAAAACCTAAGGCCTGTTCCTCTCTGCTTTTACTTCGTTTCTTTGTTCTATTTTCTTCATGTGTTCAACTGGCAGCTCCTTTGAAGGCTGACGTAGGGGACTGTGTCTTATCCTTCTTTGTATTGCAGTGTTTTCTACTCATAGGTGCTCTATAAGTACTTGTTAAATTAGTTAAATGAAGAAATAGCAATGTCTTTTATATGGCTACTGTTTTAAACATTTAAATTAAATGTTGTAAATGTTACCTGGGAGGAGAAGAAAGAAAAAGAATTATGATGGAGGTTGCAAATGCAAACATTTAGAGTCAGAATGAAATGGAGTGAGAAAAGCCAGGAAGAACTGGGGCAGAACAGAGAGCAATGCCCAGTCAATGGGGGCAACTTAATTCACTCAGCTCCAGCTTGTGAGGCAGGAGAATTCTGAGAGCGGGGAGAGAGTGTGGGTGTGTGGAGCTAGGACAAGGGACTGGAGCTGGTGAAACAGCATTTGTTCCTATGAATTAACATATTGAGATTGTAACCATTTAAAACAACCACAAATTTTCCTTTATATCAGTTGTCCTGGGAGAGAAGAAGAGGGAGGGATAGAGATATGGCATATTCTGCAGGTAGAAATGGGTGCATTTACCGTCAGTGCTTCCTCTAGGTCTTGTTAGTTGATTTGAGTGAAAAGATGCAGAAAAACTTTTTTCTATTACTAGGAACTTTTATCTGGAAAGGACTGGTAACAAATAAAGTATTAATTTTTTTTCCATTTTTAAGTTGGAGGATTGATATTTTTAAAATGTTATTTTTAGTTTAAAATTCTGAGAAAAATACTTACAAACTGAATTTTAAAATTAGAGTGAACACTGGTATAATGTTAGAACTTGACTTAAAAGTTAGCTGTTCAACAACCAACTCTTTACACAAGGCAGCCGCTCAAAAATAATATTTGGCAATTCATCTATGGCTCTTGTTCATACCCGGAGCAATGCTCAAATATTTCATGTGCTATGTTTCCTGAAGCTTTTCTCTTAATGAAATAACCCTGTTGCTCTAATTGCTGAAATAACAGTACTTTCCTGTTTAAATAGATCTTTAACTGTGTCCAGGAAGTCAAATGCAAAACAAGGGCTCTGACGGTAATCTATTAAGACTAAATTAGTAGCTACATTTTTGTTTTCAAATGAAATTTGCTGGAGTGGATTTATTACCAGAAAAAAAATTTCCCAGAATAGTGCTAATAAACAATATGCGTAGTTTGTTTATAAAATTTAGTCTCAAAGACTAAAAACCCTTATTGAATAGTGACTTTGTGCCTAAATGGGAAATAATCATTAGCAACTATAACTGACTATCCCCAAACCACAGATAATCTTACATACATAGTATTTAACGCTTGGAAACAACTAGAGAAACAAGTGAACACATTTCAGTTTCTTACCTGAAAGGAAATGCTTTAGATTTTAGCTGTATGTATTTAAATAAAAAGTAAAACCTTATAAATATGTCAATGCAGTGGAAAAGAAACACCTTTCACCATAAAATCCCATCAATTTAGAATATTTATGAATGTACAACTTTTTTGTTTTAATCAATACATATACAACATTTAACTTTTCATTTAAGTTTCAATTAAGTTATATTGTATAGACTTTTCTCTCTTGACAGTCAATATAGTTGTCATGTTTAATGCCTATAAAATATTCTATTATATTAATCCATCATTGTCTTTTTCAAAGTCTTCCAGTTATTGAGAATTTGGACCCTTATTCACTGTTGGTTAAATATCTTTGTATAAAAATTATTTCTTCCCCTTTTCAATTATTTTCTTAAAATCAATTCCTAAGGAGGGGATTAAAAAATAAAATGGGATTTATGGCCAGGCATGGTGGCTCACACCTGTGATCCCAGCACTTTGGGAGGCCATGGCAGTAGGATCGATTGAGCCCAGGAATTTAAGACTAGCCTGGGCAATACAGACTCCTGTCTTTACAAAATAAAAAAATTGGCTGGGCGTGGTGTCCCATGCCTACAATCCCAGCTACCAGGGTGGCTAAGGCAGGAGAATTGCTTGAGTTCAAGAGTTCGAGACTGCAGCGAGCTATGATTGTGCCACTATACTCCAGCCTATTTTCTTTAACAACAACAACAAAAAAAGACAAAATGGGATTTATGATTCTTCTTACTAAATAGATATTCAGGAATACTGCATTAATTACAATGCCAGTTGTATTATGAATGTTAGCTTTTCTTTGTTTTTATTATTGTTATTATTATTAGAGATAGAGTCTTGCTCTGTCACCCAGGCTGGAGTGTAGTGGCTTGATCACAGCTCACTGCAGGCTCACTTCTAGGCTCAGGTGATCCTCCTGTCTTACCCTCCTGAGTACATGGTACTACAGGCATGTGCCACCACGTCCTGCTGATTTTTTTTTCTTTCAGGTTTTGTAGAGTTGGGGGTCTTGCTATGTTGCTTAGGCTGGTCTTGGAACTCCTGGCCTCAAGTGATCCTCCTGCCTCGGCCTCCAAAAGTGTTGGGATTACAGGTGTGAGCCACCACACCTGGCCTTAACTTGTCTTAAAGCTTTGCTAATACTGGATTTTAATTAAATTTCCTGGTTTAATACTGGTGAGGTATTAGTTCTCAGTTTTTATTTACATTAAACATTATTAGGTTGAACCTGTTACCAACTGTCTCCTAATTATTGACGTTTCTTTCTTTTATATTTGCTGTCCATTGTCTCTCTCTGTCCATTTAAGACGGCATATTACTTTCATGAATTTGTATTCCTTTCCTGTAATGTATATTTTGAAAACGAACCTCCTATAGGACATGTCTGTTGCAGATTTCTCTTTGATTCTTCTTTTTTAAGCTTAGTTTTCCTAGTACAGTTAAGTTATATTTATATACTCAAACTCCTTAATCTATTCATTGACTATATTTACTCTTCCATTTTCTTTTGTTTTTTTATATTAAAAAATTACCTCTTTATCTCATCTGAAATGTGGAATTTATTCTCTGCAGAACAATTGCCTACTTTCCCAACAGCATTCATTAAATAATGGTTGTTCCTCCATTTTATTTCATCAGGTTTGTCATTAAACTTCTTATATTTGTTTAAATTTAGTTCTGGTTGTCCATTTTGTTTCACTGGCTTGTATTTCTGTTTTAAACGCTTTACCATTTGGCACAAGTACTTCGATATGTTTTAAATTCTGGTAGAAAAGTTACCTGTCATTTCCTTATTCTTTTTAGGGTAAAAAAGGGAATTGATGAAGATGAAATACCAAATGTTTGTCAATATCCCATGAAAAAGTGCATAAATTTAGTACCTTTTCTATCAGTTCTTTTGCTGCGTCATTTGTTTGTGCCTCAGAAGTTAGGGGACATTCCTCAATCACGAGCCTTGGGCGTCTTTGTCCACTGGGTGCTGCCGAATTCTTTGGGCTGTAACAGAGGGAATATGTTTATGGTTGGAGGCCAATTGCTGCTTTTCAGCTAATATGCTCATGTGAAAATGAGTGAGCAACTCACAAACAGGGTCAAGGTAATCATTTTTTATTATTTCAAACCTGATGGCTATCTTCTTATATAAAAATACCAGAAAAGCACAATAACTTCTATTAATTCAAATTTCCTTAATTTAAACTGCTATTAATTTAATTTGTCAGTTAGAAAGAAAGAAAAGCTTCATGTCTGTAGTTTTAATAAACTTATAAGAAATAATTTTAGATTGTTGTTATATCTTATCGAACAAAAGCAGAAGTAAAAATTCCATTTAAATGCAAATAAATATTGCCCTTTTCCCTTTTTCTTCTTTTCTGATCTTTTTTCTTTGCTTATTCTTCGGCTTGCCAGGGTACTGCTAAATCTGTCTGAAGTAATCCTAAAAGCAGAAAAGATAATTCACACATGGTTGATAAGATTTGTAATTAGGACATAAGCAATCCTACTATGCAAAAATGTCATGTTTGCTTAGTAATGCTTAAACTAGTAAATATCTGATGAGGCTTCATATTCTAGTGAAAGCTGAAGCCTGTACACACCCTGCCAGACATGTTAAAGTAGGCAATTACTCCATGGGAGATAGTGTTTCTTAAAATCACACCTGGAATTTTTTTAAGTCTCTTTCTTGTTTTTTGAAATTTTCCTATTTTCTTAGTTTTCCTCTACTTTCATTTTTCCTTCTCTGCTTAGCCCTCTCTTAAAGTGATTGTTGTTGATCCATCACTGTAAAGAGAAAATGCAGTTTTTTCCCTGGTCTTTAGGATGGTTTTGATATACAGTCATGCACTGCATAATGATGTTTCTGTCAACAATGGACTGCATATACAGCGGTGGTCCCGTAAGATTATAGAGTAACGTATTTTTACTGTACCTTTTCCATCTTTAGGTATGTTTAGCTACACAAATACTTATTATTGTGATACCATTGCCTACAGTATTCAGTCGGTAACAGACTGTACAGGTTTGGAGTCTCAGAGCAATGGGCTATACCATATAGCCTAGGTGTATAGTAGGCTATACCATCTAGGTTTGTGTAAGTACACTCTATGATGTTCACACAATGACAAAGCAGCCTAAGGACACACTTCTTAGAATGCATCCCTGTCATTAAGCAACATATTAATTAAAGGGTTGTGTAAAAAAATTTAATGTGTTAATCTAAGATATTTGTCTGGTTATTTTTATTCTTAATTGGAAAGAACAACAGTATTTTACCATGAAAACTATCAAATTTACAATCTAGGCTGGCAAAAATGGTTGCAGTATTGTTTGGAAAAGTAGCTATTAAAATAAAAAACACTACAATGGTTAGCTTTTAAATTAGATTTTGGAAAAAGGTTAACAAGAGGTCTATCTAATTTGTTAGAACTTGTCATAGTAGGTCTTTCTGTCGTTAAAAGTTTTAGAATGGGCTGGGTGCAGTGGCTCATGCCTGTAACCCCAGTACTTTGGGAGGCCAAGGTGGGTGGATCACCTGCGGTCAGGAGTTCGAGACCAGCCTGGTCAACATGGTGAAACCCCATCTGTACTAAAAATACAAAAAATTAGCTGGCTGTGGTGGCAGGAGCCTGTAATCCCAGCTACTTGGGAGGCTGAGGCAGAAGAATCGCTTGAACCCGGGAGGCAGAGGTTACAGTGAGCTGAGTTGGTGCCATTGCACTCCAGCTTGGGCAACCAGAGCAAAACTCTGTCTTGAAAAAAAAAAAGTTTTAGAATGTAGAGATAGTTTCTGTTGCCACTATTAATAAAACAATGTAGGACAGTCAGAAAGCTCAGTGAAAGTGGACTTGGTAGGTCTGGTCAGCTCTTTAGCCTAGTGATAGTATCTGTAGCTCACTGCTTCTCCTGCATCTGCTGAAGTGGCTACAGGAGCTTCTAGGTGCCTCTGGAATCTATTTTGCTTTCCCTTTGTTCACTGACATCCTCACTTAGGACACATTTGTCTGCAAGAAGCAAAAATCAATCAGGAGTTTTAAGGAAGGAGGTGTAACATTTCCTTGCTTCAATCCAGGTTCCACTGCTGGAAAATGTGCTTTAAACTAAAACCCCCATGTGTCCTTTATTCTCTGCCACTTGATTCAAATTTTTTTTTCTTTTAGACAAAGAGAACTGTCACCCTCACCTGCCTCTTTCTTGAATAGTGTGCTTACCTTAATTTCAAGCGCAATAGCACCACTCTGTATAGGTAACTTGCAGGTAGGTGTTTTCGCTGCCCCACAGGTTGTATAACAGGATGAATAGCCCCGACAATATATCCTTTAAGATAATAGTTTTCCACTTTTGTTACTATATCCAGAATTGAATTTATCTTGATGACTTCTGGGTTTGATGAAGCTGAAATATCAAAAGCAAAGAGAAATTTGCATATTCTTAAGATTGAATTATACATTATTTCTACCTATGGGTGATAATACTAATGAATAGGAAAAGATCTTGGCCGGGTGCAATGGCACATGCGTGTAATCCCAGCACTTTGGAAGGCTGAGGCAGGGGGATTGTTTGAGCCCAGGAGTTTGAGACCAGCCTGGGCAACATAACAGGAACATAGTAGGACATTGTCTCTACAAAAAAAAAAAAAAAAAAAAAAACTCCAATGGCTTAATCTCAGATAAAGTTACATTAACATGTATTTATACATTTTTAAAGTCATTTCAGAAAAAAGGAAAAGTGACCTTACAAATTAGTAGATACATAATATCACCCATATGTCTAAAGCAGAAATACAATGTCTTATGAGTTTTTTCAATTAGGTCAGTTTCATTTTTTAGGATTTCATTTGAGTGACTATATTTCCATTAATAGATATTGAAGACATACATAGGAGATACAATAATTTGAAGAGCCAGTCATTTTTATGACTAAACAAGATGAGATGCATAATTTCTTTTCTTTTCTTTTTTTCTTTTTTGAGAGAGGGTCTCACTCTGTCCCCCAGGCTGGAGTGCAGTGGCACAATCGTGGCTCTCTGTAGCCCCCACCTCCCGGGCTCACACAATCCTTCCACGTAGCTGGGACTATAGGTGCATGCCACCACACCCGGCTGAGTTTTGTATTTTTTGTAGAGGCGAGGTTTTGCCATGTTGCCCAGGCTGATCTCAAACTCCTGAGCTCAAGCAAGCCTGCTGCCTTGGCTTCCCAAAGTGTTGGGATTATAGGTGTGAGCCAGCGCTCCCAGCCGAGATGCATAATTTCTTAAAAATAAAATTCATACCAATCTAATAACTAAAAATGGGAGAAATGGCATTTATTAGGCAGCACTTGTCAAGGCTTTCTTATTTCTAATTACTCTTTCAAAGCACTGTGTTTTAAGTTTATCTGGGAAGCTAAACATATAATTTCTCATGGTGCTTATGTAAATGCTTGAGTAAAGGTGAATGAAAAAGTACAGATATCCAGTAGTCTCTTTAATAAATAAAAATTCTAAACGTAGTGGAAATTTAAATGCAAAATTGATTTGCAATTAAACCATTCCTTGAAGGATAGCAAATCTGTAGAAACTATAGAATAGCACTATCTGTACAGACTTTAGAGTAGTAAAAGGAAAAGAGTGTGTTATTTGAGAAAATGTTCTTAATGATCCAGCAGTATTAATTTAAATAACAACTTTATTTGCTACAACAATATTTCTCATTGTATGAAAAACAATCAAGAAGTAATACCTAGAAATAGACCTGCATTTTGATTATCTCTTAAGTAACAAGACATATGAAATTAATTCCAGATATGAGCCTAGTTGGCTGTTGACCTCTGTCAGTGTGGTGAGTGGTGTCTGGCAAAGAACTGCGGCTGATTGCCTGAGCACAGGAAGGAGGTTAAGAAGCAGATGAGGAGGAAGGGCCAGAGGAAATCCCCTCCTCCCCTTACATCAGTATCCACATGATGAGACAAATCCACCATCAGTGGGTATTCACGCCAACTTCAAAAACTAAAATAAGCGCTCAACAGAAAAGTTATATAAACCAGGAAGGGTCCACTTCCTCCAATTTTCACCCTCTTTTGGATTTAAATTAATATTTTATTTACAATATATCTTCTTCATCATTATGAATAGGAATGAAAA
Source organism: Homo sapiens (assembly GCF_000001405.40). NCBI lineage: Eukaryota > Metazoa > Chordata > Mammalia > Primates > Hominidae > Homo > Homo sapiens. The sequence goes on from NC_000002.12 coordinate 197,648,393, forward strand.
CAAAGAGAATGATCTTGGACTTTGAAGAAACAGCTGGGCTTCCTTGTAAACAGCCCAGCTCTGCTTGTTGGTGTGGCAATTCTGTGATTCATTTGGTTTTGCTCTTTAGTATTTTGACTACCAACTCTGATTTCTAAACAAAGGAACTGAAAAACTATAACAAAATGGAAGCAACTCTTAACACTAAGGAATGAAACATAACCTAAACTTATTTTTAGAACTATATACTAATCTTAAAAAAATTTAAAGAAAATTGTTTACTGCAGGAAGTGGAAATGTCTTAGTGTAATACAAAAGAATCTTCATAGTCTGGCCTCTGCCTCTTGATTCAGCCTCCACGCGTGTTAGTCTTTCTCTTACGTGTCTTGCTTTGGGATGCTGGAAGGACTTGGTGTTTCTGAACCTGCCACTCTGTTTCATGCCACCAGGCCTTCATTTCCTTCCCTGTTCTCCCAGCCTGAGTTAATTATTCCTTCCTCTGGGCTGCATGTCCTTCTATTAGTGTGCTTATCAGATTGTATTATAGTTATTTGTTTATATGTCTTGGCTGTTAGACTGAGAATTCCTTAAGGGAAAGGAACCTACTGTATTCATGTCTTTCTATGTCTAGCATGTTCCTTAGGTCACTATGTTAAATTGGAAATACTGCTCATAAGGGGAATTAAGAAATGAAGTTATTGCATAAAAAAGGCAAGCAATCAAGATTAGCTAGTGGAAATAAAAAAAGTTAGGTTAGCAATTTCAGGAACAATTGTTCACACTATCTAGGCCTTGGAGAAGAGAGACAAAACAGAGAAAAACATAGGCAGTGACGTGGAATTTGTAAAAATTCTTTTGATCATGGAAGTGGGGATGGTTAAGAACATACTGAGAATCCAAATAAATAGAGGTAAAGGTCATATTTACTTCAGGAGTCTCTAGCATAAGGCTTCACCACATGTTCCTCATTTTAATGATATTACAATGAGAAAAAGCCATGTTGCAAATGAAGAAAAAATACTTAGAGGTGGAGCTAATGGGATTTAATTAGCTCCATCTTTGAATGAAATCCAGAAAGAAATCTGGGAGAAGATTGTACCACAAATAATGATTTAATGAAGGGGAAGAATGTGGCTTTTATTCAGAAAAGTTCACATGAGCTTGTGGGCTTGGGAGTACTTCTGGATACTGCTGGCCTTGCTGCTCTTGCTGACTTGGTTGGAGTCACTGTCAGGGCACATGTTGCCTCATGTTGCCTACCTCGTCTACCTTAGCACCACTGATTGGAAGGAAACCCCAGAAATCAAGAACTCAGGGTTGAGAAAAGTCCACCCTCCCAGAGCTTTGGGTTAGACTTCAGGGAAATTTAGGCAGCTCAACACTCTGTTCTTTGCAATCTTACTGTCATCCCAGATAGTGAAGAACGGCAGAAGCCCACACAAAAAAGGCACCTACGAAGTTCAAAGAGGCACTTAAGTTGCTACTACATATAGATTATTTGAAAGTATTTCAATGGTTCTGTATTTTTACCAGATACTCAGCAGTTAGTAATTAATTTTATTTTAGCTCCATAATACCCCCTTCACTACCCAATTAAATGTCATTTGGAGTTGGATTGTAGTAATGGCTGCACAACAATATGAATGTACTTAATGTCACTGAACTGTACACTTACTAATAGCTAAAATGGTAAATTTCATGTCATGTATGTTTTACTACAATAAAAAGATATATAATATATATTAAAATGTATAAAAATTGTAGGAAAAACAAAAATTTGCCATTTTAACCATTTTTTAGTGTACAGTTCAGTAGTGTTAAGTATACACGCATTATTGTGAAACAAATCTCCAGAACTTTTTCAGCTTGAAAAAATAAAACCCTATACCCATTAAACAACTCCCCATTACTTCCTGTCAGACCCTGGTAACCATCATTCCACTTTCTTTTGCTATGAATTTGACTACATTAGATACCTCATATAAGAGGAATCATATTGACACAAAATCATATGGACACAAAAGTCCATAGATTGTGGTTGATAACTTTAAAAATATGAATAGAGGTGAGCACTTCATTTTTGTGAAAGTGTGTCCTTTGAAAATTGTAAAATTCAATCTAAGAATAAGGGATGTGCCTTGGCTTGGGAATCTTCCTCGTATCTTTACAACACTGTAGGCCTTTTTGTGACTGGCTTATTTCACTTAGTGTAATGTCCTCAAGGTTCATCCACGCTGTAGCATGTTACAAGATTTCCTTCCTTTTTAAGATTGAATAATATTCCATTGAATATATATACCACATTTTGTTTATCCATCTGTCTATGAACATGTGGGTTGTTTCCACCTCTTGACTATTGTGAATAATGTTGCTATTAATATGGGTGTGTAAATATATCTTTGAGATCCTGCTTTTGATTATTTTAAATACATGCCCAGAAGTGGGATTGCTGGATCATATGGTAATTCTATTTATAAGTTTTTGAGGAAACTCCATATTGTTTTCTATGATGGCTGAACTATTTTACATTCCCACCAACAGTACACAAGTGTTCTAATTGTCTGCATCCTCACTAACACTTGTTTCTTTGATAGTAGCTATTCTAACAGGTATAAGGTGATAACTTATTGTGGTTTTGATTTGTATTCCCCTAATTATTAGTGATATTGAGAATCTTTTCACATCTTATTGGCCATTTGGAGAACTGTCTGTTCAAACCCTTTGCTCATTTAAAAATTGGGTTGTTTCTTTGTTGTTGAGTTGTAGGAGTTATTTATATATTCTGGATATTAACCCTTTATCAGGTATATGATTTGAAATTATTTTCTCCCATTCCACATATTGACTTTTCACTCTGTTGACTGTCCTTTGATGCACCAAAGCTTTTAAGTTTGATATAGTCCCATTTATCTATTTTTACTTTTTTTGCCTGTGCTTTGGTGTCATATCCAAGAAATCATTGTCAGGCCAGGCGCAGTGGCTCACGCCCGTAATCCCAGCAATTTCAATGGCCAGAGCGGGTGGATCACCTGAGATCAGGAGTTTGAGACCAGCCTGGCCAACATGGTGAAACTCTTTCTCTACTAAAAATACAAAAATTAGCCAGGCATGGTGGCAGATGCCTGTAATCCCAGCTACTTGGGAGGCTGAGGCAGGAGAATCGCTTGAACCCGGAAGGCGGAGGTTGAAGTGAGCTATCGTGTCACTGCATTCCAGCCTGGGTGATAAGAGTGAAACTCCATCTCAAAAAAACAAAAACAAAAACAACAAAAAAAAAGAAAAATCATTGCCAAGTACAGTGTCATGAAGCTTTTCTTCTGTTTTCTTCTAGGAGTTTTATAGGTTTATTTCTTATGTTTAAGTCAACAATTTTTAAAAAGTACAATGGCATCTATTTTTTGGTTAAAAAGGCATATACTTTCTTCCTCAAAAATGATGCAAGAAAAATAAAGAACTTTGATACTTTCCTGGCAGTTTTACTTGATTATCCAGCAACGTAGGTTGCAAAATGAAAACCTAAAAAGCAATGATGGTGTAAGGAATTTTAAGGCTTATTTAAAAAATAATATTTACATGACTAAAGTGAAACACAAAAGTCCATAGATTGTGGTTGATTACAAATATAAGTAGAGGTGAGCATTTCATTTTTGTGAAGGTGTGTCTTTATAAATTATAAAATTGAACCCAATAATAGGTCTTGGAAATCCTCTTGGTATCTTTCAATACTGTAGGCCGGGTGGTAATTATGATGTGCTTGTCAATACCTGTGCAAAGTTGATTGTTTTTCCATGTGGCATGGCTGGACAACCCAGAGTGCTTGAAGTTTCAGTCAACAAACTGTTCAAGGATCACTTAAGAAAAGAATATGAGTCCTGGTGGCTGCTTGAAAACTTTCCATTGGTAGCCTCTGGCAATATGAGGAAAGCCCCAGTCTCAAACTTAGCAGAATGGGTGTCAGCTACTTGAAAGAAAACCCTAGCACTTGCTTAAGAAATGCAGCATTACCAATACTCTTGACCGCTCATAGGAAGATTACGTGGAAAAATGGGGAAATGAGGGCTCTAAGTTCTAAAAGTGATTCAGAAGAGTCAGGTCTTAAGTGTGAGGAACTTTTAGAAATATCTTCATTTCACTTAATTTCCTTTTCTTATGTATGTAAGAGAGATATATAATGAAATACTTATGTTTAAAATGTCTAAAAGAGCTTTTGCCATGGGTAAAAACTAAAATTACTGAAAGAAAATAGTTATAGTTTAATTGGTGCATTTTTCTTTCTTAATGGTACATAAAATAATAGTGTGTTTTATAATCAATGGTGTCTTAGAGTTAATTATATAGCAAAGAAGGGATGGTGTATATATTAGCTAAGAGAATGAAGATTTGAAGAGCTCTTTGTTTGGTGGTACAAAGGTCTCCCAAACAAAAAAATCTAACAGGGATAAAGTCTAAGTTCAAAACACAGAGTGACAGAATTCTGATTTAATATATTTTCACTGAAGGGGGCAGGGGAAATCCTGTGGTCTGTAGCTGACTGCAAACTAATTATAAGCCAAGAGTTAATCTAATGTGATCGTTGGCTATCTGGAAAAAAATTACCTCCAAAGGCAGGAGGCTCACTAAGTTCTTTATTGAGCAGACCATCTCATTAGTATATTCCTTGCTTTAGCATTAATAACTATCCAAATAATAATAACCAGAATATACTATTTACCTAATTATATTATTAATATCTGCCTCCCCCACAAGGGCAGGATGAAAGCTCTGTGAGGGCAGGGATATTCATGCTTTGTTCAGTGCCGTATCTCTATACTTAGAGTATTGCCTAGCAGACAGATGTTCAATTAATATCTGTTGAATGGATAAGTAAACTGTTTTCAATTTAGGGGTGAAATTAGAGACATTCAGTAACAAGCTGGAGTACATTCAAAAGAAAGTGCTCAGGATAATGAGGGGTCTGGAGACCTGACGGGTGTCTTTCAACTGTGCAAAATAATATGTGAGGAACAGGGCACCATCTGGATATATCTGAAGGGCTGTCACACAGAAGAGGCTGGCAGGTAGAACACTGACTAAGCAATGGAAGACTCAGTTACCCATGGGAATACTCCCCCAAACTGCATGTGGCAGGGCAGAGTGAGACTCTGACATGCTCATTAAAAAATATCTATCTGGTTAGTTAAAAAAAAAAAAAGGCTAAAACAATAGAGGTGAAAGAGATTTTTGTTCAACTTTACTAGAAAGCAGACTGCCAGCAACTTCAAAAATCTATTGGGTTGGTGCAAAAATAATTATGGTGTTTGCCATTGCTTTCAATGGCAAAGCAATTACTTTTGCAATAACAGAACAGTAGAAATAACCTCAATTTACCAAAAAAAAGTTCTGAAAAAGTCCATCCACTTTTTCCATAAGAAAGGCATGGAGCCACCTCCCCTTAACAACTCTCTCAACCAACTGCTCATTGAACTGGGGTGGTGTTTCCCAAACTTTAGTTGTCTAAGTACACTTTCACAATTTTGGTCATATCCTTAAAATTTTCTTCTAATTTTAATTTTTAAGCAAAATAAATTTATTTCAAAAAGAATTTATATCACTCATATAACATAAAACCAGGATCATTTATCTTAAGTAGAAAGCTGTCATACAAATAAATACAATGAAAAGAAAACTTATTACATTCTAGCTAGATAATGTTATTTGCCAAAGACTGAGCCACAGGCCTGGCCAAGGAAAATTAGGCTGGGCATGGTGGCTCATGTCTGCAATTCCATCACTTTGGGAGGCTGAGGTGGGCGGATCACTTGAGGCCAGGAGTTTGAGACGAACCTGGGCTATAATGAGACACTGTCTCTACAGAAAATTTAAATATTAGCTGAGCGTGATTGCACATGCCTGTAAGTCCCAGCTACTTGGGGGCTGAGGTGGGAGGATCGCTTAAGCCCAGGAGTTTGAGGCTGCAACTTCTTGAGTAAGCCATGATAGCACCACTGCACTCCAGCCTGGACAATAAAGTGAGCCTCTGTCTTAAAACAAACAAAAAAATCAAAAACAAAAAAGGAGAAAAATTAGCCATTAGAGGGGTGTTAAAGACATATTAACTCCAAACTGATGGGAAGGCTTAAATAAGATGGAAAAGGGCATACTCTTCTGTTTAAGTGATCCAATGTTTAATTCTGTGTCTGTATATACAGCCGAAGAGCATCTCATGTCCAGTGCCTTTTGGTGGAAGCTTGGAGACCCACTGGGTTAGAAGTAGCAAGGACACAATGATAATAGCAAAAGAGACAGATGACACCAGAGGGAATAAAATGAATTACAAAACTGGATAAAATAACTATACAAATATAGGCTGGGCATGGTGGCTCATGCCTGTAATCCCAGCACTTTGGGAGGCCGCGGTGGGAGGATCACTTGAGGTCAGGAGTTAGAGACCAGCCTGGCCAGCATGGTGAAACGTCAACTCTACTAAAAATATAAAATTAGCCTGGAGTGGTGGTGCATGCCTGTAATCCCACTTACTCTGGAGGCTGAGATATGAGAATTGCTTGAACTCAGGAGACGGAGGTTGCAGTGAGCCAAGATGGGGCAACTGCACTCCAGCCTGGCCACAGAGCAAGACTCTGTCTCAAAAAACAAACAAACAAACAAGCAAACCAACAAAAAAACAAAAAACTATACAAACATTAGTCTGGGGCCACTTAAAGGGCTTTACATATGTCATTAGTTTAAACCAATAACAATAATGAAGTCATCCCCCTTTCATTCTGTTGTTTCAGAACAGTTTTTAAAAGCAGAATTATACAACATGTTAAAATAATCACAAAGAAGATAGCTATAATAGAATAAAATTGATGCTTAAAGAGGTTCCTGTTTAGGTGCAGAATGTGTTCCCAAGAAATACCTCGTTTCTGGTGATGTCAGAAAAATTTTGCATCATTGGAATAAGTTCTGCTTTTCTGGTCTAATCCACATCTTCTTGCACTCTCAATAAAGTAAGGATATTGTCTTAAGTCTTACCATAGTAGAAATGTTAATGCAAGAAACACACACACACACATAAAAGTTTCAGGAGGAATTACAAACTGAGAAATCCAGAAAAGTTAGAAAGGGAGAACAAATGTTGTACATCAGTGCTAATAAACATATTTGAACATAAGCTTATGTAAAGATCATGGGGCCAGGCTTGGTGGCTCACGCCTGTAATCCCAGCACTTTGGGAGGCCGAGGCAGGCAGATCACGAGGTCAAGAGATCGAGACCATCCTGGCCAACATGGTGAAACCCTGTCTCTACTAAAAATACAAAAATTAGCCAGGCATGGTGGTGTGTGCCTGTAGTCCCAGCTACTCAGAAGGCTGAGGCAGGAGAATCGCTTGAACCTAGGAGGTGGAGGTTGAAGTGAGCCGATACCACACCACTGCACTCCAGCCTGGGAACAGAGTGAGACTCCGTCTCAAAAAAAAACAAAACAACTCATATTTGTTTTGGGCCCACTGCTTTACATTAATATTCAACTGTTTCAAATGTGCATGTTCTCCTATCTGGAGGTCAATGTCTTTTGATAAAACTGTAGCACCCAGCACAGAGATGACATTACGGTAAGTACCTAAAAATACTTATTAAAAGACCCACTGAAAGAAAACTTGGGCGTACTATTAATATATTTCACAAACAGAGCTCCAGGGTACTCATGGAGCAGTGGTTTAGGCCATAGACTCCAGCACCAGACTTCCGGGATCCAAATCCTAGCTCTGCCACACCTAGTAAGGTATTTCCCTTCTGTGTGCCGTAGTTTCCTCATCTGCAAAATGGGAATAATCAGAATCCTCCTTATATGGTTGTTAGGAGGATTAATAAATTAATCTTGGTTCCTAGAGAGTGTCTGGCACACAGTAAGTGCTCTACAACCATTGGTTGCTTTGTAATGAGGTCCTCTTATGTAGAAAGAGAGGCAGTACACTATTCTCTTTAAGAGCATTAGGCTCTGGAAGCAATTCACCTGGGTTTGAATCCTGATTATGCCATTTACTAAGCATGTGATCTAGAACAAGTTACCTTTCCTTTCTGAAACAAGAATAAAGAATAATATTAACTTCATAGAGTTATTGTGAAAATAACTGTAAAACATGAGCCCAGGGCCTGGTGCAAGTAAACACGCAAATAGACATCGGTGATTTGCCCATTTGTTGATGGTCCAGCTCTGAGAAGATAGTTTCAAATGAAGTTGCCCTTAAAGATAAGTCATTGTTGGTTTAAAAAATCTCTGGGAAGATCATGGTAGGGATTTGAATATATTCCAAAAATATGGCCTCGTTCCCAAACTACAGAACTCTGGATTAGAGGTCTCTAACTCACTTTCTAGAGCAGAAATCTTGAACTCATGCTCTAGATCTTGGGTCTCTAACTGAGACTTAGATCAAGAGTCCCTAGATCTAAGATCAGTGGTCTCTAGCTCAAACTGATCTACTACATAGAGTCCTTGACTCAAATGCCTCACAGGTACTAGGCTGATAAAACAAAGAAAGGAGCTACACAGGAGGAGGCTGCAGGACCTGGAGAACACTCAAAGCCTCATCCAAAGAGTGCACCATCCCTGGGCCCAGTGCTGCCATGTGGAATTGTGGGCCCAGGTCACTGGACCTTCTCAGTTAAAAAAATAAAAAAAAAAATTTTTTTTGGTAGAGATGGGGTCTTGCTATTTGGCCAGGCTTGTACTGAACTCCTGGCCTAAAGTGATCTTCCTGCCTCGGCCTCCCAAAGGGCTGGGGTTACAGGCATGAGCTACTATTCCTGGCCAAGCATCTTCTAATTTTTAAGAAAACCCCTAAATCCAATTCTTATATAATATTTCCCAGTTTAAAAAAAGTGACAATTAATTAAAATATTTAATACTGTCCATCCCAAAGGAGACCTGTCTGAAGGCTAAATACAGCCTGAGTCTCATTAGTTTGTAACTTCTGCCCTGGGTCACCCCAGGGATTCTGTAGACCAGAGCTTGCCTAGACCATTTGAGACAGTGTTCAGCCTTCTAGGATACAGAAAAAGTGATCTAGTTTTCCTAGACTTGGCCTCAAACACTGAACCTATTGTGGAAACATAATTATTCACTCTGGTGAGCGCTGATGAAAATTCCTCACTCTATAGGCACAGCTCTCCCCTTCTTCACATCTCTAAACTGAAGCAGGTTTGAATACCTAGCAAGTTCCTAACAGCCCTCCAATCTCATTTACACATGGTTTTAAACATTATGTTATTTAAACATTTTTCTAATTTTCCTCATTTGTAGGGATGGGAGAGTGATGGTAATGGGGGACTGAGGTTCACTCTATAAGAAAGTTGTCCTCATTATTGGGACCTGATGTAAACAAAAGGAGTGTAAACATTGGGAGTTGTAATGTAAACACTGGGAGTTACTGTAAACATGCCATCATCATTCAAGGAAGGTAAACCCAGGAGCAAGAAGAGGAGCAATAAATGTGGGAATTTTGTTGAGAACTTTCTTTCATGTAATTCCCCTGGTTCTTAATAATGTTTAAAACCATGCAGAAATGAGATTGGAGGGCTGTTAGGAACTTGCTAGGTATTCAAACCTTCTTCAGTTTAGAGATGTGAAGAAGGGGAGAGCTGTGCCTATAGAGTCAGGAATTTTCATCAGAGCTCACCAGAGTGAATAATTATGTTTCCACGATAGGCTCAGTGTTTGAGGCCAAGTCTTTGATTTGATGTTCTTATGCTGGGGCAGTAATATCAGAGCCTCTATTATGTTTTTTTCCCCCTCATGCTACCTTGTCTAAGACTATTTTTAAAAAATATTTTTTTTTTTTTTAGAAAAAAAAAATGAGTATCCTTTAAGGACTTGGATTTGACTTCCTTCCAATGCCTGGTCTTCATAAACCTTACTTATGAGGGATGTGTGACCCCTAAGCATGCACATAGTCTGCTGCCCAGGTTGGACTGCAATGGCGCCATCTTGACTCACCGCAGTCTCGACCTCCTGGGCTCAGGTGATCCTCCCACCTCAGCCTCCTGAGTAGCTGGGACCACAGGCGCATGCCATGACACCATGCTAATATTTTGTATTATTGTTTTTTTTTTTTTTGGCAGAGGTGGGGTTTCTCCATGTTGCCCAGGCTGGTCTTGAACTCCTGGACTCAGGCTATCCTCGTTCCTAGACTTTCCAAAGTTCTGGGATTACAGGCATGAACCTCTGTGCCTGGCCCCTATTACTTTTTAAACAGAGGAAATTAAGGGAGAGGTAATGGTAGTTTGGCTAGAATTTGAACAGCACAGGTGGTTAGCAGTAGCTGCAATCCTTCTTCTCTTCTTAGCTCCCCAACCACCAGCAGTTCTTTCTCAGTTCTTTAGGGGAAGAAACAAATGGGGTTGTTTACAGCTTTAATGAGTGTGGTTGGTTACTGTTAAATTGATGCTACATTATTTGTAAGAGCTTTATATATCTTGCAAGGCTATCATGAGGAACTCATGAAAGAAAGCATTTTGCAATTACTTTGAAAACTGTGCAAAGTGAATGTTATTATTAAAATTAAAACATGCTGAATGTTAAGTAACATTTTTCATTTATTCTTATAGTTTCTAAAATAAACATCAAAGACTTTATGCTCTTTTGCTTAAAAGCTTCATAGACAAAGATCAAATTTTTAAAAATAGAAAAAGTCATATACTATGACTTTAATATAAAGTCATATATTAAAGCTAAGACTTTGTTCAATGCTAAAAGTTTTGCTCTGATGATGTAACTCTATGAAAATAGTCCAAGACATACATATGTTCTTTCCACCAATTTACCTCTGATGACTGGTGTGTATTTTTGAAATACTTATGAAATATTAGGGCCAGGCATGATGGCTCACACCTGTAATCCCAACACTTTGGGAGGCTGAGGCAGGTGGATCAGGTGGTCAGGAGATCGAGACCATCCTGGTCAACATGGTGAAACCCCGTCTCTACTAAAAATACAAAAATTAGCCCGGCATGGTGGTACACTCCTGTAGGCCCAGCTACTTGGGAGGCACCAGGAGGCAAAGGTTGCAGTGAGCCGAGACCGTGCTGCTGCACTCCAGCCTGGCAACAGAGCAAGACTCCATCTCATAAAAAAAAAAAAAAAAAAAAAAGAAATATTATTTCCTCAGATAAAAATACAATGTACAGGCTGGGTGTGGTGGCTCATGCCTGTAATCCCAGCACTTTGAGAGGCTGAGGCGGGTGGATTACTGCAGGTCAGGAGATCAAGACTATCCTGGCCAACATGGTAAAACCCTGTTTTTGCTAAACATACAAAATAAACCTGGCGTGGTGGCGTGTGCCTGTAATCCCAGCTACTTTGGAGGCTGAGGCAGGAGAATTGCTTGAACCAGGGAGGCAGAGGCTGCAGTGAGCTGAGATCATGCCATTGCACTCCAGCCTGGGCAAAAAGAGCAAAAACTCTGTCTCAAAAAAAAAAATGCTATGTATAAACACTAGCAAGTCCACATTTTCAAAAGGGAATAGACTGTCAATCTCCATATTTTATCTAGCAATTATAGTAAAAAATAAGTAACATAACAAGTGCATATTTTGTGCGAGCCAATATGTGAAGTGTTTTATGTGCCAATTCTTAATTACTCATTACAAAAATCATATAAGGTAAGTATTATCATTATTTTCAGATGAGGAAACTCAGGAAGAAAGAAAGGGACTAGGTAACTGGCCCAAACTGCTAGTAAGTGGTGAGGCTGTGATTGAACCCAGACAGAGTGAGTCCAGAGCCAGTGTGCTCTAGTGCCTGCAGAGAAGGAAAACTTCATTGATCTGGATCATATTAATTCAGAATTTGTGAAAATAAAATTCCGACATGAGCTGGGTTAAAGCTTTTAAACCATAATAAATTGTTAAGCAATTTAATGTATGGATATTAGAAGGAGTATCTAATTTATGTTACTTATCAAAATGTTTTCAATAACTTAGAAATATAAACTACTATATAAATAACATCAAATTATTATTGTTTATGTTTTTCCATGAAAGCTTCCATCCTTGTAGTCACTCATTTATGTATTAATTGAAGTAATATAACTGCAGTTTTAAAAATTAATTCATAGTATTTTACATATTTATGAAGTATATGTGATATTTTGTTACAATCATAGAATGTGTAATAATGAAGTCAGGGTATCTGAGGTATTCATTACTTTGAGTATTTATCATTTCTTTTTTCTTTTTCTTTTTTTTTTTGAGGCAGTCTTACTGTGTCACCCAGGCAACAAGATGCAGTGGTGCCTCCCAGGTTCAAGTGATTCTCGTGTCTCAGCCACCCGAGTAGCTGGGATTACAGGTGTGCGCCACCACCACGCCTGGCTAATTTTTGTATTTTTAGTAGAGACAGGGTTTCTCCATGTTGACCAGGCTGGTCTTGAACTCCTGGCCTGAAGTGATCTGCCTGCCTTGGCCTCCCAAAATGCTGGGATTACAGGTGTGAGCCACTGCGCCCGGCCAAGTATTTATTATTTCTATGTGTTAGGAACAATTTCAAGTCCTCTCTTACTGCTATTTTAAAATATACAGTATATTGTTGTTAATTAGAGTCACTTTATTCCACTGTTGAACAATATTACATATTTTTTTATCTAACTGTATGTTTGTACCTGATAATCTACATTTCTTTATCCCCTGCTCACACCCACTCATCCTTCCCAGCCTTTGGTCACCATCATTTAACTCTCTACCTGTATGAGATCAACTTTTTAAGCTCCCATATATGAGTGAGAACATGCCATATTTGTATTTCTGTGCCTGGATTATTTCACTTAACATAATGTCCTCCAGCTCCATCCATGTTGCTGCAAATGACGTGATTTAATTTAATTTAATTTTTTTTTTTTTTGAGACAAGACTCCAGCTCTGTTGCCGAGGCTGGAGTGCAGTGGCACAATCAAGGCTCACAGCAACCTCCGCCTTCTAGGCTCAAGTGATCCTTCCACCTCAGCTTCCAGAGTAGTCGGAACTACAGGTGCATGCTACCATGTTTTGGTAGTTTTTAAATATATATATACATATATATTTTTGTAGAGATGAGGTCTCACAATGGTGCCCAGGCTGGGATTTCATTCTTTTTTATGGCTGAATAGTATTCCACCATGTACATATGTATCATCTTCTTTATCCATTCTTCTGTTGGTGTACACTTAGGTTGACTCCATACCTTTGCTTTTGTGAATAGCGCTATGATAAACAGGTGAGTGCAAGTATCCCTTTGATATACTGATTTCTTTTCCTTTGGATAGATACCTAGTAGTGGAATTGCTGGATCATTTAGTAGTTCTATTTTTAGTTTTTTGAGAAATCTCTACACTCTTTTCCATAGTGGTTTTACTAATTTACATTCCCACCAACGGTGTATAAGAGTTCCCTTTTCTCTACATCCTCATCTCCACAGGATCTCTTTTTGTCTTTGTAGTAACAGCCATTCTAACTGGGGTGAGATAACATCTCAGTGTGGTTTTTCATTTGCATTTCCCTGGTGATTAGTGATATTCAGCATTCTTTCATATACCTGTTGGCCATTTGTATGTCTTCTCTTGAGAATTGTCTATTCATGTAATTTGCCCACTTTTTAACGTGATTTTTAAAAATTGTTGACGTGTTTGAGTTCCTTGTGTATATTCTGGATGTTAGTCCCTTGTTGGATGAATAATTTGCAAATATTTTCTCTTATTCTGTAAGTTTTCTTTCTGTTGATTGCTTCCTTTGCTGTGAAGCTTTTCAGTTTAGTATAATCCTATTTGTCTATTTTTATTTTAGGTGCCTGTGCTTTTGAGGTCTTAGCCATAAAATCTTTCCTAGGCCAATGTCCTGAAGTGTTTTTCTTACATTTTTATCTAGTAGTTTTATAGTTTTGGGTCTTATGTTTAAGTCTTTAGTCCAGTTTGAGTTGATTTTTGTAATGGTGACAGATAGATAGTGGTCTGGTTTCATTCTTCTGCATATGGATATCCATTTATTGAAGAGGGTGTCCTTTCCCCAGTGTATGCTCTTGACACTTTTTTTGAAAATCAGTTGACAGTAAATATGCAAATTTATTTCTGGGTTCTGTATTCTGTTCCATTGGTCTATACCAATACCATGCTGTTTGGCTACTATAACCTTCTAATATATTTGAAAGTCAGGTAGTGTGATGCTTCCAGCTTTGTTCTTTTTTTCCTAAAATTTTTTGGCTATTCTGACTCTTTTGTGGTTCCATAAAAATTTTGGTATTTTTTTTTTCTATTTCTGTGAAAATGACACTGGTATTTTGATAGGGATTGAATGGAATCTGTAGATTGCCTTGGGCAGTATTTTAACAGTATTAATTCTTCCAATCCATGAGCATGAGATGTCTTTTCTTTTGTTTGGTGTCCTCTTCCATTTCGTTCTTTAAAAATTTTTTTATAAAAATTTAAAATTTTTCTAGAGATGGGTTCTCACTATGTTGCCCAGGCTGGTCTCAAACTCCTTGAGTCAAGTGATCCTCCCATGGCCTCCCAAACTGCTGGGATTACAGATATGAGCCACTGCACCTGGCCCCCTTCCATTTATTTCCTCAGTGTTTTGTAGTTTTCTTGTAGTTGTGGGTTTGTCATATATGGCCTTGATTATTTTGTAGTATGTTCCTTCTATGCCGAGTTTGTTGAGAGTTTTTGTCAAGAAGGGATGTTGAATTTTATTAAATGTTTTTTTCTGCATCTATTGAGATAATCATATGTTTTTTGTCCTTCATTCTGTTGATGTGATGTGTCATGTTTATAGATTTGCATAAATTAAACCATGTTTGCATCACTGGTATAAATTCCATTTGATGATGGTGTATTATCTTTTTGATGTGCTATTGAGTTTGGTTTGCTAGTATTTTGTTGAGCATTTTTGCATCTATATTCATCAGGGATATTGGCCTGTAGTTTTCTTTTTTTGTTGTGTTGGCCTTACAGAATGAATTAGGGAGAATTCTCTCTTCTTCAAGTTTTTGAAATGGCTTGAGGAGGATTGGTATTAGATCATCTTTGTATGTTTGGTAGAATGTGGTAGTGAATCTGTCCAGTTCTGTGGTAATGAATCTGTCCAGTTTCTTTGTTGGGAGACTTTTCATTACTGATTTAATCTTGCTATTCATTACTGATCTGTTAAGATTTTCTGTTTCTTCCTGATGCAATTTTGGTAGGTTGTATGTGTGCAGGAATTTATCTATTTCCTCTAGGTTTTACGGTTTGTTAGTGTATAGTTGTTCATAGTAGTCTGTAATGATCTTTTGTATTTCTGTGGTTATCAGTTGTAATGTCTCCTTTTTCATTTCCGATTTGGGTCTTTTCTTGGTTAGTCTAGCTAGCAGTTTATTAATTTTGTTTATCTTTTTGAAGAAGCTGCTTTTTTTATTGATCCTTTGTATTGTTTTTGTCTGTATTTTGTTTAGTTCTACTCTTTATTATTTTTTCCTTTTACTAATTTTGGGTTTGGTTTGTTTTGCTTTTCTAGTTCTTTCAGGTACATTATTAGACTGTTTATTTGAAATCTTTCTACTTTTTGATGTAGGCATTTATTGCTATATACTACTTAGTATCACTTTTGTTGTATCCCACAGTTTTTGATATGTTATATTTTCATCTTCATTAATATCAAGACATTTTTAAATTTCCTTCTTAATTTCTTCATTAACCCAATAGTCATTCAGGAGTATGCTGTTTAATTTTTATTTATTTGTATAGTTTACAAAGTTCTTCTTGGTATTGATTTCTAGTTTTATTCCATTGTGGTCTGAGAAGACATTTGATATGATTCCATTTTTAAAAAAAATTGTGGCTGGGTATGGTGGCTCATGACTGTAATACCACCACTTTGGGAGGCTGAGGTGGGCAGATTGCTTGAGGTCAGGAGTTCAAGACCAGCCTGGGCAACATGGCAAAACCCAGTCTCTACAAAAAAAAATTCAAAAATCAGCCAGATGTGGTGGTGTGTGCCTGTAGTCCCAGTTACTCAGGAGGCTCAGGTGGGAGGATTGTTTGAGCCCAGGAAGTTGATGCTGCAGTGATTCATGATTGTGCCACTGTACTCCGGCCTGGAAGACAAAGGGAGACCCCATCTCAAAAAAAAAAAAAAGTTGGCTAGGTGCAGTGGCTTATGCCTGTACTCTCAGCAATTTAGAGGCTGAGGCAGGATTGCTTGTCCCAGGAGTTTGAGACCAGCCTGGGCAACAGAGTGAGACCCCTAGTTCTACAAAATTACAAAAATTACAAAAAAAAAATTTAGCTGGGTGTGGTGGTACATGGTTGTGGTCCCGGCTACTTGGGAGGCTGAGGTGGGAGGATCACTTGAGCCTGGGAGGTCAAGGTTGCAGTGATCCATGATTGTGCCACTGCACTCCAGACTGGGCAACAGAGCGAGAACTTATCTCAAAAAAAAATTTTGTTGAGACTCATTTTCTGGCCTAACATATGATTTATTCTAGAGAATGTTCCATGTGCTAATAAGAATGTGTACTCTGAAGTTGTTGGATAAATGTTCTGTAAATGTCTGTTAGGTTCATGTGGTCTAACGTCCGGTTTAAATCCAGTCTTTCATTGGGTACTCATGGACACAAAGATGGCAACAATAGACACTGGGACTACTAGAGAGAGGGAGTGGGGCAAAGATTGAAAAATTAACTGTTGGGCACTATGCGCACTACCTGGGTGACTGGATCAGTTGAACCCCAAACCTCAGCATCACGCAATATCCCGTGTAACAAACCTGCACATGTACCTCCTGAATCTAAAATAAAAATTGACATTATTTTAAAAAGTTACTAATCAGGGAAATGGTGGTGGGGGGAGCAGTGAAGAGATATGAGGGAACCTTCTATACTTTCTGTTCAATTTTTATGTAAAACTAAAACTGCTCAAAATTAAAATCTATTGGTTTATAATAAATAAATCCAATGTTTCTTTGTTATTTACTGTCTGGATGATCTGTCTAATGCTGAAAGTGGGTTGAAGTATTCTACTAATCTCACATTGAAGTCTATCTCTCTCTTTAGATCTAGCAATATTTGCTTTATGAATCTGGGTGCTCCAGTGTTGGGCGCATATATGTTTAGAATTGTTATATCCTCTTGCTGGATTGATTCCTTTATCATTATGTACCTTGCCTTTTTTTTTTTTTTTTACTGTTTTCGACTTACTGTTTTGACTGTTTTAGCTGATATAGGTATAGCTATACCTGTTCACTTCTGGTTTCCATTTACATGGAATATCATTTTCTACCCCTTTACTTTCAGTCTGTATGTGTCTGTATAGGTAAAGTGCATTTCTTATAGGCAGCATGTAATTGGATCATATTTTTAAGTCCATTCAGCCAGTATATATGTTTTAAGTGGAGAATTTAATCTACTTACATTCAAGGTTATTACTGATATGTGAGTTTTTGTTCCTATCATATTGTTAATTGTTTTCTGTATGTTCTTTGTTCCTTTGTTTTGCTCTTCCTGTTTATCATTGTAGCTTGGTGGTTTTCTGTAGTGGTGCTATTTGAGTCCTTTCTCTTCCTCATTTATGTGTTTACTTTGCCAATGTGTTTTATACTTTTGTGTATTTTCATGATGGTAAATGTTGTCCTTTCATTTTCCAGGTTTAGAACTCCCTTGAACATTTCTCATAGGGCTGGACTAGTGGTTGTGAATCCCTCAGCTGTTGCTTGTCTGGGAAAGACTTTGTTTCTTCTTCTTTTTTTTTTTTGAGATGGAGTCTCACTTTGTCACCCAGGCTGGAGTGCAGTGGTGTGATCTTGGCTCACTGCAACCTCTGCCTCCCAGCTTCAAGCGTTTCTCTTGCCTCAGCCTCCTGAGTAGTGGGGACTACAGGTGTTTGCCACCATGCCTAGCTAATTTTTGTATTTTTAGTAGAAACAGGGCTTCACCATGTTGGCCAGGCTGGTCTTGAACTCCTGACCTTAAGTGCCTTGGCCTCCCAAAGTGTTGGGATTACAGGCATGGACCACTGTGCCCAGCCCTATTTCTCCATTTATGAGGCTAATTTTGCTGGATGTAGTATCCTTGGCTGGCAGTATTTTTCTTTGAGCACTTTGAACATGTCATTCCATTCTCTCCTGGCCTGTAAAGTTTCTGCTGAGAAATCTGCTGTTATTCTGATGGAGGTTCTTTTATAGGTGACTAGATACTTTTCTCTTGCTGTTTTTAGAATTCTCTCTTTGTATTTAACATTAGACAGTTTGAGTATAATGTGCTCTGGAGAAGATCTTTTTGCATTGTATGTGTTTGGGGATCTCAGAGTCTCCCATACCTGAATGTCTAAATCTTGGGAAGTTTTCACCTATTATTTCATTAAATAGGTCTTCTAACCCTTTCATTCTTGTTTTGCCTTCTGAGATTCCAATAATTCGAGTATTTGGTAACTTCATGGTGTTCCATATGTCATGAAAACTTTGTTCATCCTTTTAAATTCTTTTTTTTCTTTACTTTTGTCTGACTGGGTTATTTCAGAAGACTTGTCTTCAAGTTCTGAGTTTCTTTCTACTGCTTGATCTAGTCTATTGTTGAAGCTCTTGAATGTATTTTGTATTTAATTCAATGAATTCTTCAGTTCCAAAATTTCTGTTTGGTTCATTTTTATTTTTATTTTTTGAGACAAGTTCTCACTTGTCCAGGCTAACAGGCTGGAGTGCAGTGGCACTCGGCTCACTGCTTCCTGGGTTCAAGTGACTCTCCTTTCTCAGCCTCCTGAGTAGCTGGGATTACAGGCATGTGCCACCATGTCCAGCTAATTTTATTCTATTTTTTCCAGCAGAGACGAGGTTTCACCATGTTGGCCAGGCTGGTCTCAAACTCCTGACCTCAAGTGATCTGCCTGCCTCACCCTCCCAAAGTGTTGGGATTACAGACATGAGCCATGGCACCTGGCTGGGTTTATTTTTATATCTATCTCTCTGGTAAATTTGTCATTCATATCCTGAATTGTTTTTCTGATTTATTTGTATTATTTTTCAGAATTCTCTTGTATTTCACTGAGCTTCCTTAGAGTTAATAATTTGAATTCTCTTTCTGGAATTTCATGAATTTCTTTTTGTTTGTGATCTGTTGCCTGAGGATTATTGCAGTTGGAGGTGTCACATTTCCTTGTACTTTCATGTGTCCTGCATTCATATGTTGATATCTATGCATCTGGTGTAACAGCCACTTCTTCCAATTTTTTGAACTGCTTTTGTGGAAAAGGTTTTTCCTGAGGATGTATCTATGGTGTCGGTTGGGTAGGATGCTTTGGTTTTGATTCTGGGTGCATGGAATAGTGTAGTCTCTGTATGACTTATTTGGCTGTAAACAACATCAGTTGTAGCTGTGATTTCCATAGAGGCTTACAGTATGGTTATTAGTGGATGCTGTGGTGAGGTTTTCTTGGGAACTGGGATGCCAGGTAGGCCAGTCTTTGGGCCCCAGTGGTGGCAGCAGTGGGTTGAGCATGCCTGTCTTTGGGACCCAGTGAGGCACATGTTGGCACTGGTGTTAGCAGGTCCAGGTGGGCCAATTCTTGGACTTCTAGGTAACTTAGTTTTGCCAGTAGTGGTAGCAGTGGGCTGGGTGGGTAGGAGGGTCCTTGGCCCCCTGGGGAGCCAGTGTGGCATGGGTGATTTCAGTGATAGTGATGGGACAACCTTTGGGTTGCAAGCAGTGCACCCTGGTGTTGGCAGTGTCTGTGGTGGGCTGTGTAGGCCAGTCTCTAGGCCTGCAGGTGGGTGCATGCAGATAGGTGCCAGCTATGGTGGTAGCAGCCAGGTGGGTAGGTCTCTGGAAGGAGTGTTCAGGTAGCAATGGTGGTGAACTTAGCTGAACCATCCCCTGACCTCTGGGCTGTGTGCTCTGGCATGTTGAGGGGAGTGAAGCTAGGCTAGAGGGGCTGTCCTCAGTCCTCTGATAGCATGAGCAGGCACCAGTCATGGTAGGCAGGAGTGGGATGTTCCCCAGGCCAGCAGTGGAATGTTCAGATTGGGGGCAGCAGTGGCCATGCTGCTGTCCTGCCACTGGGGAGGGAGGTGCTGCCTTTAGTGGTAGCAGCCTAGACAGGTGGGGAACATATGTGATGCTTGTGCCTCGGCCTCTGCTGTGATAGCCTATGCCTTGGTAGCACTTCAGCCCTGGGCGTGGTAGCCTGTGGTCATTGATGCCTCAGCCCAGAGGCATGTACCTGCACCTGGCAGTAGCCTGCACCTGGGTTGTACCTCAGGCCTGGCTGCAGTAGCCTGCATGCAGTCGCTTGTGCCTCAGTCATAGGGCAACAGTCTGCATTTCTCTTGTGGCTCAGCCCTAGCATCACTAGATCTAGGACAGTACTTGGTCTATTAGGGATGGGGCTCTAAAATGGTGCCTTGCTGTAGCTGCCTAAGTCTCGGGAAGTGTTTGGGACCCAGTATGCCCTTCCTCCCTGGGACAGTCCTGTGGCACAATCTCTTGGCAGCTCCCTCTGTTAGTTTCAGGGCCCTCAAGGATTGAGGAACTCTCCCATGGTTAGAATTGCAGGGGTCCACAGTGGGAAGGTGAAGTACTGAGGGTCTCTCACTTAACCTTTCCCCATACTGGGGAGTCTCTCTCAGGCCTCAGCTGATCCCAACTGAACAGGCTGCCTCACTTCCTTCTCCTTCCTTGTTTTAGATATTTCTTGTCACTTTTCTGTGGAATTCCAGTGTGCTCTCTTGGATGATCTACTCAATGTGTGATTATCTACTCACTGTTTTGGTTCTTCCTAACTGCAGTTTTAAAATACAATAAAATTCTATTGAACTATGTATTTCATGGTTATAGGCAGATATATGAAGGACCAAATTATGACCAAACTCCTGAAGTCTTATGTTTCACTGCTATCTTCTTAATATGCTACATTCCTACCATTCTGTTTTATTTTCAGTTTCCAGACAGACCACAGAGTTTTCTCTCTTCTGAGTATTTGTATATCTTGTCTTTCAGCCATGTTTGCCTTATCCCTACTCACTTCCTATTCAGCCTTTTTTTTTTTCAAATTTTTTTGGGGTTGGGGTGAGTGGAAATGTAACATATAAAAGAAAAAGACACAAAACATGCTTAAAACTACTAACACTAGGACAGCGGTCCCCAACTTTTTGGCACCAGGGACTGGTTTCATTGAAGGCGGTTTTTCTACAGATGTGGGTGGGGAGTGGACGGTTTGAGATGAAACTGTTCCACTTCAGATCATCAGGCATTAGTTAGATTCTCATAAGAAGTTTGCAACCTAGATCCCTTGCACGCGCAGTTCACAATACATGCTCCTATGAGAACCTATGAGAATCCAATGCCGTTGCTAATTAGGCAGTAATGCTCACTGGCCTGCTGCTCACCTCTGGCTGTGTGGCCCTGTTCGTGACAGGCCACAGACCAGTACCAGTCTGCAGCCTGGGGGCTGGGGACCCCTGCACTAGGGTAACCACTATCCATTCAAAAATTAGAAAATAGCCAGCACTTCAGAAGCCTTTACCCTTTCCCATCACAATGCTCCTGTCCCCTCCGTAATACCCTGATTTTTATGATAATGACTTTTTTTTGCCTTTCTTCTTAGTTTACTTCCCAGAATGCAGCCCTAAACACTATACTTCCGTTTGAGCATATAAAGGGAAGCATATAGCATGGACTTGTGTGTCTGTCTTCACTCAATATTATGCTTGTGGAATTCATCTTGTGTAATTGTAGTTCCTCTGTTTCCACTGCAGTGTGCTAAGAGTTGGCGAACTGTGGCCTGTGGTCTGTTTTGTTATATATTGTCTATGGCTGCTTTAGCGCTACAACAGGAGAGTTGAATAGTTGTGACAGAGACCTCATATTTACCATCCAACCCTTTAAGGGTATTTGCTGATTTCTGCAGTATTGTGTGAGTATACCACAATTTATTTTTCCATTCTTTTGTTTTTTGGAGTTCCGGGTTGTTTACACCTTTGGGCTATTACAAACAACACTTCTATGAACATTCTTGTAGTGCCTCATGATGCACATGTACACTCATTTCTGTTGGGTATATCTTTAGCTAAGTAGATAATGCCAAACAATTTTTTCCCTCAATGATTCTAACAGTTTACCCACACTGGTGTTTAAGACCAGTCTGGGCAACATAGCAAGACCTCCATCTCTACAAAAAATTAAAAAATAAGCCAGGCATGGTGGCACATGTGTAGTCCCAGCTACTCCAGCAGCTGAGGCAGGAGGATTGCTTGAGCTTGGGAAGTCATGTCTACAGTGAGCTGTGACTGAGTCACTGCACTTCAGCCTGGGTGACAGAGTGAGACCCTGTCTCAAAAAAAAAATCTATTTCAATTCCTTCTTGAAATTTTCACAGTCAGCTGTGCATCTATAAACTGCCTCTACTAAGATCTTCCACTGCCACCTCAAATGCAACATGACTGCAATGAAATTGCTCTTTGACCACAGACGGACTCCCTTTGGAGTGCCCCTCCTTCTGTAAGAGGACTCATTATTTCCATAGCCACTCAGGCTCAAAACTGGGAAGTCATCCTGGATTCCTCATTCTTTCTGTCCCTTCAAATCCAGCCAGTCACAGGCTAAGTTCCTCCTTTGTAACATCTGTCATATCTACCCCTTGTATCCTATCCCTGTTACTGCCCTTCACCCACAGGTCCTCATCATCATTAGCCTTGACTTCTTGCCTCCATCCCTTCTCACTGCAATTCCACATGAATCTTCTTAAAACACTCTTCTGCATCTATCAACTACTTGTTCAAAAAGCCTTTACTGCCATTTATCTTCCATAGAATTAGGTCTTAACTCCCTGGCTAAGCCAGAACCTTCCCATTTCCCATCAGTTTAGAATCTTACTTCCTGCTTCCTCCCTAGAAAACCTCCTTTAGCTCACTGCTCTGTTCACCAGCCCTTGAACTTACTCCAATCTCTTAATCTTTTTCTGTTTAAGCCACTTTCTTCAAGGGTCAGTTAAAGTCCTAACTCTAGTTCCAACTGATCCTACTCAAAATTGATTTCTCCTTTTTCTGATACTTGTTGTAGCACACTATTTCCTCCACATGTACCTTGTATTGTAATTTTTTGTTCATTCACTCATTCAACAAAGAATATTGACCATCACTCATATTCCAAACATCGTGCTGGACACAGGGTGTACAAAGATGGAGATGATATAATTCCTAACCTTGATGAGTTCATGACCTTGTCCAGTTTGACCGAGTTGAATACAAAATATCCGAGGGCAGAAACTGTCTTATTCTTTTTTATATTTCCAATGCTAATCAGCATTTTTTACAGAGTACAATTCCTGTTAATGGTGATGATGAAAGACAAATAGAATTTCTTGTTCTAATAATAATGAAGCAAGCTAGAGGCTAGCAAAATTTCACTCACATTTTATGTAATTCTACCAGAAATTCAGATAAGGAAGCTACCATCCAATTTTCTGTTGGGTTTTAGTATTGTAGAACCTCTTTTTACTCATAAAGCTATAAATGCTGTAAAAATTCTTAAGGCTACTATTATTCAGATTGTTTCCTGGAATTATACAAGGAGGTAAATTAATCCTTTTGGATCACTTGTAGAGTTATTTTAACTTTTTGTTAAGAAACCCTGTAACATACTCATATACATACATCATATGCTCTCATAAACACATATAAATGGATATACTATAAGAAATCTCTAGACTATTTTGAATTTTCACTAATAAGCAGGAATAATGAATTGTTACTTTATCATAATACAGTGAAAGAAATCATTACTATACAATAATCCAGAAAAATATAAACATTTTACCAAAACCTCATTAGTGCAGTTGGTAGACTTGGCATAAAGTTCCAGAAAAATTCGGCCTACCTAGATGAAACTTTAAATTTCTTGAAAGAAGGGGCTATGTGTTTTATTTCTTTTATAGTACCTAAGATACCCAGCATAGCAGCGCAATCAGGAGCTACTCCAAACACATTTGTCGAGTTGTAGTTGCACAAACTAATAATTTTATGGCCAGAATAAGAAAAATGTGTATGAACCTTTGAAGAGAACATATAAGTAACCAATACTTGATGATTATGTATCAGAGGGGAAATGCAGGAATTATTTTAATGACCTCAATAGGTTGGTCAAAAAGCATCCTGCAGGAGCTGGGTTTAAAGGAGGAATGTGGAGACAGAGGGTATTCTCAGAGGAAGGATCATAACAGTTAATCTTTATCAAGTGCTTACTAACTGCCAGATACCTTTCCAAGTAGATCATCTTATATTAGGTCCTTTGATCCTTAAAACAACTCTGTGACGTCAGCACCATGAGAATACCCATTTTATAGATGAGGAAACTGAGATAGAGCAACATTTACAAATTTGCCACAGTTTTCAGCCTAGATTCAGGACCCCAAAACTATGACTCCAGAGTTTTGTATGCTTCAAGTCTATGCTATGATTTCTCCTATAGAGATGTAAATAATGATTCAAAGGCCAAAAAGAAAAAGAAAAGTGTGGGGAAGGGAGAGGGAGAGAGACAGAGACAGAGAGATAAGGAGAGAATGGGAGGTGTAAGTTGTTTTGTTTTCTGGGTGGAGCTTTGAAAGTGATATATAATTGAATGGAAAATAAATAAGTTGTTCTAGAAAGTTATAACCACCATAATGCAGGACAGGGCACTGTGGATTTTCAGAGGGTCTCCTCCTCCTGCCCCCATTGGATCTACTTTCTGTGCCATGGCCTCTATTTGGAAAAAACAGAGGAAAATAATGTAAGAGACAGGCTCATCATGAGCACACACAGCTGTCACCAGGCCATTTTATTTCCTGAAAGGTTGCTCATTCCATGGTGGCCTCTGACAGGCAGGAGGTGCCACTATTCAAGCCTCCTCCCAGCAACCCAGGACAGAATTACCGGTGCCAAACAGAAAGCTGGCATGTTTTAACCCACCCATGACCCACTCCTATATACACTGGAGTGGCAGCCGGAGGTCAGAGACAACAGAAGAGCAGCAGGGAAACTATGACCTGGAAGGTAGTTTGCGGAGTTGGGCTGATGCTGAGTCCTGGCTTCTGAAGCAAAGGCAATGGGGAAGACAGAAACAAAGAAAAAACTAAAACAAAAACATGGGGAAAAATTGGAGCGCAATGGGGCACCAGGAGACTAGGCGCCTGTACCAAATAGGATCCAGGTGCAGCTTTAAAGTATGTGCCTGCTTTATGTGTTAACATTTGCACACTCTGCCCATACTTAAACTTTTACAGTGTAATACTCTGTTATCTCTTCTAAGCACCTAGAGTGGAAGGTAGAAATTATACTCCTTTCACAGAGAGAAGGGCTTCTGAGAATAACAAAACCCAAGTGACTTTTGAATAAAGCTGCAGATCTTTCTGATTCAAGGATGACTGCATTTATACAAATTTGTTTGAGATGTTAACATTGTTGGAAGGAAATGAATCAGAAAAACTTTTCAAGTTACTTTAAACCCTATGATCCTACAATGGGTTGTGCAGAGAATCCTAAAGTACAGATCAAAATGGTTCTGACCTAAATTCATGAATACACAGTGTTTCAAGGTTAAGGAGAGTATGTGTCTGTCTCCTATGGATGTACAGAAACGAGTCCTAAAAAAAAATTGATGAGGAAAATCAATGGTGTGAACATAGCACCACATTACAAATATTTTCTCAAATGAAGGTTTTTGAAAAAGTATAGAAAAAATTCAAACGGTTGTTTGGTTACTTCTCTGATAATTGCTATTATCTTAATCCATTTTTAACATTCATAATTTAAAAGAAAATTAAGAAATTAAGAATATTAATTTTTTTCTTTTGGTAGCCTTAGCTTTAAACAAAAATAGGATATGAACATGTTAAAAGTCTATGTACAGATTTTGTGTATGTCCCTGGAAGGGAGTTTGTTTGCTGGCCAGCTTAATTTTTGACAAAGAAAAATGGGCTGCTCTTGCTTCTTGCACAAAGATGCACTGTTTCTAGAGCAAAGCAAAAAAAAAAAAAAAAAAAAAAAAGAAAAGAATGTGTGTAAACAAAAAATTTGGAAAAAAATTAAGATAATATTCAACATGATAATTTAGTATAAACTTTTTGTGAATTGATAAAATGTGTGGCTCATTAGAATTAAAAATATAACTATAATAAGAATTTTACTAATATCTGATAACTTTAACAGCAAGCAAAGCACTCTAAATTTCATTTTTACTACTTCATAATTAAAGATATAGCTTTTTTAAAAAGCTGCTTTGTCTGTGCAGTTGTACAGTACTCTAAAGTTTCCAAAAGAAATGAGGCAAAGTATTTGTGAAATCGAGCCACCTCGATTCCTTCCACAGAGCTGCCATCTGGGCTTGTTTATTTGTGTTTCCAACTTTCTGGAACAGAGAGTTTCTCTGTTAGGGACAGGGCACTGAGCAAAGGAAGTGTCTTACAGAAGGCTATCTTTTTTTTTTTTTTAACTACATTTTCAAAACTTATAGTTTAGTTTGGTCAAAAATATCAAATGACTACCATAATCACAGAGTCTAACACAATTGGAAGCCTCAGAATTGTCTTAGCAAACACTCTTCCACGATATGATGCAAGTAATATTTACTACATAATACCTTATTGTGATTTTCAAATCTTTTTCAAAATACAAACTGTCACTAAGGCTATATAGCTATTTGTCCTGGAAATCAAGCATTTTTCATAAATCCTTCTATAAATAAGTATTTGATTTAAAAATGAAAGAAGTATTTCCAAGCAATTTCCCTAATTTTAGAAGGTACATATGAGCCATGTTACCAAAATACGAAGCAATCAACAAAACAAAAATCTTACAAAGTATAATTAAGAAGCGAAGCATTATTGTTTGAATATACAATCTCATTATGAAGAACAGTTTAAAAATTTATTAAGTCAACACTTAAAAATGACTAGTAGTCTCATCTCTGAAACATTTAACAAACAAAATAGAAGCAAAAAGTACCTTGTAGAGTAAAATCCAGCAATACATATTCGTAAGCAAATTCTGTCTTTGTTTCCACTTGCGGTCTCTTCAGGGTAGAAAATATTTTTCCAGGGCTGCTATCATCAGGGTCTTCTAGCTTTCTAAGTCCGCACCCCATGGCAAAATCTGTAAGGAATTAAATTGCAGGAAAGGGGAGGGAGAGCAGCAAATTCTGTTGTTTAAGCTGCAAAAAGAAAGTTACAGACTTAACTGCTTTGATTTTGTTTTCAGCTAAACTATAGATAACCAAAAAAAAAAAAAAAAGCAAAAACCAAAAAAAAAAAAAAAACCCAAAAAAAACCATCTGGGTCCAAAGAAAGGAGTTGAAGAATTTTTCTATCCATTTTTCTGTAAAGTCATTGAACCCATGATTAAGCTACAGCTCCAGGAGGCTGGGCTTGATCTTAGAGAAACATGCAAGCTGCTACAACTTAGCGGAGAATTTCCATGCCACGTCAATTTACAGCCAGCCCCCTACCAGAGTTCTGTCGCTCAGGGCACCAGCGGTGCTTTGTCTATTCCAGTTGGCTGGATGATAAAAAGAGGTGTCCAAAAACGGAAATAAAAAGGCAAAAGGGCAACTTGGATGTAATTATCTACAAGTAGAAGATATATTCAGACATAGTGGCACACAATTCTTTTTCTGTTTTCCCTCTCCTCTCTGTCCTGCGCCTACCCTCCTTCCTCTCAACTACTACCAAGAAAGAAAAAGGAGAGAGAGAGAGAGAGGCAGTAGGGGGGTGGAGAGAGAGACAGAGAGAGAGAGGGAAAAAGAGAGAGAGAGAGTGAAAGAGAGAGAGAGAAAGAAAGAAAGAGAAAAATGAAAAGAGTGGATTCTCAACATATTTAGAAACAAAAATCATTTCCAGAAAGGAAGTCAGCTTTATGAGGAAACTATTTCTGGAGTCTAAAAGGAGGAAAGTAAAGTTTAAAAAAACAGCCCTTTAAGTCTTTAGTTAGTACTTTTGAGGATTTCTTTCCATATGAAGTTTCTTTCTGTTGGAAAAAATCATATGCTAATTAAAACAGCAAAGTATAAAAAATTTATATTAAAATATTTTTATAAAAAAGACTTTACTTAATTGCAAAGGAGAGACAGTTATGTGTGTAATTAGTTTCCCCAACATCCTTAAATAGTTTAAAACACTCTACTATTAGAAGGCTTATGATAGCAACTAATACTTCTATAGGTCTCAAAGTATCCTTAATTAAAAAATAAAACAAAACTGACAACTTGATTCATTTAATTTTTTTTTTTTTGAGATGTGGTCTTGCCTGTCACCTAGGCTAGAGTGCAGTGGCAAAATCATGGTTCACTTCAGCCTCGACCTCCCGGGCTCAAGCCATCTTCCCACCTCAGCTTCCCAAGTAGCTGAGACCACAGGCTTCAATGTGATTGAAAAAATTTTTCAGGCTTGTATTCTCTAGAATCTCAACTGTGATAAGGGTTTATTTTGTAAATAATGGAAGCAGTGGCAGAATCACATGCAACCACATCTGGCTCATTTTTGTATTTTTTTGTGGAGATAGGGTCTCACTATGTCACCCAGGCTGGTTTTGAAATCCTCAGCTAAAGTGATCCTTCTGGATCGGCTTCCCAAAGTACTGGGATTACAGGTGTGAGTCACTGCACCAGGGCCATTCAGTCTTATAAACTGCCATTTACCGGAGGTCAAGAATAATTTATAATGGACCAATTGTAATGAACGTTTATTGTATTTTACCCTTTACAGGTCAGGAAGTATGGTGCGCTCATCAAAACTGTGAGCCCTGGAATCAGGCTGCCTGGGTTCAAATCCTGCTTCTTAGGCCTACTAGAGATGTAATCTTGGGCAAGTTACTTGACCTCTTCAAGTTTCAACTTCCTCCCCTGTAAATGGTACTTACTACATAGGCTTGTTATGAAGGCTGAATGAGATAATCTTATCTCATATGTTAACACTAGGCCTGGCTAATAGCACAAAATACATTTGTTGATGCGTGTACGTTATAAAACAGGTTGGGAGTAGGAATAGGAAGGAAGTGATTCTGCCACTGCTTCCATTATTTACAAAATAAACCCTTATCACAGTTGAGATTCTAGAGAATACAAGCCTGAAAAATTTTTTCAATCACATTGAAGCCTGAGCATGAAAACTCTCAAAAGGGGGATGGATCCTTTATTTTATAGATCACTATTACCTTTTTTCTTTTCCTACTGCCTCCTTGCCTTTAAATGTTTTATTTCTCAGAAAAGTCTTAGAGAAAAATTCCACAGTCTTTCATGCTCCAGGATGAGCACTGTCGGTGGTAAGCAATTTGACTAAAAAGACAGCCAACTCTGACCCAGTGTGACTCATCTGACTGTTCACAGTACTTTCATGCCTGTCATTTTCCGTATCCTCTTTGGTATGGTGGGCTGTGAGGTCCTGTATGGCAGAAATGGAATCTTTGAAGGTCACTAGCATCTACTGAAGTGCCTGGAAGATTATTTAAGTACCCATTATATTTATTAAATGCATGCTATATTCCAGCCACTGAACTAGGTGCTGGTACAAAAGATAATTAAACATGCCCTCTGCCCTAAAGAAACTTATAGTGTAATGGGGAATACAAACTTATCTGCAGATAATTTCAATGTAATTTGGTAGATGCTGAAATAAAAGTATGCAAAAGATGCTATAGAAACTCAAGATGGGGCCTCTAACTCAGCCTGGAGGATGATGTCTGAGTTGTCCTCAAGGATAAATATTTTTAAGGTGATAAAGAAAGGTGGGTAGCATGTGCCAGAAGAGAAAAGCATGAGCAAAATCATGGAATCATGAAAGAGTATGGCATGTCGAAGGAACACGAAACAGTTGACAATTACTAGAACATAAAAAGTGAGAAAAGACTAAGCTGTAAGGGAGGCAAGGGGTAAGCTGTAATGAACTTGTCTACCATACAAAGGGAATTTGGACTTTATTTTGTAGGCAACAAAGGTGAATCAAATAATCAAATGGAATAATCAAGTGAGGAGTCTGAAGTAGGCAAGTGATATCAGTTTGCCTTTTAGATTGGTTACTGTGGCTGATTTCAGGAAGATGGTTTTACTTAGAGCAAGAATGGAGACCAGTCAAGAGGGTAAATGCAATAGTCCAGTAGAGAGCTGATGACTGAACGAATGTGGTACATCAGTAGGTCCTTAAGGAATTATTTTTACCTTTAGGAAAAGGAACTATAGTTTCTTAAGTTCATAATTGAACAATCACTTAAGTAATTTTCTCCTCCAAATTCTAACAAAATAAAATTTAATTAGACTCTTACAATATTTTTAAAACATTTTCATTTATCAATATGGCACACATTCCTGCTATTTTAACAATTACATGGGATTTCACTGCATTAATACAATGCTTACCAAGTAACATTTTGGTCATTTTCAAACTTCTACTGTGAAGATTTTTCTAAGGGTTACTTTTTTCCTCACTTTGGATTATTTCCTAAATACTTAGATTCTACTTCATAAATGGTCAAGTAGTTTACATACAAGAAACCAGTTAGAGGATGGACACAGTGGTTCATGCCTGTAATCCCAGCACTTTGGGAGGCCAAGGCAGGAGGATCACTTGAGGCCAGGAGTTCAAGACAAAGAAATCAGTTACGAAGCAATAAGCAGAGAAAATGCATTCTAATGGCTAAATAACTCATGTGTATTACTTATCTAAATATGTGGTTGGCCATAAAACTGTTTAAGGTATCAATCTTATATATTTTAAGTTTTATCAGTTGTTACCACATATTTTGCCTATATCTTTTATGCCTATATATTTATATAAAAACACTTGCATTCAAAAATTTTTCTCTGATGGGTGCAGTGACTCACACCTATAATCCCAGCACTTTGGGAGGCCGAGGTGGGCAGATCACTTGAGGTCAGGAGTTCCAGACCATCCTGGGCAACATGGTGAAACCCCATCTCTGCTAAAAAAAATACAAAAATTAGGTGTGGTGGTGCATGTTTATAGTCCCAGCTACTCGGGAGGTTGAGGCATGAGAATTGCTTGAACCTGGGAGGCGGAGTTTGCAGTGAGCCGAGATGGCACCACTGCACTCCAGCCTGGGCAACAGAGTGAGGCTCTGTTTCAAAAAAAAAAAAAATTTTTTTCTGCCTCTCCTTTGTGTCCTGAAGAATAATCTGCATCTCTTCACTAGTGTATTTCTCTTTTTGGAACAAATATTGTTTTCTGTTAGTTTTTAAAAAATTAATATACTTTTTTTAAGAGCATTTTTAGGTTCACAGCAAAATTGAACAGAAAGCAGAGAATTCCCATATGCTCCATTTTCACACATGCACAGCTTCCCCTACTATCACCATCCCACCAGAGGGACATATTTGTTACAATCGATGAACTTACATCAGCACATCATTATCTCCCAAAGTCCATAGCTGACATTAGGGTTCACTTCAGGTGTACATTCTATGAGTATTGACAAATGTATAATGACATGCATTCATCATTGTAGTGCTACACAGAGTAGTTTCACTGTCCTAAAAATTCTATGGTCCACTTATTCATTCCTCCTTATTGCTTTAACTCTGATTCACCTGGCAATGGTAATATATAGGGTAAGCTATAGATCCAAGTCATTTCTCTTCCAGCCTGATATCCAACTGTCACAACCACATTTGTTTCCATAATCTTTCATCAATGATGTTTCCTCAGGCTTATCATATATTAAATATTAACAGTAATTAGGATAAAATTTTGGAATAAATGTCTTCTAATTCTGGTCATTTTTTCTATAATGAATTATATTTGTTTGCTGCCAATGCAGATTTCAGGGACAGCTTTCAGTTCTGTATTGTAAATAGAGTTTCCCCAAGCGCAGGTTTGTATTTGGCTAGGTATGATGGAGATGTATTATCACTTCTTGCCTGTGCTCTAGTATGGGCTCCCTTAGTCCTTGAATGAATGAAGGAAACTTATGAAAATGTAGCACAGGCCAGGCGCGGTGGCTCACACCTGTAATCCCAGCACTTTGGGGGGCCAAGGTGGGTGGATCATCTGTGGTCAGGAGTTTGAGACCAGCCTGACCAACATGGAGAAATCCTGTCTCTACTAAAAATACAAAATTAGATGGGCATGGTGGCACATGCCTGTAATCCCAGCTACTCAGGAAGCTGAGGCAGGAAAATCACTTGAACCTGGGAGGCGGAGGTTGCGGTGAGCCGAGAGTGCACTATTGCACTGCAGCCTGGGCAAAAAGAGTGAAACACCGTTTCAAAAAAAAAAAAAAAAAGAGAAAAGAAAATGTAGCATAATATTCTGATAGCTACTAGGCAACTTTGGATCACCG
This sequence comes from Homo sapiens, assembly GCF_000001405.40. Classification (NCBI taxonomy): domain Eukaryota; kingdom Metazoa; phylum Chordata; class Mammalia; order Primates; family Hominidae; genus Homo; species Homo sapiens. The sequence goes on from NC_000002.12 coordinate 197,680,660, forward strand.
AGTTTACCAAAGACACAAAGCTTCTAAGAGTTAATTATGTATCATCCAATCCATTCCCTACAGAGAAAACTTTTGCATGATAGCAACTTTTAAATCTAGTCTATCTTGGATATCCCTTCTCAAAGAAGTAAATTCAACAGCTCAAGTATTTGTGGAGTGTCTACTGTATATGTAAGGCACTGCCTGGACACAAAGATGAAAAAGCCACGTTATGCTCTGCAGAATTCACAAGCTAGCAGACTAATGCTGAGTTTTAACTACTTACTATACCATTGGTTTCATTACGTAGTCAAGTTTCCCAAGATGTTAATGACTTATTGAAAAACATCACTTATTGAAAAAGCCATTCTTTGTTTAATATTTAGAAATGCTACATTTATCACATTATAGTTTAGATAAACTATAGTTTAGATACTTTATCTAAACCACTTTATGGTTTAGATAAACTATGATTAGTATTTTGACTTTTAATTTTGTTCTATAGTCTGGTTTCTCAGCATAACACATTTCAAAATTTTTATGGGTTTATAATTTTTCAATGTCCGGAAATTACAAAAATGTATTTCTTTTTTAAAAAAAGTTACTGACTATTCTTAACTATTTAGTCTTCTGGAGCAGTGTTTTCAAACTGTATGGCAGAACTCTTTGGTTCCAAAGAGGTGCCAGCTTTGGTGAAGAGAGAGAGTTTGATCATGAGGGGAGGCCAAGCAGGCAGGCTCTTGGTTTCCCTCCATCCTTTCTTCAAACAGAACAGCCTAGCTTTGATCAGTGTCATACACCAGTAACAAACGATTTAAAAGCCCTAACTATCAGACCATGACACCATTTATATTAGAAATAAACTAGGAATAAATCCATCAAAATATTAAGCCACACTTATATGTAGAAAGTCATAAAACTTTACTGAATAGCATTAAAGGAGATTTAAGTAAATGGGTATATATTCATAGTCAGTTTTAGGAACCCTTAATATAGTAAATATGTCAACCTCCCCCAGCCCTTGACACCTAACATTGAGCTATAGATTTAATGCAATGGTGACCTAAACCCAACAGGTCTTTGGCAGGGAACTTGTCAAGTTGATTTTAATAGTTACGTGGAAGATAAAAGGGCAAAAAATGGCTAAGATTCTTCTGAAGAAGAATACGGAGGACAGGTAAATTCTTCATATATTAAAATTTAGTATAAAGCTATAGTAATTAAAATAGTGTTTTTAGCAAGGCATAGATAAATTAGCCAATACAATAGCTAAAGAGCCTAGAAAGAGACCCGACACATGAAAATGTAATATATGATGAAGGTGGCATGGTAGGTCAGTGGAGAAATGGAACTGAGAAAACTGGTTATCCATATGGGGAAAAATTGGATCCCTACCTCCTGCTATACACAAAACTTTCAGTTCTATATAAAGAACTTAAACATCGAAAGCAATTTTTTAAAAATTTCTTTTATATTTCTTTTTCTTTTTTTCTTTAGTTTTTAAAATTTTACTTTAAGTTCTGGGATGCATGTGGAGAATGTGCAGGTTTGTTACACAGGTATACATGTGCCATGGTGGTTTGCTGCACCTACCAACCTGTCTTCTAGGTTTTAAGCCCCACATGCCTTAGGTATTTCTCCTAATGCTCTCCCTCTTCTTGCCCCCCACCCCCTGACAGGCCCTGGTGTGTGATGTTCCCCTCCTTGTGTCCATGTGTTCTTATTGTTCAACTCACACTTATGATTGAGAAAATGCAGTACTTGGTTTTCTGTTCCTGTGTTAGTTTGCTGAGAATGATGGTTTCCAGCTTCGTCCATGTTCCTGCAAAGGACATGAACTCATTCTTTTTTGTGGCTGCATAATATTCCATGGTGTATATGTGCCACGTTTTCTTTATCCAGTCTATCATTGATGGACTTTTGGGTTGGCTTCAAGTCTTTGCTATTGTAAATAGTACTGCAATAAACATACATGTGCATGTGTCTTTATAGTAGAATGATTTATAATCCTTTGGGTATATACCCAGTAATGGGATTGCTGAGTCAAATGGTATTTCTGGTTCTAGATCCTGCAGGAATCACCACACTGTCTTCCACAATGCTTGAACTAATTTACACTTCTACCAACAATGTAAAAGCATTCCTATTTCTCCACATCCTCTCCAGCATCTGTTGTTTCCTGACTTTTTAATAATCGCCATTCTAACCGGCGTGAGATAGTATCTCATTGTGGTTTTGACTTGCATTTCTCTAATGAGCAGTGATAATGAGCTTTTCTTCATATGTTTGTTGGCTGCATAAATGTCTTCTTTTGAGAAGTGTCTGTTCATATCCTTCACCCACTTTTTGATGGGGATGTTTGTTTTTTTCTTATAAATTTGTTTAAGTTCCTTGTAGATTTTGGATATTAGACCTTTGCCAGGTGGATAGATTGCAAAAATTTTCTCCCATTCTGTAGGTTGCCTGTTCACACTGATGATAGTTTCTTTTGCTGTGCAGAAGCTCTCTAGTTTAATTAGACCCCATTTGTCAATTTTGGCTTTTGTTGCAATTGCTTTTGGTGTTTTAGTCATGAAGTCTTTGCCCATGCCTATGTCCTGAATGGTATTGCCTAGGTTTTCTGCTAGGGTGTTTGTGGTTTTGAGTTTTACATTTAAGTCTTTAATCCATCTTGAGTTAATTTTTGTGCAAGATGTAAGGAAGGGGTCCAGTTTCTGTTTTCTGCATAAAGGTAGCCAGTTTTCCCAGCACCGTTTATTAAACAGGGAATCCTTTCCCCATTGCTTGTTTTTGTCAGGTTTGTTGAAGATCAGATGGTTGTAGATGTGTGGTGTTATTTCTGAGGTCTCTGTTCTGTTCCATTTGTCTATATCTCTGTTTTGGTACCCGTACCATGCTGTGTTTGTTACTGTAGCCTTGTAGTATAGCTTGAAGTCAGGTAGCTTGATGCCTCCAACTTTGTTCTTTTTGCTTAGGATAAAAAGCAAAAATTTTACACTTTTATGTGAAAATATGGATATTTATTCTGACAGAGTACAAGAGTGTTTTTAAGGTAAAAATGATAATCATAAAATAAAATTTAATAAATATAATTAAGGCTTCTATTCATTAAGACTCCTTAATGTGAAAGGGCAAGATACAAATTGGTGGGTGATACTTGCAAATTATCAACTAATAAAGGAATAGTATCCAGCAATCCCATTACTAGGTATTTATCCAGAGGAAAGGATGTCAGTTTGTCAAAGAAATATTGGCACCTCCATGTTTATTGTAGCAGTAATCACAATAGCCAAGACATGGAAGCAACCTAAGTGTCTTTCAACGGATGAATGGATAAAGAAAATGTGTGCACGTGCACACACACACACACACACATGCGAATACTATTCAGTCATAAAAAAGAATGAAATCCTGTTATTTGTGGCAATACAGAAGAACCTGGAGGACATTATGTTAATAAGCCAGACACAGAAAGACAAATATCGTATGAGCTCGCTCATATGTGGAATCCAGCATAGTTGATTTTATAGAATAGTGGAACAGAGGTTACTAGAGGCTGAGAAGGGTAGAGGGAAGTGGGGGTGATAAGGAGAGATTTGTTAAAAGATACAAAATTTCAGCTAGATGGGGGAATAAGTTCTAGTATTCTATAGCACTGTAGTGTTACTTTAGTTAACAATGACATATTATATATATTTTCCAAGTAACTAGAAGAGACGATACTGAATGTTCCCAACACAAATAAATGATAAATGTTTGGGATGACGTATGCTAAATACTCTGATCTGATCACTATACATTATATGTATTGAAACATGACTATGTTCTTCATAATTATGTACAGTTGTGCCAATTTAAAAAATAAATCTAAAAAATGCATAGAGAAAAAGTATATAAAGAACTCCTGCAAATAAGTAAAGAAAAAGACAAGCCAATAGAAAAACAGGCACAAAATATCAATAGGTGTGTCACAGGCAAAGTAACACATATGGTTCAAGTATATATGAGGAGATGCTCAACTTCAATTGTATTTGGATAAATGTAAATCCAAACCACAGCAAAGTAACATTTTAAAAAGTTGTGGCAAAGTATAAATAATACTGTATAAAACTTACCACCTTGTGCATTTTAAAGTGCACAATTCAATGGCATTAAGTACATTCACAATGTTGTACAATGAACACCACTATCTAGCTCCAGAACTTTTCATCATCCCAAGAGGAAACCCCATTACCAATTAAGCATGCACTCTCCATTCCAATTTTCCCCGAGCCCCTGGTAACCACTTACCTACTTCCTGTCTCTATACATTTGCCTGTTCTGGATATTTCATATAATGGAATCATACAGTATGTGGCCTTTTGTGTCTCGGTTCTATTTTATTTTATTTTATTTTATTTTATTTTATTTTATTTATTTTATTTTATTTTATTTTGGCTGAGTCTCACTCTGTGGCCCAGGTTGGAGTGCAGTGGTATGATCTCAGCTCGCTGAACCTCTGCCTCCCAGGTTCAAGCAATTCTCGTGCCTCTGCCTCCTGAGTAGCTGGGACTACAGGCAGGGGCCACCATGCCCATATAATTTTTTTGTATTTTTAGTAGAGATGGGATTTCGCCATGTTGGCCAGGCTGGTCTCGAACTCCTGGCAGCAAGTGATCCACCTGCCTTGGCCTCCCAAGGTGCTGGGATTACAGGCATGAGTCACCGTGCCCAGCCATTTTTTTCCTAACAGGAGAAAAGCACACAAATTTATTTAATATAAATTTTAGATTACACAGGAACCTGCAGAAATAAAGACTTAAAGAAATAGGGAAAGTTGTGTATTTTTCAGGACGGTTTGGCTGCAGAGGTATGATTGGATGACAGATGGATGTCATCTAATGGTAGTAAACTGGGGGAACTTAGCAAAACCTATTTGTTGAGATTCTTCTTGGTGCCACTGTGTCTCGAGAACATTTCTTTCCTTTGGGTATAAGGAGAAGCCGTTTATCTGGAGTGAGGATCTCATGACCTACTTTCAGGGGAAGGTCAGCTAGGTTTTGAAAGAAAGAGAGAGAGAAAGAGAGAGAGGGGTGTCATCACTCTCTCGCTCTTTTTTTTCTTTAAAATTTTTTTTAAAAAAATTTTATTTCAATACTTTTAGGGTCAGGCGGTGTTTGGTTACATGAAAAACTTATTTAGTGGTGATTTCTGAGATTTTGGTGTACCCATCACTGAACTGTACCCAATATGTAGTATTTTTTTTTTCATGGAGTCTTGCCCTGGTGCCCAGGCTGGAGGACAGTGGCGTGATCTCGGCTCACTGCAACCTCTGCCCTCTCCGCGGGTTCAAGTGATTCTTGCTCCTCAGCCTCCCGAGTAGCTGGGATTACAGCCACGCATCACCACACCTAATTTTTGTATTTTTAGTAGAGACGGGGTTTCACCATGTTGGCCAGGCTGGTCTCTAACTCCTGGCCTCAAGTGATCCACCTGCCTTGGCCACCCAAAGTGTTAAGATTAGAGGCGTGAGCCACTGCATCCAGTGTCAATGTGTAGTCTTTCATCCCTCACCCACCTCCCACCTTTCCCCCACAGTCCCTAAAGTCCATTATATCATTCTTATGCCTTTGTGACCTCATGGCTTAGCTCCCGCTTGTAAGTGAGAACATATGATACATGGTTTTCCATTCCCGAGTTACTTCACTTAGAATAATGGTCTCCAGCTCCATCCAGGTTGCTGAGAATGCCATTATTTCATATAAATGAAATAATGGCTGAGTAGTATTCCATGGTATACATATGCCCCATTTTCTGGTATACAACCAACCCACTTGTTGGCTGATGGGCATTTAGGCTGGTTCTATATTTTTAGGCTGGTTATATTTTTTCAATTGTGAATTGTGTTGCTATAAACAAGTTTGTGCAAGTGTCTTTTTCATACAATGACTTCTTTTCCTCTTGGTAGACACCGACTAGTGGGATTGTTGGATCAAATGGTAGCTCTACTTTTAGTTCTTTAAGGAATCTCCCTACTGTTTTCCATAGCGGTTGTACTAGTTTATGTTCGCACCAGCAGTGTACAGGCGTTCCCTTTTCACCACACCCATGCCAACATCGGTTATTTTTTGAGTTTTTAATTATGGCCATTCTTGCAGGAGTAAAGTGGTATCTCATCCCAGTTTTAATTTGCATTTTCCTGATAATTAGTGATGTTGGGCATTTTTTCATATGTTTGCTGGTCATTTGTATGTCTTCCTTTAAGAATTATGTATTTGTGTCCTTTGCCCACATTTTAATGGGATTATTTGTTTCCTTTCTTGCTGATTTGAGTTTCTTGTAGATTGTGGATATTAGTCCTTTGTCGGATGCACAGTTTGTGAATATTTTCTCCCACTCTGTGGGGTGTCTGTTTACTCTGCTGATTACTTCTTTTGCTGTGCAGAAGCTTTTTAGTTGACTTAGGTCCCGTCTATTTCTCTTTATGTTGCATTTGCTATTCGGTTCTTGGTCATGACCTTTTTGCCTAAGCCAATGTCTAGAAGAGTTTTTCCGAAGTTATCTTCTAGAATTTTTATGGTTGCAGGTCTTAGGTTTGTCTTTGTTCCACCTTGAGTTGATTTTTGTATAAGGTGAGAAATGAGGATCCAGCTTCATTCTTCTACATGTGGCTTGCCAGTTATCCCAGCACCATTTGTTTAATAGGATGGCCTTTCCCCACTTTATGTTTTTGTTTGCTTTGTCGAAGATCAGTTGCCTGTAAATATCTGGCTTTATTTCTGGGTTCCCTATTTTGTTCCATTGGCCTATGTGCCTATTTTTCTTCTTTTTTTTCTTTTTTTTTTTTTGAGATAGGGGTTCACTCTTTTTTTTTTTTTTTTTTTTTTATGGAAGCTGCTTTTTTTTTTCTTTTTCTTTTTCTTTTTTAAATTATACTTTAAGTTTTAGGGTACATGTGCACATTGTGCAGGTTAGTTACATATGTATACATGTGCCATGCTGGTGTGCTGCACCCACTAACTCGTCATCTAGCATTAGGTATATCTCCCAATGCTATCCCTCCCCCCTCTCCCCACCCCACCACAGTCCCCAGAGTGTGATATTCCCCTTCCTGTGTCCATGTGATCTCATTGTTCAATTCCCACCTATGAGTGAGAATATGCGGTGTTTGGTTTTTTGTTCTTGCGATAGTTTACTGAGAATGATGATTTCCAATTTCATCCATGTCCCTACAAAGGACATGAACTCATCATTTTTTATGGCTGCATAGTATTCCATGGTGTATATGTGCCACATTTTCTTAATCCAGTCTATGATTGTTGGACATTTGGGTTGGTTCCAAGTCTTTGCTATTGTGAATAATGCCGCAATAAACATACTTGTGCATGTGTCTTTATAGAAGCATGATTTATAGTCCTTTGGGTATATACCCAGTAATGGGATGGCTGGGTCAAATGGTATTTCTAGTTCTAGATCCCTGAGGAATCGCCACACTGACTTCCACAATGGTTGAACTAGTTTACAGTCCCACCAACAGTGTAAAAGTGTTCCTATTTCTCCACATCCTCTCCAGCACCTGTTGTTTCCTGACTTTTTAATGATTGCCATTCTAACTGGTGTGAGATGGTATCTCATTGTGGTTTTGATTTGCATTTCTCTGATGGCCAGTGATGGTGAGCATTTTTTCATGTGTTTTTTGGCTGCATAAATGTCTTCTTTTGAGAAGTGTCTGTTCATGTCCTTCGCCCACTTTTTGATGGGGTTGTTTGTTTTTTTCTTGTAAATTTGTTTGAGTTCATTGTAGATTCTGGATATTAGCCCTTTGTCAGATGAGTAGGTTGCGAAAATTTTCTCCCATTTTGTAGGTTGCCTGTTCACTCTGATGGTAGTTTCTTTTGCTGTGCAGAAGCTCTTTAGTTTAATTAGATCCCATTTGTCAATTTTGTCTTTTGTTGCCATTGCTTTTGGTGTTTTGGACATGAAGTCCTTGCCCATGCCTATGTCCTGAATGGTAATGCCTAGGTTTTCTTCTAGGGTTTTTATGGTTTTAGGTCTAACGTTTAAATCTTTAATCCATCTTGAATTGATTTTTGTATAAGGTGTAAGGAAGGGATCCAGTTTCAGCTTTCTACATATGGCTAGCCAGTTTTCCGAGCACCATTTATTAAATAGGGAATCCTTTCCCCATTGCTTGTTTTTCTCAGGTTTGTCAAAGATCAGATAGTTGTAGGTATGCGGCGTTATTTCTGAGGGCTCTGTTCTGTTCCATTGATCTATATCTCTGTTTTGGTACCAGTACCATGCTGTTTTGGTTAATGTAGCCTTGTAGTATGGTTTGAAGTCAGGTAGTGTGATGCCTCCAGCTTTGTTCTTTTGGCTTAGGATTGACTTGGCGATGCGGGCTCTTTTTTGGTTCCATATGAACTTTAAAGTAGTTTTTTCCAATTCTGTGAAGAAAGGCATTGGTAGCTTGATGGGGATGGCATTGAATCTGTAAATTACCTTGGGCAGTATGGCCATTTTCACGATATTGATTCTTCCTACCCATAAGCATGGAATGTTCTTCCATTTGTTTGTATACTCTTTTATTTCCTTGAGCAGTGGTTTGTAGTTCTCCTTGAAGAGGTCCTTCCCATCCCGTGTAAGATGGATTCCTAGGTATTTTATTCTCTTTGAAGCAATTGTGAATGGGAGTTCACTCATGATTTGGCTCTCTGTTTGTCTGTTGTTGGTGTATAAGAATGCTTGTGATTTTTGCACATCGATTTTGTATCCTGAGACTTTGCTGAAGTTGCTTATCAGCTTAAGGAGATTTTGGGCTGAGACAATGGGGTTTTCTAGATATACAATCATGTCGTCTGCAAACAGGGACAATTTGACTTCCTCTTTTCCTAATTGAATACCCTTTATTTCCTTCTCCTGCCTAATTGCCCTGGCCAGAACTTCCAACACTATGTTGAATAGGAGTGGTGAGAGAGGGCATCCCTGTCTTGTGCCAGTTTTCAAAGGGAATGCTTCCAGTTTTTGCCCATTCAGTATGATATTGGCTGTGGGTTTGTCATAGATAGCTCTTATTATTTTGAAATACGTCCCATCAATACCTAATTTATTGAGAGTTTTTAGCATGAAGGGTTGTTGAATTTTGTCAAAGGCTTTTTCTGCATCTATTCAGATAATCATGTGGTTTTTGTCTTTGGCTCTGTTTATATGCTGGATTACATTTACTGATTTGCGTATATTGAACCAGCCTTGCATCCCAGGGATGAAGCCCACTTGATCATGGTGGATAAGCTTTTTGATGTGCTGCTGGATTTGGTTTGCCAGTATTTTATTGAGGATTTTTGCATCAATGTTCATCAAGGATATTGGTCTGAAATTCTCTTTTTTGGTTGTGTCTCTGCCCGGCTTTGGTATCAGAATGATGCTGGCCTCATAAAATGAGTTAGGGAGGATTCCCTCTTTTTCTATTGATTGGAATAGTTTCAGAAGGAATGGTACCAGTTCCTCCTTGTACCCCTGATAGAATTCGGCTGTGAATCCATCTGGTCCTGGACTCTTTTTGGTTGGTAAACTATTGATTATTGCCACAATTTCAGCTCCTGTTATTGGTCTATTCAGAGATTCAACTTCTTCCTGGTTTAGTCTTGGGAGAGTGTATGTGTCGAGGAATTTATCCATTTCTTCTAGATTTTCTAGTTTATTTGCATAGAGGTGTTTGTAGTATTCTCTGATGGTAGTTTGTATTTCTGTGGGCTCGGTGGTGATATCCCCTTTATCATTTTTTATTGTGTCTATTTGATTCTTCTCTCTTTTTTTCTTTATTCGTCTTGCTATCGGTCTATCAATTTTGTTGATCCTTTCAAAAAACCAGCTCCTGGATTCATTAATTTTTTGAAGGGTTTTTTGTGTCTCTATTTCCTTCAGTTCTGCTCTGATTTTAGTTATTTCTTGCCTTCTGCTAGCTTTTGAATGTGTTTGCTCTTGCTTTTCTAGTTCTTTTAATTGTGAGGTTAGGGTGTCAATTTTGTATCTTTCCTGCTTTCTCTTGTGGGCATTTAGTGCTATAAATTTCCCTCTACACACTGCTTTGAATGCGTCCCAGAGATTCTGGTATGTTGTGTCTTTGTTCTCGCTGGTTTCAAAGAACATCTTTATTTCTGCCTTCATTTCGTTATGTACCCAGTAGTCATTCAGGAGCAGGTTGTTCAGTTTTCATGTAGTTGAGCGGCTTTGAGTGAGATTCTTAATCCTGAGTTCTAGTTTGATTGCACTGTGGTCTGAGAGATAGTTTGTTATAATTTCTGTTCTTTTACATTTGCTGAGGAGAGCTTTACTTCCAACTATGTGGTCAATTTTGGAATAGGTGTGGTGTGGTGCTGAAAAAAATGTATATTCTGTTGATTTGGGGTGGAGAGTTCTGTAGATGTCTATTAGGTCTGCTTGGTGCAGAGCTGAGTTCAATTCCTGGGTATCCTTGTTGACTTTCTGTCACGTTGATCTGTCTAATGTTGACAGTGGGGTGTTAAAGTCTCCCATTATTAATGTGTGGGAGTCTAAGTCTCTTTGTAGGTCACTCAGGACTTGCTTTATGAATCTGGGTGCTCCTGTATTGGGTGCATATATATTTAGGATAGTTAGCTCTTCTTGTTGAATTGATCCCTTTACCATTAGGTAATGGCCTTCTTTGTCTCTTTTGATCTTTGTTGGTTTAAAGTCTGTTTTATCCGAGACTAGGATTGCAACCCCTGCCTTTTTTTGTTTTCCATTTGCTTGGTAGATCTTCCTCCATCCTTTTATTTTGAGCCTATGTGTGTCTCTGCACGTGAGATGGGTTTCCTGAATACAGCACACTGATGGGTCTTGACTCTTTATCCAATTTGCCAGTCTGTGTCTTTTAATTGGAGCATTTAGTCCATTTACATTTAAAGTTAATATTGTTATGTGTGAATTTGATCCTGTCATTATGATGTTAGCTGGTTATTTTGCTCGTTAGTTGATGCAGTTTCTTCCTAGTCTCGATGGTCTTTACATTTTGGCATGATTTTGCAGCGGCTGGTACCGGGGGTTCCTTTCCATGTTTAGTGCTTCCTTCAGGAGCTCTTTTTGGGCAGGCCTGGTCATGACAAAATCTGTCAACATTTGCTTGTCTGTAAAGTATTTTATTTCTCCTTCACTTATGAAGCTTAGTTTGGCTGGATATGAAATTCTGGGTTGAAAATTCTTTTCTTTAAGAATGTTGAATATTGGCCCCCACTCTCTTCTGGCTTGTAGGGTTTCTGCCGAGAGATCCGCTGTTAGTCTGATGGGCTTCCCTTTGAGGGTAACCCGACCTTTCTCTCTGGCTGCCCTTAACATTTTTTCCTTCATTTCAACTTTGGTGAATCTGACAATTATGTGTCTTGGAGTTGCTCTTCTCGAGGAGTATCTTTGTGGCGTTCTCTGTATTTCCTGAATCTGAACGTTGGCCTGCCTTGCTAGATTGGGGAAGTTCTCCTGGATAATATCCTGCAGAGTGTTTTCCAACTTGGTTCCATTCTCCCCATCACTTTCAGGTACACCAATCAGACGTAGATTTGGTCTTTTCACATAGTCCCACATTTCTTGGAGGCTTTGCTCATTTCTTTTTATTCTTTTTTCTCTAAACTTCCCTTCTCACTTCATTTCATTCATTTCATCTTCCATTGCTGATACCCTTTCTTCCAGTTGATCGCATCGGCTCCTGAGGCTTCTGCATTCTTCACGTAGTTCTTGAGCCTTGGTTTTCAGCTCCATCAGCTCCTTTAAGCACTTCTCTGTATTGGTTATTCTAGTTATACATTCTTCTAAATTTTTTTCAAAGTTTTCAACTTCTTTGCCTTTGGTTTGAATGTCCTCCCGTAGCTCAGAGTAATTTGATCGTCTGAAGCCTTCTTCTCTCAGCTCGTCAAAGTCATTCCCCATCCAGCTTTGTTCCGTTGCTGGTGAGGAACTGCGTTCCTTTGGAGGAGGAGAGACACTCTGCTTTTTAGAGTTTCCAGTTTTTCTGTTCTGTTTTTTCCCCATCTTTGTGGTTTTATCTACTTTTGGTCTTTGATGATGGTGATGTACAGATGGGTTTTTGGTGTGGATGTCCTTTCTGTTTGTTAGTTTTTCTTTTAACAGACAGGACCCTCAGCTGCAGATCTGTTGGAATACCCTGCCCTGTGAGGTGTCAGTGTGCCCCTGGTGGGGGGTGCCTCCCAGTTAGGCTGCTCAGGGGTCAGGGGTCAGGGACCCACTTGAGGAGGGAGTCTGCCGGTTCTCAGATCTCCAGCTGCGTGCTGGGAGAACCACTGCTCTCTTCAAAGCTGTCAGACAGGGACATTTAAGTCTGCAGAGGTTACTGCTGTCTTTTTGTCTGTGCCCTGCCCCCAGAGGTGGAGCCTACAGAGGCAGGCAGGCCTCCTTGAGCTGTGGTGGGCTCCACCCTGTTCGAGCTTCCTGGCTGCTTTGTTTACCTAAGCAAGCCTGGGCAATGGCGGGCGCCCCTCCCCCAGCCTCGCTGCCGCCTTGCAGTTTGATCTCAGACTGCTGTGCTAGCAATCAGCGAGACTCCGTGGGCGTAGGACCCTCCGAGCCAGGTGTGGGATATAGTCTCGTGGTGCGCCGTTTTTTAAGCCGGTCTGAAAAGCGCAATATTCGGGTGGGAGTGACCAGATTTTCCAGGTGCGTCCGTCACCCCTTTCTTTGACTGGGAAAGGGAACTCCCTGACCCCTTGCACTTCCCAGGTGAGGCAATGCCTCGCCCTGCTTCGGCTTGCGCACGGTGGGCGTGCCCACTGGCCTGTGCCCACTGTCTGGCCCTCCCTGGTGAGATGAACCCAGTACCTCAGATGGAAATGCAGAAATCACCCGTCTTCTGCGTCGCTCACGCTGGGCGCTGTAGACGGGAGCTGTTCCTATTCGGCCATCTTGGCTCCTCCCCCAAATTCAGGGTTTCACTCTTGTTGCCCAGGCTGGAGTGCAATGGCGCGATCTCGGCTCACCACAATCTCTGCCTCCCAGGTTCAAGCAATTCTCCTGCCTCAGCCTCCGGAGTAGCTGTGATTACAGGCATGCACCACCACGGCTGGCTAATTTTGTATTTTTAGTAGAGATGGGGGTTTCACCATGTTGGTCAGGCTGGTCTCGAACTCCCGATCTCAGGTAGGTGATCCGCCTGCCTCAGCCTCCCAAAGTGCTGGGATTACAGGTGTGAGCCACTGTGCCCGGCCAACCTGCCTATTTTTAATACTAGTACCATGCTATTTTGGTAACTATAAACTTGTACCATAGTTTGAAGTGGGGGTAATGTGATATCACCAGATTTGTTATTTTTGTTTAGTCTTTCTTTCGTTATGTGGTCTCCTTTTTGGTTCCATATGAATTTTAGGATTGTTCTTTCTAGTTCTGTGAAGAATGATGATGCTATTTTGATGGGAACTGCATTGAATTTGTAGATTGCTTTTGGCAGTATATTTATTTTTACAATATTGATTCTACTCATCTGTAAGCATAGGACATGTTTCCATTTGTTTGTGTCATCTATGATTTCTTTTAGCAGTGTTTCATAGTCTTCCTTTCACCTCCTTGGTTAGGTATATTCCTAAGTATTTTATTTTTTTTGTTGCAGCTGTTGTAAAATGGGTTGAGTTCTTGATTTCTCAGCTTGGTCATTGTTGGTGTATAGCAGTGCTACTGATTTGCATACATTAATTTTGTATCCGGAATCTTTACTGAATTCATTTATCAGATTTAGGAGCTTTTTGGATGAGTCTTTAGGGTTTTCTAGGTATATGATCATTTTTATTTTTACTTTATTTTTATTTTTTGAGATGGAGTCTCATTCTGTCACCTAGCCTGGAGTGCAGTGGTGCAATCTCAGCTCACTGCAATCTGCGCCTCTTGAATTCAAGCAGATTCCTCTGCTTCAGCCTCCCAAGTAGCTGGGATTACAGGTGCCCACCATCATGCCTGGGTAGTTTTTGTATTTTTAGTAAAGATGGGGTTTTACCATGTTGGCCAGGCTGGTCTCAAACTCCTGACCTCAAGTGATTCATGTGCCTCGACCTCCCAAAGTGTTAGGATTACAGACGTGAGCCACTATTCTCAGTCAGGTATATGATCATATCATTAGCACACAGTGACAGTTTGGCTTCCACTACCGATTTGGGTGCCCTTTATTTCTTTCTTTTGTCTAATTGCTCTGTCTAAGACTTCCAGTACTATGTTGAATAGAAGTGGTGCAAGTGGACATCCTTGCCTTGTTCCAGTTCTCAGGGGGAATGCTTTCCATGTTTCTCCATTCAGTATAATGTTGGCTGTGGGTTTGTCATAGATGGCTTTTATTACCTTGCGGTATGCTGATTTTGCTGAGGGTTTTAATTATAAAGCAATGCTGGATTTTGTCAAATGCTTTTTATGTATCTATTGAGATGATCATATGATGTTTGTTTTTAATTCTGTTTATGTGATGTATCACATTTATTGACTTGTATATGTTAAACCATTCCTGCATCCCTGGTATGAAACCCACTTGATTATGGTGGATTATCATTTTGATATTCGGCTAGCTAGTATTGGATTTGGTTAGCTAGTATTTGTTGGATTCGGTTAGCTTGTATTTTGTTAAGGATTTTTGCGTCTATGTTCTTCAAGGATATTGGTCTGTAATGTTCTATTTTTTTGTTATGTCCTTTCCTGGTTTTGGTGTTCGGGTGATACTGCCTTCACAGAACGATTTAGGGAGGATTCCCTCTTTATCTTTTGGAACAGTTTAAGTAAGATTGGTATATTCTTTTATTTATTTATTTATTTATTTATTTATTTATTTTTTATTGATCATTCTTGGGTGTTTCTCACAGAGGGGGATTTGGCAGGGTCATAGGACAATAGTGGAGGGAAGGTCAGCAGATAAACAAGTGAACAAAGGTCTCTGGTTTTCCTAGGCAGAGGACCCTGCGGCCTTCCGCAGTGTTTGTGTCCCTGGGTACTTGAGATTAGGGAGTGGTGACGACTCTTAACGAGCATGCTGCCTTCAAGCATCTGTTTAACAAAGCACATCTTGCACCGCCCTTAATCCATTTAACCCTGAGTGGACACAGCACATGTTTCAGAGAGCACAGGGTTGGGGGTAAGGTCACAGATCAACAGGATCCCAAGGCAGAAGAATTTTTCTTAGTGCAGAACAAAATGAAAAGTCTCCCATGTCTACTTCTTTCTACACAGACACGGCAACCATCCGATTTCTCAATCTTTTCCCCACCTTTCCCCCCTTTCTATTCTACAAAACCGCCATTGTCATCATGGCCCGTTCTCAATGAGCTGTTGGGCATACCTCCCAGACGGGGTGGTGGCCGGGCAGAGGGGCTCCTCACTTCCCAGTAGGCGCGGCCGGGCAGAGGCGCCCCTCACCTCCCAGACGGGGCGGCTGGCCGGGCGGGGGGCTGACCCCCCACCTCCCTCCCGGACGGGGCGGCTGGCCGGGCAGAGGGGCTCCTCACTTCCCAGTAGGGGCGGCTGGGCAGAGGCGACCCTCACCTCCTGGATGGGGCAGCTGGCTGGGCGGGGGGCTGACCCCCCCACCTCCCTCCCGGATGGGGCGGCTGGCCGGGCGGGGGGCTGACCCCCCCCACCTCCCTCCCGGACGGGCGGCTGGCCGGCCGGGGGGCTGACCCCCCCACCTCCCTCCCAGACGAGGCGGCTGGCCGGGCAGAGGGGCTCCTCACTTCCCAGTAGGGGCGGCCGGGCAGAGGCGCCCCTCACCTCCCGGACGGGGCAGCTGGCCGGCGGGGGGCTGACTCCCCCACCTCCCTCCCAGACCGGGCGGCTGGCTGGGTGGGGGGCTGACCCCCCCACCTCCCTCCCGGACGGGGCGGCTGGCCGGGCGGGGGCTGACCCCCCCCACCTCCCTCCCGGAGGGGGTGGCTGCCGGGCGGAGACGCTCCTCACTTCCCAGACGGGGTGGCTGCCGGGCGGAGAGGCTCCTCACTTCTCAGACGGGGCGGCTGCTGGGCGGAGGGGCTCCTCACTTCTCAGACGGGGCGGTTGCCAGGCAGAGGGTCTCCTCACTTCTCAGACGGGGTGGCTGGGCAGAGACGCTCCTCACCTCCCAGACGGGGTCGCGGCCGGGCAGAGGTGCTCCTCACTTCCCAGACGGGGTGGCGGGGCAGAGGCGCTCCCCACATCTCAGACGATGGGCGGCCGGGCAGAGACGCTCCTCACTTCCCAGATGGGATGGCTGCCGGGAAGAGGCGCTCCTCACTTCCTAGATGGGATGGCGGCCGGACGGAGACGCTCCTCACTTCCCAGACTGGGCAGCCAGGCAGAGGGGCTCCTCACGTCCCAGACGATGGGCGGCCAGGCAGAGACGCTCCTCACTTCCCAGACGGGGTGGCGGCCGGGCAGAGGATGCAATCTCGGCACTTTGGGAGGCCAAGGCAGGCGGCTGGGAGGTGGAGGTTGTAGCGAGCCGAGATCACGCCACCGCACTCCAGCCGGGGCACCATTGAGCACTGAGTGAACGAGACTCCGTCTGCAATCCCGGCACCTCGGGAGGCCCAGGCTGGCGGATCACTCGCGGTTAGGAGCTGGAGACCGGCCATGCCAACACAGCGAAACCCCGTCTCCACCAAAAAAAATACGAAAACCAGTCAGGCGTGGCAGCGCGTGCCTGCAATCGCAGGCACTCGGCAGGCTGAGGCAGGAGAATCAGGCAGGGAGGTTGCAGTGAGCCGAGATGGCAGCAGTACAGTCCAGCTTCGGCTCGGCATGAGAGGGAGACCGTGGAAACAGAGGGAGAGGGAGACCGTGGGGAGACGGGAGAGGGAGAGGGAGAGGGAGAGCTGGATTTCAAAGCTTCATCCATGCTGAGCTGCAAGGGGAATGGACAGAACTGGAAACTGGGGCAGACTGGAGTTGCCAGCCTAGGCTGGGCTGTGAGCTCCATGGAGCAGATGCCGGGCCATCCTGCCCCGGCTCTAAGCCCAGCCCCAGGCCAGGGCCGGCACCTGGTAGGCTCTTCATGAGTGCTTCCTGAATGAATGCTCGGTATATTCTTTTTGAATGCCTGAGAGAATTCAGCTGTGAATCCATCTGCTCTTGGACATTTTTTTTGTTGGCAATTTTAAAAATTACTGTTTTAATCTTGCTGCTTGTTATTGGTCTGTTCAGTTTCTATTTCTTCCTAGTTTAATCGAGGAGGGTTGTATATTTCCAGGAGTTTATCTGTCTCCTCTAGATTTTCTAGTGTGTGTGTGTAACGGCGTTCACAGTAGTCTTGAATGATCTTTTGTATTTCTGTGGTATCAGTTGTAATATCTCCTGTTTCATTTCTAATTGAGCTTATTTGGATCTTTCTTTTCTTGGTTAACTTTGCTAATGGTCTATTAATTTTGTTTATCTTTTCAAAGAACCAGCTTTTTGTTTCATTTATCTTTTGTATTGTTTTTTGGTTTCAATTTCATTTAGTTCTGCTCTGATCTTTGTTATTTATTTTCTTCTGCTCGGTTTGGGTTTGGTTTGTTCTTGTTTTTCTAGTTTCTTGAAGTGTGACCTTAGATTATTTGTGCTCTTCAGTTTTTTTGATGTAGGCATTTAATGCTATGAACTTCCCTCCTAACCACCACTTTTACTGTATCCCAGAGGCTTTGGTAAGTTGTGTTCCTATTACCATTCAGTGAATTTCCAGTTTTATTCCACTGTGGTCTGAGAGGGTACTTGATATAATTTCAATTTGAAAAAATTTATTGATATTTGTTTTGTGGTCTATCATATGGTCTATCTTGGAGAATGTTCTACGTGCTGATGAAAAGAGTGTATATTCTGCAGTTTTTGGGTAGAATGTTCTATAAATATCTGATAAGTCCATTTCTTTTAGGGTATAGCTTAAGTCCATTGTTTCTTTGTTGATTTTCTGTCTTGATGACCTGTCTAGTGCTGTTAGTGGAGTACCGAAGTCTCCACTATTATTATGTTGCCATCTATCTCATTTCTTATGTCTAGTGTAATTGTTTCATAAATTTGGGACCTCCCATGTTAGGTGCATATATATTTAGGATTGTGATATTTTCCTGTTGGACTGATTTTTTAAATCATTATATAATGTCCCTCTTTATCTTTTTAAACTGTTGTGGCTTTAAAATTTGTCTGATACAAGAATAACTACTCCTGCTCACTTTTGGTTTCCATTTGCAGGGAATATCTTTCTCCACCACTTTCTCTTAGATTTATGTGAGTCCTCATGTATCAGGTGAGTATCTTGAAGACAGCAGATAATTGTTTGGTGGATTTTTATCCATTCTGTCATTCTGTAAAAATTTTTTTTTAACTTGAAATGTTGTTATTTATGTATTGGCATATAATAGATTATTTAAAGCTGTTAAAATTATTTAAAATAGTTTTTAAAATTATTATAATTTAAGTTCTAGGGTACATGTGCACAATGTGCAGGTTTGTTACATAGGTATACATGTGCCATGTTGGTGTGCTGCACCCATTAACTTGTCATTTACATTAGGTATATCTCCTAATGCTATCCCTCCCCCCTCCCCCTAACCGCACGACAGGCCCCGGTGTGTGATGTTCCCCGCCCTCTGTCCCAGTGTTCTCCTTGTTCAATTTCCACCTATGAGTGAGACCATGCGGTGTTTGGTTTTCTGTCCTTGCGATAGTTTGCTCAGAATGATGGTTTCCAGCTTCATCCATGTCCCTACAAAGGACATGAAATCATCCTTTTTTATGGCTGCATAGTATTCGATGGTATATATGTGCCACATTTTCTTAATCCAGTCTATCATTGATGGGCATTTGGGTTGGTTCCAAGTCTTTGCTATTGTGAATAGTGCCGCAATAAACATACGTGTGCATGTGTCTTTATAGCAGCATGATTTATAATCCTTGGGTATATACCCAGTAATGGGATGGCTGGGTCAAATGGTATTTCTAGTTCTGGATCCTTGAGACATTCTGTAAATTTTAAGTGGAGCATTTCGGCCATTTACATTCAACATTAGTACTGAGATGTGAGGTGCTGTTTTACTCATAGTGCTAGTTGTTGACTAAATACCTTGTTTTTTTTTTTCCATTGTGTTATTGGTTTATAGGCCCTGTGAGATTTATGCTTAAGGAGTTTCTATTTTGGTATATTTCAAGGTTTTGTTTCAAGATTTAGAACTCCTTTTAGCAATTCTTGTAGTGCTGGCTTGGTAGTGGTGAATTCTCTTGGCATTTTTTTTTGTCTAAAAAATACTTTATTTTTCCTTCATTTATGAAGCTTTGTTTTGCTAGATACAAAATGCTTGGCTGGCAATTATTTTATCTGAGGAGGCTAAAGATAAACCCAGTCCCTTCTGGCTTGTAAGGTTTCTGCTGAAAAATCTGTTGTTAACCTGATAGGTTTTCCTTTATAGGTTACCTGATGCTTTTGCCTCACAGTTCTTAAGATTCTTTCCTTTGTCTTGACTTTAGATAACCTGATGACTATGTGCCTGGGTGATGATCTTTTTCTGATGAATTTCCCAGATGTTCTTAGAGTTTCTTGTATTTGGATGTCTAGATCTCTAGTGAGGCCAGGGAAGTTTTCCTTGATTATTCCCTCAAACATGTTTTCCAAACTCTTAGATTTCTCTTCTTCCTCAGGAACACCAATTATTCTTAGATTTGGCTGTTTAACATAGTCCCAAGTTTCTTGGAGGTCTTGTTCTTTTTTTTTTTTTTTTTTCTTGAGATGGAGTCTCTCTCTCTTGCCCAGGCTGGAGTGCAGTGGCCTGATCTCGGCTCACCGCAACCTCCACCTCCCTGGTTCAAGCAATTCCCCTGCCTCACCTTCCTGAGTAGCTGGGATTACAGGCGCACACCACCACACCCGGCTAATTTTTTTGTGTTTTTCATAGAGACGGGGTTTCACCATGTTGGCCAGACTGGCCTCGAACTCCTGACCTCAGGCAATCTGCCTGCCTCGGCCTCCCAAAGTGCTGGGTAATCCCAGCCGTGCCTGGCCTGTTTATTTTTTTAAAATATTCTTTTTTCTTTGTCCTTGTCTGATTGGGTTAATTTAAAAGAGTTGTCTTTGAGCTCTGAAGTTCTTCTTCTACTTGTTTGATTCTGTTGTTGAAACTTTTAAGTGCATTTTGTGTTTCTCTAAATGTGTCTTTCATTTTCAGATGTTGTGATAGTTTTTTCTTTATGATATCTATTTCTCTGGAGCGTTTTTCATCCATACTCTGTATTGTTTTTTAAAATTTCTTTCTCTGGTATCTTTTCGAGAAGCCGAATAATCACCCTTCTGAAATTTTAATCTGGCAATTCAGAGATTTCTTCTTGGTTTGGATCCATTGCTGGGAGCTAGTGTGGTCTTTTGGGGGTGTTATAGAAACTTGTTTTGTCATAATACCAGAATTACTTTTCTGATTCTTGCTCATTTGGATAGACTATTTCAGTGGAACAATCTGAAACTCAAGGGCTGCTGCTCAGATTCTTTTGACTCATGGGGTGATCCCTTGATGTGGTACACTCCTCCTTTCCCTAAAGATGGGGCTCTGGCGAGCCAGTCTGCAGACTGATTGTTATTGCTCTTCTGGGTCTAGCCACCCAGTGGTGCTACCAGACTCTAGGCTGGTGCTGGAGAATGTCTGTGAAGATTCCTGTGTTGCAATTCGTCTTTAGGTCTCCCAGTTGTGGATACCAGCACCTGTTCTGGTAGAGATGGTAGGGGAGTGACGTAGACTCTGTGAGAGTCCTTGGTTGTAGATATGTTTAGAGTGCCTGCTTTCTCAAATGCTGGTTATGCCAGCAGTGAAGCTGTCACGTGGACAGATTCAGAACCACTGGTTAGCCAGGATGTTGCAGGCAGTGGAATTAGCTGTTATTTTCTCCTTCCTTGGAACAGGGTTGTTCTGTCATGAGTTGCTGTAATGTCCTGAGTTGGTTGGCCTCTAGCTGGGAGGTGGTGTTTTTGAGATAGCACCAGAGTTTTTCACCTGTCTTGTGGAATTTGCAGGGGCCTGCCACTTATTTTAAAGGATCTGTGATTTGTTATGGTTTTCCTGATATGCTCCTGCAGTGGTTGCTGGAGCAAAAGTTCATGGTGTGAATCTGCCCACACTGTTCTCTCCATCCAAGTGGGAGCTGCACATCAGCCCTGTCTCCTAACCACCATCTTCCCTCTCTCACTTTTTTCTTTTTTATTGCTGAGTAATAGTCCATTGTATAGATATATCTCATTTGTTTATCCATTCATCAGATGATGGACATTTGGGCTGTTTCCACCTTTTGTCTATTGTGAATACTGCTGTTATAAATAAATATTAGTGAGATAATACTTTACATCTATTTGACTGACAAAAATTAAGACAGACAATACCAAATACTGGAGAGATCTATTCAAGGGTATATTGCTGAGTAGAGTGTAAATTTGTTTAACCATTGGAAAATAACTTGGCATTATTTTGAAAAATGGAAAACTCATACTCTCTATGATCCAGCAATTTCATTCCCATGTATATATCCAAGAGAAACTTCAGCATATAGGCACCAGGAGACATATACGACAGTGTTAATAGTAGTATTGTTTCTAAGAGTGAAAACTTGAATCACTGAAGTGTGTATCAATGGCCATTTCTTTAAGGAGTTCTGCTCTAAAGGGAAGGAAAGAAATGGTGCAGTAATGGAGGTTGAGAATTTTTTTTTTAAATGGGAGAAAAAATAGCACACTTGTATGCTGAGGCAGTACTTCAATGGAAAAGGAAAAAAAAATAGTAAGAATTTCTGGATAACCTGGTTTCTCAGACACTTAGCTTCCATTTATCTGCCAGTTCTGGAGGGTGCCGTATATACCTTCCAGTTTTAAGTTTTACCTATGTTCACTTGCCATTTTAAAAAAAACTTGTATTAGGTTCAGGGTACATGTGCCTGTTTGTTATATAGGTAAATTGTGTGTCACGGCAGTTTGGTGTACAGATTATTTCTCCACCTAGGTAAAAAGCATAGTACCCGATAGATGGTTTTTCAGTCCTCACTCTCCTCCCTTCCTCCACCCTCAAGTAGGCCCCAGAGTCTGCTGTTTCCTTTTTTGTGTCCATATGTACTCAATGTTTTGCTCCCACTTGTGAGAACATATGATAGTTGGCTTTCTGTTCCTATGTTGGTTAACTTAGGATAATGGCATCCAGCTCCACCCATGTTGCTGTAAAGAACATGATCTTGTTCTTTTTTATGGTTGCATAGTATTCCATGGTGTATATGTACCACATTTTCTTTATTCAGTCTACTGTTGATGGGCATTTAGGGAAGATTCCATGTCTTTGCTATTGTGAACAGTGCTGCAATAAACATGGGAGTGCGTTTTTTTTTTACAGTAGAATGATTTATATTCCTTTGGATATATACTCAATAATGAGATTGCTAAGTCAAATCATAATTATGCTTTGTGTTCTTTGAGAAATCACCAAACTGCTTTCTATAATGGCTGAAGTAATTTACATTCCCACCAGCAGTGTATGTGTTGCTTTTCTCTGCAACCTTGCCAGCATCTGTTGTTTTTTGACTTTTTAATAATATTCATTCTGACTGGTGTGAGATGGTATCTAAATGTGGTTTTGATTTGCATTTCTGTAATGACGAGTGATGTTAAGCATTTTTTATATGCTTGTTGGCCGCATGTCTATCTTCTTTTGAGAAGTGTCTGTTTATGTCCTTTGCCTTTTTAATGAGGTTTTTTGCTTATTGATTTTTAAAATTCCTTATAGATTCTGGATATTAGACCTTTCTTGGATTCATAGTTTGAAAATATTTTCTCCCATTCTGTAGATTGTCTGCTTACTCTGTTGATAGTTTATTTTGTGGTGCGGAAACTCTTTAATTAGGTCCCATTTGTCAATTTTTGTTTTTGTTGCAATTGCTTTTGGCATCCTCATGATGAAATCTTTGTCAGGTCCTATGTCCAGAATGGTATTTCCCAGGTTACCTTCTAAGGTTTTTAGTTTTAGGTTTTACATTTAAGTCTTTAATCCATTTTGAGTTGAGTTTTGTATATGGTATAGGAAGGGGGTCCTGTTTCATCTGTATATGGCTAGCTAGTTATCCAAGCACCATTTATTGAATAGGGAGTCTTTTGCCCATTGCTTGTTTTTATCAACTTTGTTGAAGACCAGATGGTTGTAGGTCATTCTTAAACTGCTGGATTAAATAAGAGCACATCAACTGAGTATCCAAAGTTATTTTTTATATCTCTTATACAGAATTCGATTGGTCCACCTTTCATCATATCACTAGAGAAATCAGATCCAAGTTACCATATGTGTTCAGTCAAAGGTTATTATACAGCAGTCAAAATGAATGAATTACATGCAACATGTATTAAGAACATATGAATGCAGTTACATGCAACAACATGGATTAATATAGCAACAAAATGTTGAATAAAAAGGCAAGTTGAAGACTACATGTAGTATTATATCCTTTTTAGAATATTTAAATGCAAGCAAAATTAAACAATGTTACTTAGACATACTTTGTATGTGATCACACAAATGTGCAAGAACAAAATTC
This sequence comes from Homo sapiens, assembly GCF_000001405.40. Taxonomy (NCBI): domain Eukaryota; kingdom Metazoa; phylum Chordata; class Mammalia; order Primates; family Hominidae; genus Homo; species Homo sapiens. The sequence goes on from NC_000002.12 coordinate 197,704,162, forward strand.
AGGACAATGACTACCTCAGGGAGGACAGTACGAGAAGAAAAGGAGCACACAGATCTAAATCACTGGTAATTTTCTAGTTCAGTGTTTCTCAAACTTTAATGTGCATCAGAATCACCTTAAAATCTAAATTACTGGGCCCTACCCTCAGAGTTTTCTGGTTCAGTATGTGGGGGATGGGGCCTAAGAATATACATATCGAACGAAGTTCCAGGTGCTGCCAGTTCTGCTGCTCTGGGGACCACACTCTGAAACCACTTGTAGTTCTTAGATTGGGTTGTAGGTTCATAGCTGCTCCATTTTATTATTAAATGTATATGCTACTTAAATTAAATTAAAAAAAAAAGATCAAAGATGAGAGTGTGTTATGAACTAGGGATTAACATTAATTCAATTCTGGGCTCCTGAGGTTTCCTCCCCTAAAAAAAATTCTAAGGTTCCATTACTAAAAGCAAACTTGAGAAACACTATTTTAAAAGAACTTCAAGACCATTAAAAAAATTAACTTTTTGAGAAATAAATTTGAAAATTATTCTTTATATGCACAGTGACAGCATATTGCACTCTACTTTCCTGGATCTCAATAAACTTTGGCAAGAACTTGGCAGATCACAAATCTACTTTTGTTGATTCAACAAAAACTGTTTAAAGACTTCTCTTCCATTCTCAGTTCTTATCCTTCTCTCAAAATGCTGTAGGTAATGATTTTTCATCTTTTTTCTCTCTCCCTCCCTTACAGATTGATTTAGGCTCTGAGATAAAATTTAGGTGACATTTTAGATATCGACAGGGCATGTGCAGAGCAATACTCTGTCTTGCAGTATGCCAGCCACGGACGGGGTTTAGACAAACGGCTGAATATAAAACTCTTGCCTACAAGCAGCTCAGCCTAGAGGGGGAAACAGATTCATAAATATAAAATTACAATCCAAAGCAGGAAACACAGTATGTTATACGAAGGCAAAGAGGTTCGTCTTCTTTCATAGCCTCTCCTAAACCCGGCAACTCTGAGCTGTTTTTCTGGCAAGCCGCCGTCCATTGGCGGCCTCTGGCGCCGCGGCTTTCGGCGTGCGGACGGCGCAGGCGCGGGCGGGGCGGGGCCGGGCGGGGAGGGCGGTGAGGGCCGGCGCTCGGGGCCGCGTTTCATTGGCTTTCCGGCCGGAAGCTGCGGCGCGACCCGGCTGCGCATGCGCCTCTCACACGTGCTGTCAGAACGCCGCCTCCTCCGCTTGCGGCCGGTCTGCACCATGCTGCGAACGTCCGTCCTCCGCCTGCTAGGACGCACGGGGGCTAGTAGGCTGTCTCTCCTGGAGGACTTCGGCCCACGCTACTACAGTTCGGGCTCCCTCAGTGCCGGCGATGATGCTTGTGATGTGCGCGCCTACTTCACTACACCCATTTTCTACGTGAACGCGGCGCCGCACATCGGGCACCTGTACTCGGCACTACTGGCGGACGCCCTATGCCGCCACCGTCGCCTCCGAGGTCCCAGCACGGCCGCCACGCGATTCTCCACTGGTACCGACGAGCACGGGCTGAAGATTCAGCAGGCAGCAGCTACCGCGGGCCTGGCCCCGACCGAGCTGTGCGACCGAGTCTCTGAGCAGTTCCAGCAGCTTTTCCAGGAGGCCGGTATCTCCTGCACAGATTTCATCCGCACCACGGAGGCCCGGCACCGGGTGGCTGTGCAGCACTTCTGGGGGGTGCTTAAGTCCCGCGGTCTGCTCTACAAGGGCGTCTATGAAGGTTGGTATTGCGCTTCCGACGAGTGCTTCCTGCCTGAGGCCAAGGTCACCCAGCAGCCGGGCCCATCGGGGGATTCGTTTCCTGTATCTCTCGAGAGCGGGCATCCAGTCTCCTGGACCAAGGAAGAAAACTACATTTTCAGGCTTTCCCAGTTCCGGAAGCCACTCCAGCGGTGGCTGCGGGGCAACCCTCAGGCGATCACCCCCGAACCATTTCATCACGTAGTTCTTCAGTGGCTGGACGAGGAGCTGCCCGACCTGTCCGTGTCTCGCAGAAGTAGCCACTTGCACTGGGGCATTCCGGTGCCCGGGGATGATTCGCAGACCATCTATGTATGGCTGGATGCCCTGGTCAACTACCTCACTGTAATTGGCTACCCAAATGCTGAGTTCAAATCTTGGTGGCCGGCCACCTCTCATATCATAGGTAAGGACATTCTCAAATTCCATGCCATCTATTGGCCTGCCTTCCTGTTAGGGGCCGGCATGAGCCCGCCACAGCGCATCTGTGTCCATTCCCACTGGACAGTCTGTGGCCAAAAGATGTCCAAGAGCTTGGGCAACGTGGTGGATCCTAGGACTTGCCTTAACCGCTATACCGTGGATGGCTTCCGCTACTTTCTCCTTCGGCAGGGCGTCCCCAACTGGGACTGTGACTACTATGATGAAAAGGTGGTTAAGTTGCTGAACTCCGAGCTGGCAGATGCCTTGGGAGGTCTCTTGAACCGATGCACTGCCAAAAGAATAAATCCTTCTGAGACCTACCCAGCCTTCTGCACTACCTGCTTCCCTAGTGAGCCAGGGTTGGTGGGGCCGTCAGTTCGTGCTCAGGCAGAGGATTATGCTCTGGTGAGCGCAGTGGCCACTTTGCCAAAGCAGGTAGCAGACCACTATGATAACTTTCGGATATATAAGGCTCTGGAGGCCGTGTCCAGCTGTGTCCGGCAAACTAATGGTTTTGTCCAAAGGCATGCACCATGGAAGCTGAACTGGGAGAGCCCAGTGGATGCTCCCTGGCTGGGTACTGTGCTTCATGTGGCCTTGGAATGTTTGCGAGTCTTTGGGACTTTGCTGCAGCCTGTCACCCCAAGCCTAGCTGACAAGCTGCTGTCTAGGCTGGGGGTCTCTGCCTCAGAGAGGAGTCTTGGAGAGCTCTATTTCTTGCCTCGATTCTATGGACATCCATGCCCTTTTGAAGGGAGGAGGCTGGGACCTGAAACTGGGCTTTTGTTTCCAAGACTAGACCAGTCCAGGACTTGGCTGGTGAAAGCCCACCGGACCTAGAAACTCAGTTCTTACCGGCTTGTGGTAAAAAAGCAAATGTGTTATCTTTTTATTTTTTATTTTCAGGAAAGTTATACTAGTATTTTCTTAAGTGTGGAATCAAATGAGCACATAAGCTGTGTCCCTGTGAAAAGAGGTTTGTAGCCTTTCAGGTGCCTGCTCCTATTCATTTCTCTGTGACCATTGATCACTGTCCTTTGTGCATTGTGTGTCTAAGATGTCTTCAGGGGAAAGATGGGTAAGAGACAGTGTTGCTAATGCTGTTCCTTCTTTGTGCCTCCTTCCAAACCACAGTTATTTGCCCAAACTACCTCTCGTGGCTGGTTTTTCATTGGCCTGGCCTCTGCTTCTCAGGCTAATTAGTGACTCCTTTCTTTGAGGGTCAGGGTTGGAGGCCCCTTACTGGTGGTTTTACAGGGGGATCCTACTTTGTTACACATGTTGGGTTTCCTGATAAAAAGAGAGTATTTTATTAAACCCTTGAACCAGTGTCCTAGACCAGATGATTTTTGCCCATGTGTATCCCCATTTAAATTCCTACAACTAAGTCTCCCTGCTTTGTTAATAGTCCAACAGTTGGGTTGTGTAACATCACACTTCAACCGGTAGATGGCTCTAATCTCACACATTTACTTACTAAAGATTGAGGATTCGGAATATTTAGAATAAATTAGTTTTCTGCTTTCTAATTTTGCAGATCTTTACATTTTTATTGCTTTTCTTAAAATAAGGGATAGCTTTGCAACCACTATTGTTTTAATGGAAAGCAAAAAACCCCCCCAAACTTATCAGAATCCTCGTTCTTTTTCAGACTACTGAAAAATGACATTTACTCTGTTAAATGTTTAATAAGTGAATAAGTAAATGTATCAAGTTGTTTATATAATAAATTATAAAACTCTTGAGGCACTTGGTATGTTAAAAATTTTAAACTTTAGTAACATTAGGTTACAGGTATGATTTAAAAATTTGTAAATAGTTCAAAAGGGCAATGTTTTCTTTATATTTCTTATAGTCTTAATTTTGTTATCCATGTGCATAATTTACCTCATGATTTCTTTTGGTCAATCAGGATCTTTAATACAATATAGAAATTGTGTAATAGTTATTATAAATGTTAATACACAACTTTCAGGTAATTTTAACTGATTATTTCTTTTGCTCTTTTAACTTAAGTTATTAAAGTTTAAAAGTTCGTAAGTACCTTATTCAGATCTGTTCTGTTGCATTCGTTGAAGGTGATGGTGAAAGGAGGAACTGACCAATGCTTCAGGAATCTCAGACTGGATTTAGGAATCTCTCTAAGGCTCCATAAGAGAACATCACAGAGAAGATGTTAGCAATTTATACAGTGATTACAACATAGTAAGCCAGTTATGTCTCATAGGTGATTAGACAGCTGGGCCAAAGTTCAAAATGAGAACTTGCCTTGGAATATACATTCTAAGTATGGTAGCAAGTAGAGAGGGCCCACAATGAATTAAACTATTGTACTGGTAGTTCCCCTGGATTTATTCTAGGTGCCACCATTCAGTTCCAGTTTCTGTTTATTAATCAGCGAAATGAGGAATTTTTGGTTGCTGGAATATTGCTTAGAAGAGAATGCTTGAAGGTATTCTAAAGGTGGAAGGACTGTTGCCACAAATGTCCCTTCAGACCCTTCTTATTCATAAGTCTGGGCTTTCCACATGACATGTTCAAGTTAACTGCTGGGGTTATTAGCACAGACTACTGGGGCATAGGATGTAGGAGTGTAATATCTCCTACAGGTGGATAGAGCAGAGAGTGGAAAAAGATAATATGTATTTACGTGGATGAAGGAAAACATATTTGAAAACCAGTGAGATGATAACCTCTGCCTCTGAAGTGCTCTTATAGCAGTGTTACAGTTCCTACCATGGATGGAGACAGTGTCTTCTACTTGAATGATCTTTCCTATAGCCTTGTGCTGGTCAATACAATCGACCTTTGCTTGCTGGAGGGTGTCAATGGAGTTCTTTTAGTGCAGTCTGTCATTTGTGCAGGCACTTAGCTGGCTACCTGGATATTTGTGATACTGGAGGACACAAGAACATAGGGGAACCAGATAGGACAGGGCGTAATTATTAGAAAGACAGGATATTTTATTTTGTTTATTTATTTATTTATTTATTTATTTATTTATTTATTTATTTTTGTGTGAGCAATAAAGCTTTTTAATCACCTGGGTGCAGGCGGGCTGAGTCGGAAAAGAGAGTCAGCGAAGGGAGATGGGGTGGGGCCGTTTTATAGGATTTGGGTAGGTAAAGGAAAATTACAGTCAAAGGGGGTTCTCTGGCGGGCAGGGGTGGGGGTCACAAGGTGCTCAGTGGGGGAGCTTTTGAACCAGGATGAGCCAGGAAAAGGAATTTCACAAGGTAATATCATCAGTTAAGGCAGGAACAGCCCATTTTCACTTCTTTTGTGGTGGAATGTCATCAGTTAAGGCAGGAACCGACCATCTGGATGTGTACGTGCAGGTCACAGGGGATATGATGGCTTAGCTTTGGTGCAGAGGCCTGACTTTCCAAAGACAGGGTATTTTAAATGGAGGAATGTGTGGTAAGTTGGATCTGACTTCTGCGGTGATCCTGAAGATGAACCAGTTGGATTCTCTATAGGAGGCACAATAGATACAGCAAATATTCTTTGAATAATTAGTGATGTGTTTGAGTTGGTCCAGAAGTTTAAGAATAGCAAATGGAGAATACGTGAAAACTGAAGGGGATGTACTTCCAAGAGGGGGCATCCTAACCACTTCTGGTAGAAAATGATACACTTGTAGAATTCCCTACTCTAGCACTGTTAATACTTTTATCTGGCATTTTCTGGATTCCTTCGCCAGAAAGTAACTGTCTTCCAAATACTATCCTTGAAGTCCTCAAATATTCATTTTGGTGTGTTCCTGGAAGCAGCGTTGCAGGAGGTGAAAGACCACTGCCTAGATCAGGTATTCATGGATGTCACATTAGGAGAGTAATAAAAAGACGTCAACTCACTCAGCAGACTATAATCCTCTCTGTGAAGTCATGTGAGAAGTGGGCAATGCACATTTTAAGTTGCCCCATTATATACTGGAGGGCTGTTTCACAAGTGAACTCATAGATTAGACAGAAGACCTATGGCTATAAGAAGGAGCATAAGAAATAGATATAATCTCTGATTTTATTGAAACCTCAGTTTATTCTGCATGTAGACCTCATTATTTCTCTTAAGAATCTGTGGACTTTGTAGGGTCTATGAAGAGCCCAATAAATTGAATATGAAGTTGATGTCAGAGTACTTAAGAAGGGCCTAGGCTGGAACATGGGCCCTGGGACACTGGTCTTCCCCCTTCCCCCCACCCCCCAAGGTGGTTGTACCTGTGATTGGGACTTAGGTTAGCTCTTTAGCTCTGGGAAATGTCAAAACTGAAGTGAAACCAGTAGTTGGTCAGGTTGTGAGCCCTCAATGAGGATGACATCATCATGAAGTGAGACCTGGAGTGCTGGTGGGTCCTTGCCTTGTCTTTTGTCAGAAAGTGAATATCAATGGACCTAAAAGGGTGTAGACATATTGACAGATTATTGACAGATTATTATTATTATTATACATATTATTATATGTATAATAATAATATGTATTATATGATACATATATAATATAATATGTATATATATAATACATATAATATAATATGTATTATATGTATAATAATATGTGTAATATTATACATATTATTGTCAATATGTAGACATATTGATAGATTCTAGAAGAAAGCCCTTGAGTCTCTTGGAAAACTAAGATAGTATAATATATGTTATTTCAGCACAACAAAACTCACCCTGCCCCTTCCTCTTGCAGGAAGTTTGGAGAGGATTAGTTAACTCTTATCAAGAGGAACACACCAAATTTGGAGGTTAACAACAGTTAACAACCAAGTTAATTAAGGTTAATGGGAATTTTAACCTTTTAGGAAGAGTATCTTATTCTTTCTGGAGACAGGACAGGAGAAGCCCTGGTTAAACTTCCTTCCTATGTCACCAATAACTACTTTGAGCAGAGGGGAAGGGACTAACCAATTTAGAGGTGAAATTAGCTGCTTCTCTTTAGTAGGTAGTCTTGGGTTACCCAGAATAGATCCTCTGAATTAAAGGAACTACCTAGCAGGAAACAGTTGGCCATATTTAAATAGTTTGTTTAGGATTGTATCACATTAGTTTCCACTTTTCATGATGAGGGAAGGGAACTAGAAGGAACTACACACCAACAGGATCTTCCTATGGCCCCGACAACTAGAAATAATATATCCTCTACCATGCCTCTTCTGATGAGTACCACTTGGGAGGTTCAGCCATACTTGGATGTTCACCAAGGTAAGCAAGGCATAGTACATATGTTTCATCCTTGGCCTTGAGCTGAATTGTACCCCCTTAGCTAATGGCACAGTTTACTCACCATGGATTTTAAAGTCCACTGCTCCTCACTTAAGAACAGGATGGTGTGAGATGTTCAAGATGTTTCAGGAAACCAAGTGTGCCATCTGCAAGAAGAAAATTATAGCTCCAAGGAGGGATGAGCCCTGCCCTTGAGTCACTTCTGGATGAAACATCTGCAGAGGGCCTGACTCACTGGGTAAGCTGAAGGGACAGACCCAGGAATAACTATGGAAATGGAGGATGCCTTTCTTAGATTATGATGTGGGAGAAATGGTACTAACACCTCTGTGCTACTGCTATTAAGGCCATGCCTTGTACATGTACCCTCATTAGTTGAGAATCAATTGTTTATGGGATTTAACATGATGATGAAGCTTCAAAAACTAGATAATGATTGTTATAGGTTGGTATCATCATATTATTCTTTTAATACATTCCATAAAAATATGACCAATTACACATTTTTTCCTGATTGTATATTTTTGGAACACATTAAATAAAATAGCTTCAGTAGTTTGGCTTCCTTTGAAACCAGTCTAGAAGCTTCTATTGGTTAAAAAGCTATAGATATTAAAAATATAAAGTTAATAAACATGGTATACATCTTAGATTAATCACAAAATAATACAAATGGAATGTATTTCTTTCAAGCCAGATGAAAAGAGAAGTGAAAGAAAACAATCCAACAGAAGCCAGGAAGGAACAATGCAATAGAAGACAGGTAGGAGAAAAAAGAGGCAAAGAAAAAGGAAAAATATTGTAAATAGAAAGCCCAAAATAAAATGGCAGAAATAAATACAAATATGTCAGTAATTGTAATAAAATAAAACTTCATGAGTCTTCTGTCAAAAGACAAAACTATTCAAAATTAAATTTAAAAAGCAATATATGTAGTTAAAAGGGATATACTTAAACATAGAAGAAACTAAGACATACGAAGAAACACTAGGCATATATTAACCAAAAGAAAGCTGGTGTAGCAATATTAATATTACATAATCTATACTAGGGGGAAACCATTACTAAAAAGGTGGAATTTAATATAAAAGGAGTAATGCACCAAGTTACAATTATAAACTTGTATGACCTAACCACATAGCCTCAAAATGTAAAAAGCTAAGATTGAAAATTACAAGAAATGTTCAAGTCTATAAAAAAAAAAAAAGGCCCACAGGGTAAAAGTATAACAACTCATACTAGACATTAGCATTTCAGTCTTTAATGCTTACTACTAAGTGTATCATCACTGCTAAATGTAGGGAAAAAAAATTATGGCAGTCAAGGTTTCGTGACTCTAAAACTTTGTCTTTTTCTATCTATACCTCTGTGAAAATAACAGCTTGCTTTTTGAATATAACTGTCAGCCAAATATATCTATTCAGTAAGTCCTCTCTGGGTTACCAAAAGCGGGGAATCACATGGCCATAATTTTGCCAAATTTTCTGTTAGTTCAGTAATAAGTTGAGGGGAGAGAACCAACAGTTCTGTTTTCCTTATTTGTGTTCTCTCATTTATTTTTCCCTTGAGGTATTCAGCACCTTAAGGTACTCTTCTTGTGTTTAACCCATTTATGCCTGAGGTTGCAATTTTTTGAATTTTTGCAATCAGACCTTGGCGAAGACCTTGAGCAGGATATAAAATAACCCCCACATGCTTGGCGTTCCAATAATGGAACTCTAGGTATAAATGGGCTAATGAGAAACGGAGGTACAGAGATTAAGCAACTTGGCTAGCGTTATACAGCTTGTAAAACAGGAGAGCCTGGGACTCAATCCTGTGTTAATGCCAAAGCCTTAGCACCACCTTTAGTACCAACACCACAATCAGTCAATATGTATATACTGAGGGCATTGTTTTAAGTATTGTGGGGAAGAGGAAGTAGTATAATGAGATTTAAAGATCTGAAGATGAAAAGTCCAAATAAGAACCTTGAACTGAAATAGATCAGTTAGTGTTTCAAGATGAGGAATCTGTTTGTTGATAGCCAGATTATGAAACTGATGAGTGCCAAAATAGAAATTCAGAAAAATATACTTACCTTTATCATGAAATATGGTATATTTCACTTTTGCTTTTAGTATTTTCTTTTATATCCTAAATCTGCTTATGTGTGCTGTGCAAATTGTTAAAATTTTAAATAACTGTATAGTCCCTATTTTTGTTTGTCCTTGTTTTCTTATTTTGTTTCTTAATTTTAGAATGATGTTCCAATTTCTAGAATCTAGCAGTTCTCTAAGTGAAAGTATATAGTCATAAATTCATGAATCTAAGTATTTTTTAATGATATTTTACTAATTATTTAAATATACATTTATCTCTGAACATGAAAACATCAACATTCAAAAGTTTTATTTGAATTAACTATTATAGTGACAAAGCCAGATAATTTTATTAGAGGCCACAAACACTGAAACTTTTTCATACATACAGTTTTAATGCAAATGAACTTATTAATATGACATCCATTTATTAACAATTTAAGTTCTATGAATTTATCGAACATTTATTACTGTATTCTTATATCTTTCCTAACAAGCCTGCAGAAACCAGATTAAATATCCTTGACAGTGGTTATTACCAAAGCAAATACCACCCTGTTAGCTAAAATGCCACAGATTGGATAATTCCTGGTAAATTAAACACCTCATATCACAGTTGAGATAAGCTCTTATACCCCCAAACTAAGAGACTTTACTATGAATTGCATAATGAATACACAATGCTGTATTTTACATTTTTTCTGAAGTGTAGCTATTTTGTTGGACATGATGTGTCTTTGAAGAAATGTGTTGAATCTTATTTTTATATAGGTCTCTTAGCTATCATCGAAAATGTATTTAAAAAATATCAAAAGGCATTAAAGTTCTTGCTAACTTGGAAGGCCAGGAAGACCTATATTTTTATTCCATGTTTAAATAATTTTTTTCAGGATTCTGTCTAAATGCAAGCAGTATAGTCCCACAGCAAAGCATGATGGGTGCTTTTTCAGTTTTTTTTTTTGGTATGGCAGGTTACGACTTTTTGACAGAATCAGATTGATAGATCATACAAAATGTCCTGGGTAGCATATTTTAGATTACCTTTAAAACTCACTTAAGGAATTTATAAAGGCTTTCTCTTTTTTTTTTTTTGAGGTGAAGTCTCACTCTGCTGCCTAGGCTGGAGTGCAGTGGCGTGATCTCGGCTCACTGCAACCTCTGTCCCCCGAGTTCAAGCAATTCTCCTGCCTCAGCCTCCTGAGTAGCTGGGATTATAGCCACCTGCCACCGTGCCTGGCTAATTTTTGTATTTTTAGTAGAGACGGGGTTTCACCATCTTGGCCAGGCTGGTCTTGAACTCCTGACCTCGTAAGGTAAGAAAGGCCTCCCAAAGTGCTGGGATTACAGGTGTGAGCCACCGCTCCCGGCTTATAAAGGCTTTCGTAAAGAGTCTTCAATTTTGGTAAATTGAAGTTACTGCATTAATTTTTTACATTTAAATTTCTATAAAATTTATTTTACAGAAACATCCTATATTTTATATAAAAAGCAAAACAGTACTGAGTTCTGTTTGATTTTATAAGTAATTACTGGAACATTATATCAAGTTAAAATGTGTGAGAAGCCTATTGATTTATAGAATAAAATTATAAGTACTAACATAAGCAAATTTTTGAAAATATATATGGTTAATTGCATGAACGCTGATGATTGCATTTTCGTGCCATTTTAAGAGTTGAAAAAAGTATTTTTTGGCTTGGCTATAAAGGAAATATTTTTAACATTCATTGTGATATTGTTTGACCTACTACAAACAATAATAATAGTCCTCAAAATAGTAAGTTTTTTCTTATTTAAATGTTATGTACATAAAAATCAGCCTCTAGAAGGTAGTTAATTCATAACAAATTTTAAATAAAACTTTTGGTTGTAACTGATGTCCTAAAATTAGTTTTTTAGCTTAAGGAGAATATGTAGCACTTCTTTCTTTTTCCATAATCCATGGAGATGATCTAAAAGTGGAGCTATCAGCACTGGGGCATAAAACCAATATAAATGTATAACTGTGTAGCTATTGTAAAAATTGAAATCAGTATGATATCAGTTAGAAAAACATAGGAAAAATAGTGAAATCTTATTGCTTAACACAGAGTAGAGAGAAGGGGACTACCCAAGTTAAACCAAGTTATCGAAACTCATCCTTGGTAAGTTGGTTGAGGCAGATGTTTAAATATTCAGTATGTGAAGGTAGGTAGGTGAGTCTGAGCTCAAGAGTTTTAAACAAATTGTCTAAACAGCTAGGGCATAAGCATGAAAATCTATTTGGTAAACGTAGGATTGTTGCTGCATTTATGTTCATTTTTCCTTAGACATAAGGAAATAGACAACATTAGGATATTAAATATGTTACTTTAATTGAAAGCTATTCTCACAGACAGTTGGAAATAGCCTGAATAAAATAATGCTAACAGGTTAACTGAAGTCAGTATGTGGGTACCTATATAGGGCAGGAAAAATTTACACGTATTAGTATCTTTTAAAATACTATGCGTAATAGTTCAGATACTAATAAGGATTTTAGGAAATTTCTTTTATGTGTTGCTACAAATATATAAATGAATATTGTGTAGCTTTATTTTGGTATCAAAATTAGACATGTTAAAAGCAAAGATCCTGAGTGTGATTAGCAATTAATACACATTGTATTAAAATCATCTCAAATTGTTAATGAATACTTTAAAATTATCATCCTTTAGATGTTTTCTCCAAAACATCAAAGGAAAAAAAGGTATGCTTTTTAGGCAATACTTTTTATAGTAATGAAACGTTTATATACTATCATTGTGTTGTTTCACAGCTGTATGAGGTTAAAGATGAAAGTTTAGTCTCGGTATCTTCATTCATTTTTATACCATGATTTATAAAAATGATGTTGATAATTAAAAGTTAAAGCATTGATCTTTTGTAGTTATTAAAGGTATTTTTGCTATCATGGATATGTTATATTACAAAATAAGAGCCAAATATCACAATTTAAGCAGAGTAAGTTTTTTGGGGGGAATACATTAATAAATTTTCCTACCATCTCTGTTCTTCTGTACTTTATAGTTTGGAGTGAGAAATAAAGTAATATATAATATTTGTAGAACTGAACGAAAGTAATGTGGAAGCACATCAATACATTTTGGTAAAGAGCCAATTGCCTAAAATAGCTAAGAAAAACACTTCGATATCAATCTTTCTTGAACTAATATACAATGACTCTCAGACTCTTAAAATTTACAGATGGTGTGGAACAAAAATGCCTTGTTGTACACTTGAATAAGCCTGAATAATAAATATAGGATTAACATGTATGCTGAAAACATCAGACAAGCTGAATATGAAATAGATTGTTTCACGATATTTTGACTAGGGCTCTAATAACACTCTACTGGGGTTGTTCTACACAGCATGTTATTTTAAAAATAACTGGCTGGGCGCGGTGGCTCATGTCTGTAATCCTAGCACTTTGGGAGGCCGAGGCAGGTGGATCACGAGGTCAGGAGATAGAGACCATCCTGGCTAACACGGTGAAACCCCGTCTCTACTAAAAATACAAAAAAATTAGCTGGGCCTGGTGGCGGGCGCCTGTAGTCCCAGCTACTCGGGAGGCTGAGGCAGGAGAATGGCATGAACCCGGGAGTTGGAGCTTGCAGTGAGCCGAGATGGCACCACTGCACTCCAGCCTGTGCAACAGAGCGGGACTCAGTCTCAAAAAAATAAATAAATAAATCAAAATAAATTAAAAAAATAAAAAATAAATAAAAATAACTGCAGAACTCAGGCCTGTAATCCCAGCACTTTGGGAGGCTGAGGTGGGTGGATCACCTGAGATGAGGAGTTTGAGACCAGCCTTGCCAACATGGTGAAACCCTGTCTCTATTAAAAATACAAAATTAGCCGGGCGTGGTGGCAGGCGCCTGTAATCCTAGCTACTCGGGAGGCTGAGGCAGGAGAATTGCTTGAACCTGGGAGGCAGAGGTAGGAGAACTGCTTGAACCCGGGAGGCAGAGGTTGCAGTGAGCCAAGATGGCGGCATTGCAAGCCAGCCTGGGGGACAAGGCTGAGACTTCATATCACAACAAAACAAAAGAAAAAACCAAAACAGAACAAAAAAACTGCAGGAAAAAAAATTAAATAGTTGGAGTGGCCTTAGGGTGTGCCAAAATATTCTTTAATATAACTATGCCATTACATTTTATTCCTTAATCTAAATATTTGAGCTCAGAAACCTTAGTACATTATCTTTTATGACAAGGTAAAATAAAATCACCTAAAGTTATTATTGGGTTATCTTCCTAATATTATGAGAAGATTTTTTGTATATAATTCTTATTCTTGCCCAGCAGAAGTACAAATCAACTTTAGATCTTAGAATGGATGTGAAATTAAAATAGTAAAATCCTAGTATTTCCTCGTATTGTGCAATCGAATTTTATTAAAGGCCAGAATAAATTTTCATGTAGTCAATGTAAATATTGCTTATTTATGTAACTTTTTATTGTTTTATTAATCTATTCTTCTCTAAAAGGAGTATAATGTTTTTAGAGAAGAAAGTTGGGATATATATTAAACAGGCAATATTTAAAGGAAAGTTACTGTGGCAATTATTTAATTTTAAAATGTTCTAGTTAGAGTGGCATTTGTTAATTGTAAAAAGCTTCTCTAATTCTGTAAAAGCACGCAATCATAGCTTCTTTGTATTTAAAAGGTGAAATATGCGTGGTGGCTCAACGCCTGTAATCCCAGCATTTTGGGAGACCAGGTGGGCGGATCACGAGGTCAGGAGGTCGGGACCATCCTGGCTAACACGCTGAAACCCCGTCACTACTAAAAATACAAAAAATTAGCCGGGAGTAGTGGCGGGCGCCTGTAGTCCCAGCTACTCGGGAGGCTGAAGCAGGAGAAGGGCGTGAACGAACCTGGGAGGTGGAGCTTGCAGTGAGCCGAGATTGCGCCCTTGCACTCCGGCCTGGGCTACAGAGCCAGACTCCGTCTCAAAAAAAAAAAAACAAAAACAAAAACAAAAGATGCCATAAGGAATAAGGATCTTTATACTTCACGTATGGATGGCAAAAGAGGGCCAAAAATAGATATGGAGATAATCCAGATAATCATTAAGTATATTTAAGAATAGTGTAAACTTTGGCCATTGTAATTGCTATAAAATAAAAATATGACAGATTTCTGGATGTTTTATATATATACAGATTATATTTTATAGATACTAATGTTTGCCAACATTTCTAATATAAACTTAGAGTTTGAAATGTTTCATCAAAACATTTAATACATGTAAAATATATACAAAGTTAAATACAATAAAATCAAAATAATGTGGAAACTAGAATCTACTTGACATATCTCCCTAGCAAGATAGTGTTTTTTTTTTTTCGACTGTACTATATTATACAAATGGCCTGTTGCTACACATATTCTGTACATGCCATAGTTATGTCTACAAATATGGAATAGCTGGAATAAAATGGAAAAATCTAAACACCAAAGATGTTTGTACATGGTTGTATATGAAATTATCATGTTGACAAAATAGCCAGATAATAACTAAATTTTTCAAACTCAAGATTTTTGTTGTCTTATAGGTGTAACCTTTGGTCTATTTGTTACAGATTATAAGTCTATGTTACTTGAGTGTGTGAATGAATAAAGGAAACATTTAGTTTATCCTGCATCTCCAATGTTCTGGTTACTAAGATTTCTTTAATTCTCTTAAAAAAGCAAAAACATTTAACCTTAAGCACATCCAAACCCTCATATTTGTTACCAGATCACATATGGGGCTAGTTGTTTTTTATTATTGGACAAAATAGTTATCCAAGGTTCTGCTTAACAGAATCAGCAGAGGAAGGTGGAGTAAGAATTGAATCCTCTGCTCTGAAATCTTTTCTAGGATGAAGATGTGGGCTTTGAGAATATCAAGGTTTCAAACCTAGACAAAGGCTGAGAAAAGCTTCTCACAGAATGTAACCTTGGTTCCTATTAAGAGATTTAAAGAAAATTAAGGTTTAATGCATTTTAAATGGCTCTAATTTTATAATTACTTGGGAAAGATTTAAAAAATCAGATTAACTGGGCCTGGATTCTGCAGAGAGAAGGTGTGTTTTAGGAAATTCCCACTAGAAAAAGTAGGTGACCTCATAACCTGCTGCTGGACAAGGAGGCATTCTAGGGCTATAAAAAGAGACTCACTTCAAGGGATCTGAGGCCACATCCAATGGTATTTCTAAGTTATTAGGTTATGCTTTCTTTGTATCATCCCTGAACTTTGGTAAAGATTTGTTGAAAAAAGATTTATGAACTATGATATACAAAATTAAGATGAGATCTGATAGGTAATAAAGCAACTATCCAGAGAAAATCAGAGAATTATTAATATACTACTTCATGTTAATAGAGTAGCATCCTGTTAAAACATGCAATGAATAGACTCTGTGTCCCAACAAATGATTTTTATTCGATCCACTGCTGAACATAAGGATCCTTTGAGATATTGTTTTGCTCAAGAAACTGAGAATAGGAAATTTCAGTTAAGGCATCCATAATGAATAAATGCTTACTTCAGGAGTCAAGATGTAACCAAATCCTTTTACCTAAAAATCTTGTAATTTTCCCTGCCTGCTTTAAGTGATTTGAGTTGTGATTGAAGAAGAATGCAAGCATCAAGGAGGTGGGGTTAACTTCATAAAGATGAACACAAGTTTTGAAGTAGCACTTAGGCCAAATCAACTGCCTGGCCTGCATCTAATAACAGAAATTTAATACTAAGTGTTCTGTTAGTTTTTCCAAAAACTTAACTAGGGACTTATATAGTTAAGGGAAATGAGCTAAAGATTCTAAGGTAAAAGGCAAAATTTTTGTAAAGAGGTATGTTTGATTATATATTGTAATTTCCATGATTTGGGAACGTAGGCCCTCTGCTGACTTACCAAAACATTGAACATGTCTATCAACAAGCAATTTGCCACTGCTGGAATAGGTAAGTATCAGGAGTAAGTAATAAAAACAATGGATAATTTCTCATGGCATATAAGACCTAGATAACTCTAGGGTCAAGTGTTTTAAATTGTGCAATTACACAGAGTTTATTCTTATCAAGTATCTTAAAGCAATATGAATAAGCTTTCTGTGTAAATGCACAATTATCACTTGTGAAGTTATAAAATAGTCTTCCAACTAGGAAAGAAACACATTTATGATGTATTTTAATAATAATTTAAAGGTGGTTTATCGAAATCAGTGTTGTGAAAAAAATTCACTCCAATGACATCAGACTATATTTAACCTTAGGCACTGTTATAATTTTTGAGCTAAAAATACTTCAGTGGACAATTATGATAATGACCCATTTACCTTAGAGACACATCCAAGTTTTATCAGTATAAAAAGTCTGGTACCTGTCATTAGGATGTAAAAAGGAAAACTAAACTAGAATAACCCTCTTCCAAAATAGCAAATTCTATATGGAGGGCCTGTACTAAGACTGATACATGCCTACATTGTGGCAATTAGCAAGAAAAATTGAAAGGAAGAAAGAAGAAAAATAACATTTATTTTTGGTGAACTTTATTCTTTCATAAGCAGTGGAAATGTGCCATGTTCCCAATATACAAAGAGGACATGGCACAGCCTCTAGGTATCTTTTGCTATAGCAGGGATTAAAGTTTTTCTGGGATACCTTAGAAGTTCTTTCTTCTCATGCTGTGTTCCTTCTTATATTTCCCAGAATGCTGACTTGCACAATACTTTTAAAGAAAATTAAATTCTGGGGTAATTTATTTCCACTATTTTGGTTAGAAAACTGGTTAATATTTAGGTTACTTGATAAAAGCATGATTAAACAGTTTTATGTTTATCACAATTTGTTTCTTTTTTTTAGAAGTGAAATATTTTTCTGATTCAGATTCCCAGATGCTAAAGGGATTAGAATAGATATTTATTTGAGTTAGATTTAATTTTGGTGATTCAATGAAAGACGGTCCATAACTCTTGGGTGGGACAAAAATTATTTTTGAAAAGCATTGTGTTAAGGAACTTCCCTCTCACTCCTCCTACCCTCCTCCCGCCTCCACTCCCCAGAAATCACTTGCTTCCTTACAGGTGATCATTTATTAGCAAAAAAAAGTTCTGAGTTCTAACACTTAATAGTAATGTCACCTTGGGAAATTCTCTTAACCTTTCTGAGCTTCACTTCTCTCATAAAAAAGTGCCTGATTATCTCACAAAAATATTGAGTGGATAAAATGAGATAATGCATGTGAAGTGCTTGTACATTGTAAGGTGCTATATAAATATAAATATATAAATATAAGGTATTACTCTTGTTTTGAAATAATATAGTCAGAAAAAATGTGATATTTTAAGCAGGACTTTATAGCACATCATCAACAAAGTTAATACCATTTTTACTTGGAATATTATCGTGGACTTTGAACAATCTTCAATGATTTAAGCAAAGCTTTTCTGTAGAACAGTGAACACAGGTTAAGTGACCAAAATTTCAAGACTAGTATCTTAAGACTATTCCATAGTTATAGACTCTGTTTCTTCATATATGAAGTAAGGGATAATAGGATCTCTGGGATTTATTTGAGTCCTTAAATTATATAATTCTATGGTTTCATATTTATAACATAGGAAAATATGTTTATATCTAAACATAAGTCAATCTGTTTATATAGCTGTATCACTCACTGGCTAAACTGGAAACCATAAAGCTTCAAGGGTTAAAGTAATAAAGCAGTCCAGGCCTAGGCCCTATAGCTTAATCCCTTTTTAGGCCATACTTTTTGATCCTGATTTAATGTTACATTTATTGTGTAATATATTAATATTAATAGGGTTAGCTATATTCCAATTTCCCTGAGACAGTCGAGGCTTATGCTTACTGTATTACTAGAATTTTAGTTTTGAAAAACAGTTTTTGAATAGAATGATTTTATAGGCTTATTAATATGGCAAACTTCTTTTTGGCCAATAAAGACATATTTCAAAAAATATGTAATTTTAATTCTTTTTGGTGCCCCCTTTCTCTCTCAAGTATTCATATTTGGATGATAAGTAGATGATTACCCCATATAAGATCTCTGAGCAGAGATCAGCAAAGTCAAGAACTGTCTGACTATTACAAGGAGCAGAAGTTAGTGCAGAATTTGATATGACTGATGAAACATCAGAGGACCTCGTCTATAGGTGAATCACCTTGATTTCTGTAAAGATAATAAAAATCAAGTCTGCTGCTCATCAATGCAGGTGGGGGTGAGATTCAAGAGGAAATATGTGTTGGAGAACAAGGACTCCTAATTCTGAGTCCATATAATGTTGTTTCAGAGAAGGTTAAACTAATAATTACAGTGGAACTTGGCATGTGTCTAAGGATGTAATCAGTTCTAAGAAAAGATGTAGTTATATTACTACACATGACTCTATTCAGACAGACCGTAAAGTAAGACAGGCAGTCTGTCTTACTTTAATGGAATGAATTGTACTTTATTTAAATAATAAAGATGAGATTTCTTTTGAAACTGCATGACCCGAGATTAAATCATGTCAGTAAAAACTGTACTGTTACTTACCTTTAGCTAGCATGTATGAAGATGTTTGGTTTGAAGGATGTTTAATAAGGAAAGACCAACTGGATGATTTATATGAAGAAATGACATTTAGAATGAATTCTGGATGTTTCTCCAAATAATTCATCATTTAGAAGAGAATAGGGAAAGCTGAATTCTCTGTAATGGATATACAAAATTTAAGCAAAGGTGACAGTGATTTAGAAAGTAATTTTCATGAAGCAAGTGAATGGATTAAATGAATTGTACAGTGTTAGGTTTATATCCCAAATCAAAGTTTGAATTTTAAAAAAATGTTTAACTTCAAAAAGTCCCATCAAAAAAACAAACACATTATCTTTTCTTCAGCTTTCTAAACTTTTCCCATATCATGGCATAACCATAATATTCACATGGCACAGTGGGGCTAAGGGAGCCTGTGTGCACTGAAGGTGATGTGAAAGGATGTCCTGAATTCTCTATTGCTGTTTTTAATATGGTTACTAAGATAACAAAGTCATTTATTCACTGGGGGATGGGGAAAAAAAATAATGCTTTAGACTACCACTACAAACAAATACATATACTCCAGTTCTGTAGGAAACCACCAGTTAAACATTTGATGCACGAAGAACTAAATCTTTTTATTTTGTTTTTGTTTTTGAGACGGAATCTTGCTCTGTCACCAGGCTGGAGTGCAGTGGTGTGATCTCGGCTCACTGCAATCTCTGCCTCCCGGCTTCAAGCCATTCCCCTACCTCAGCCTCTTGAGTAGCTGGAACTACAGGCGTGCACCACCACACCTGGCTAGTTTTTTGTATTTTAGTAGAGATGGGGTTTCACCATGTTGGCCGGGATGGTCTCGATCTCCTGACCTTGTGATCCACCCGCCTAGGCCTCCCAAAGTGCTGGAATTACAGATGTGAGCCACTGTGCCTGGCCAAGAACTAAATCTTAACAAGGAATTCAGACTTTTATATTTCTCAAAAATCAGATGTTGGTCAGTTCCCCCAAAACTAGAAATAAGTCCACAGAATTTTGATCCATTAATTAGATGGGATTTATCAGTTGCTTTTTTGATACCTTCTACAAAGGGATGGAATGATAGCTGTTAGATAAAGCTGCAAAAACTCACCTGTTAAAAAATTAGAACTTGTCTGTAGCCTCAGATTCCCAGTCCAGACACGTAGAATAGGTGCAACACTACTTGTTAATAAGTAATATTACAATAATATTGTCTGTTCTAATTAACATATGTTTTCTGTTATACTTCTTTATATCTATACATGTATGCATACATATATATTTGTGTATATATATAATATATATAATATAGTTACATAAAAGCTCTAATCACCAAGATATTTCTATAAAAGGACTTCACTATAGATTATCACAAAGCCTTAGGTTTCAGATGATTATATACCATTTGATTAATTAAAAGAACAGAATGAATGATGACATGAGCAATTGTACCCCAATGGGCATCTGCAATTCAAATACTATGAGATATTGAAGGATCAACTTAGAAATGTTTTTATTTCAAATGCTTCATGAGTGAAAGTAAAGCCACTATTAATGTAAATACCACAGGTCCCATTTGATGGAGAAAATACTTTACTGAGATAACACATAGATTATATGATAGACCCAGCCTTCACAAATACTTTTTAAAGGAATAAAACCTATCAAAGACAAAGGTATAGAGAGAATGCCACAAAACTTGTCAGTGGTTAGTAAAGGGAGAAAATAAATATTAAGACATTAGGGGCAGTTACTTTGAAGGCTTTATACCTCTGGAAAGAAACCTGACTCATTATAAAACAAAATAACAACACAAAATGATATTTTTAAAATGATATTTTTTTCCCAGGAAATAAAAACTCTTAGAGATGTGTTTTTATCTTCACCATCTCATGCAGGAAGAAATGGAGAAGAAAAAAGTAGGAGTCTAATCAAAGAACTTTCTTCTTAGACATTCTCTCTTCAGACCTAACGGTATACTGGAATCTTATGGGTACATCCCAAGAAGTGTGAGGATCTAGGTCCCCAAAATTTTCTCTGATGAACAACCATCAACTGTTGCTTATCTTCTGAAGTGAGAAGACTCTTAGCAGGGGAGGAAGTGAGGGGCCTTGGTCTCAAAGTATAGAGAGGTCACTTCTCACACTCCTGTATTTCCAAGGGAAGAGTAAGTCCAACAAACAGCAGCCACTGTAGTTGCTAATCAGAGAGTAGTATTCACCATGTAAGGACAAAGCCGATGCGATATTTTTAAGGACTTATGCACAGGGATAAAAACACTGAATAGAGTTGAAAGAAACCGCACCAATTATGAATATTACTTATATTCATTCTTTGGGTAAAATTTTCCTCTTTGCCACTTTTAAGTCTATAGGGATTTCAGGATAAACTGGAGTCAAACTATAGATCTAGAGGCCAACAATTTATTACAGTAACAAAGAGCATGTTGAAGCATGATATTGAAGTTGTATTGGATGCCCTCCTAAAGTCCTTTGATTCTGTATTTTAATTCTATTGAAGTGCAATTTCTGGGAAAGATACGAATAATTTTTATGTGTGACCCCCAAATCATTATTTTATAGTTAAGCGTAGCATAAATCTAGGAAACACACTCCTACATATGGGGGTTATCATGTATAAATTTGTTTGAAAATAATTGTACTGTTCTTGTCGGTGGAAATTTATAAAGCAATCTGTTTTAAACTAAATCGTACCTCTTTCCAAGCCATCCTTCTGAAATCAGCTGACAGAGGAAGTTAAAGCCTAATTTCCCAAGATGCTTTATCTTTTGACATGTTACCATCTTTCTATCTCAGATTGTATTAGAGATTTTTGGAAAACAGGCTGCAAAGTTATTACCTTGTGATTTTGGTACATGTACTAATATCTGTATTATCCATTTTATTCTAACACCCAGTGAATTTCAGATAATTTCTTCAGATTTGCCTTTCAAAATGGGTCCTAAGTAAAACCTTAATTTTCAAAATTATCAGAGATATACTACAAAATAGAAATAAATAAAATGGGCTTTACTTAGTATATGTAAGGAGAATTTTTGTCTCTCAATCTATCTGTTTTTAGAAGTAACATGTGTGGGGCTGGGTACAATGGCTCACGCCTGTAATCTCAGCACTTTGGATGGCCAAAGTAGGAAGATCACTTGAGCCCAGGAGTTTGAGACCAGCTTGGGGAACCTAGTAAGACCCTGTCTCTACAAAAAATAAAAAATTAGCTGGGTGTGGTGGTGCATGCCTGTAATCCTAGCTACTAGGGAGGCTGAGGTGAAAGGATGGCTTAAGCCCAGGAGTTTGAGGTCACAGTGAGCCATGATCGCATAACTGCATTCCAACCTGGGCCCCAGAGCAAGACAGTCTCTTAAAAAAAAAAAAAAAAAAAAAAAAAGTAACATGTTTGGGCTATTAAGCTAGGCCATGAAGAAGGCTGTATGATATCCTCCATTTATTCAGATTGTCAAACTCCCAAAATTTTTAGTAGCTTCTCAAAATAAAGCTAAATTCTAAGAAAGTGCATATGTATAAATTATATATGTGTGTGTATATATGCATATAAACATGTATATATGTGTATGCATATAATCTATATAGTTGTGGAAGAAACACACTTGGGTATCAATTATCATCAAAATTCCTTATCCAATAATACATAATTAATTTTTATTAACAGTCCAGGATTTGTTTAGCATCTTGTTTAACATTTGAAAATCAAAACATAAACTTTTTGGTTCTCAAGGATAGTGCTATTAAAAGAAAATCTTGAACATCAGTGGTTAGTAATTTTTTACTTACAGAACAAAAACTTCTGAAATTTCATTGTGGGACTTAATCTATTTACATTCCTAAAACTGAGAATAATTAATGTATTTGAGATCCTTGTATGCTAGTATACATTCATAAGGTTCTACTGTTCTCATGAAGCCATTTGACTGGCAAACATATTCATTACAGTTTCAAAAGAAAACACCCTATTTGACTCACCAGAAAAACCTTTGTGATCTATATCCTACTATTTCTGCTGCTGCTGCTGAGCATGGAATACATGTGGGGTTGAAACAGGGGAGGAAAGAGATAGATTTATTAGGGTAATACCAACTTTTATGGCTCCCCCTGCCCCCTCCACCTAAAATTAGGAGGTCAGTGAAAGAACTGCAAATGAATGTAAAGAGGAATATTTCCTGTACTACTGTAGAAATTTTAGAGATTAAAAACCCCTATGATTTGTTCTGTACCTTTTGAACAATGAATGACACCCCTCCCATCTATTTTCCAATTTTATAGTAAAAATCGGATTTAGAATCAGAATCTAAAATTTTCCTTTGGTGTAAAAAATAGTTTTGCATTTTATGAAAACAATTGTCCTTTTAAAAATTAATCACATATATAATTGAATATATTGGTTGCATATCAGAAGAAAAGGTTTAAGGATTAAAGCATTCAAAGAACAGTAATTTGGTGGAATTTCAGTCAGTGTTATGGGATCATGTCAGAGATGAACCCTTTTATCAAAATTCCAAAGGTGGATCCATATTTTATAAAATTTGATACCAAATAAATTATGTTATAGGAAGATTTCAATATTGTCTCAAACACTGGAGAAAAAATTTAATATAGTCAAATTACATGAAAAGGCAAGAATACTGATCATGTTGATGGTATTTCTAATATTTGGAAAATGTTATAAAAAAGAAGTATAAATACTATTCAGATTCTGAAAACCATGGCAGACGCAAAATTAAATAAGGAGTAACAGTAATAAATGAATTAAAAATTAGACAAAAGCATATTAAATGACAAAACAGCAAAGCAAAAATAGAATTGTCATTAATATTAAATAGTATACTGTTGTAAAATATATGAAAGTATTAAAAGTATTATAATTAAAAATGATTCTTATCCTAAATATGAAAATAAATATCAAATAATATGAAACATAACATCTAATTGTTTGATAAGAAAAAATAACACAAAGCAGAGAAAATAAAAGACACCTCACTATTCCCAATGTGGTTATTATTTATGGAATGGATAAAACATGTTGTAGAAAAGGTCATTACAGTTAGGTTAGCACATAAAAAACCAACATGCCACATCTACCTAAATAATTTTGTAGAACAGCTGAAAAAGCAAATTTCATCAAATTTAGACAGCTTATAGTGGAATAACTGAGTATGGTGAGGTATTAACTAACACTAAGTTTCACAACGGGCAGCTTCTAGCTGGTTCGTTGAAGCTGGATCTCGGCCACGCAAGGATCATTGGACAAGAAATCAGTTGAGCTGGAATAGAGCTGCCCAATTGTCTTAATAATGAATGCTCCACACTGTCTGTTAAGTAAAGAGAAAATATAGATCAGGAAGACTGAATGGAAAAAAAAAGATAAGTTAGAACAGATGAGTACAGACCATCAATCAACATTCACTAAATATTTGCAGAACCTTGGTACCAATTAAATTAGAATGTTACAAAGTGAGAGGCTAGCAATTTAGGAGGGCTCCAGAACTCAGGAAAACCTGCTCTCTGAGAGCTTAGAATCTATATTAGACAATCTCTAGTCTAGTGTTACAGTATAAATGTTGAGTAAATAAAATGAGGGATGGGTCAGCACAGATTACGAGTTACAACATTTCCTTCTATTAGGTGGGTCTTAAAAACTTGTTTTTAAAAGGGGAATAGTATTTTTGGCAGGAGGCTATTTAGAACGCTGTCCAGGGGAGGAGCCAAGATGGCCGAATAGGAACAGCTCCGGTCTACAGCTCCCAGCGTGAGCGACGCAGAAGACGGGTGATTTCTGCATTTCCATCTGAGGTACCGGGTTCATCTCACTAGGGAGTGCCAGACAGTGGGCGCAGGTCAGTGGGTGCGTGCACCGTGCGCAAGCTGAAGCAGGGCGAGGCATTGCCTCACTTGGGAAGCGCAAGGGGTCAGGGAGTTCCCTTTCTGAGTCAAAGAAAGGGGTGATGGACGGCACCTGGAAAATCGGGTCACTACTGCGCTTTTCCGACGGGCTTAAAAAACGGCGCACCACGAGATTATATCTCGCACCTGGCTCGGAGGGTCCTACGCCCACGGAGTCTCGCTGATTGCTAGCACAGCAGTCTGAGCTCTAACTGCAAGGCGGCAGCGAGGCTGGGGGAGGGGCGCCCGCCATTGCCCAGGCTTGATTAGGTAAACAAAGCAGCTGGGAAGCTCCAACTGGGTGGAGCCCAGCACAGCTCAAGGAGGCCTGCCTGCCTCTGTAGGCTCCACCTCTGGGGGCAGGGCACAGACAAACAAAAAGATCAGTAACCTCTGCAGACTTAAATGTCCCTGTCTGACAGCTTTGAAGAGAGCAGTGGTTTTCCCAGCATGCAGCTGGAGATCTGAGAACGGGCAGACTGCCTCCTCAAGTGGGTCCCTGACCCCTGACCCCCAAGCAGCCTAACTGGGAGGCACCCCCCACCAGGGGCACACTGACACCTCACAGGGCAGGGTATTCCAACAGACCTGCAGCTGAGGGTCCTCTCTGTTAGAAGGAAAACTAACAAACAGAAAGGACATCCACACCAAAAACCCATCTGTACATCACCATCATCAAAGACCAAAAGTAGATAAAACCACAAAGATGGGGAAAAAACAGAACAGAAAAACTGGAAACTCTAAAAAGCAGAGTGTCTCTCCTCCTCCAAAGGAACGCAGTTCCTCACCAGCAACAGAACAAAGCTGGATGGGGAATGACTTTGACGAGCTGAGAGAAGAAGGCTTCAGACGATCAAATTACTCTGAGCTAC
The DNA here is from genome assembly GCF_000001405.40 of Homo sapiens. Lineage (NCBI taxonomy): Eukaryota > Metazoa > Chordata > Mammalia > Primates > Hominidae > Homo > Homo sapiens. Next base: position 197,730,022 of record NC_000002.12, read on the forward strand.
GGGAGGACATTCAAACCAAAGGCAAAGAAGTTGAAAACTTTGAAAAAAATTTAGAAGAATGTATAACTAGAATAACCAATACAGAGAAGTGCTTAAAGGAGCTGATGGAGCTGAAAACCAAGGCTCGAGAACTACGTGAAGAATGAAGAAGCCTCAGGAGCCAATGCGATCAACTGGAAGAAAGGGTATCAGCGATGGAAGATGAAATGAATGAAATGAAGCGAGAAGGGAAGTTTAGAGAAAAAAGAATAAAAAGAAATGAGCAAAGCCTCCAAGAAATATGGGACTATGTGAAAAGACCAAATCTACGTCTGACTGGTGTACCTGAAAGTGATGGGGAGAATGGAACCAAGTTGGAAAACACTCTGCAGGATATTATCCAGGAGAACTTCCCCAATCTAGCAAGGCAGGCCAACGTTCAGATTCAGGAAATACAGAGAACGCCACAAAGATACTCCTCGAGAAGAGCAACTCCAAGACACATAATTGTCAGATTCACCAAAGTTGAAATGAAGGAAAAAATGTTGAGGGCAGCCAGAGAGAAAGGTCGGGTTACCCTCAAAGGGAAGCCCATCAGACTAACAGCGGATCTCTCGGCAGAAACCCTACAAGCCAGAAGAGAGTGGGGGCCAATATTCAACATTCTTAAAGAAAAGAATTTTCAACCCAGAATTTCATATCCAGCCAAACTAAGCTTCATAAGTGAAGGAGAAATAAAATCTTTTACAGACAAGCAAATGCTGAGAGATTTTGTCACCACCAGGCCTGCCTTACAAGAGCTCCTAAAGGAAGCACTAAACATGGAAAGGAACAACCGGTACCAGCCGCTGCAAAATCATGCCAAAATGTAAAGACCATCGAGACTAGGAAGAAACTGCATCAACTAATGAGAAAAATAACCAGCTAACATCATAATGACAGGATCAAATTCACACATAACAATATTAACTTTAAATGTAAATGGACTAAATGCTCCAATTAAAAGACACAGACTGGCAAATTGGATAAAGAGTCAAGACCCATCAGTGTGCTGTATTCAGGAAACCCACCTCACTTGCAGAGACACACATAGGCTCAAAATAAAAGGATGGAGGAAGACCTACCAAGCCAATGGAAAACAAAAAAAGGCAGGGGTTGCAATCCTGGTCTTGGATAAAACAGACTTTAAACCAACAAAGATCAAAAGAGACAAAGAAGGCCATTACATAATGGTAAAGGGATCAGTTCAACAAGAAGAGCTAACTATCCTAAATATATATGCACCCAATACAGGAGCACCAAGATTCATAAAGCAAGTCCTGAGTGACCTACAAAGAGACTTAGACTCCCACACATTAATAATGGGAGACTTTAACACCCCACTGTCAACATTAGACAGATCAACGAGACAGAAAGTCAACAAGGATACCCAGGAATTGAACTCAGCTCTGCACCAAGCAGACCTAACAGACATCTACAGAACTCTCCACCCCAAATCAACAGAATATACATTTTTTTCAGCACCACACCACACCTATTCCAAAATTGACCACATAGTTGGAAGTAAAGCTCTCCTCAGCAAATGTAAAAGAACAGAAATTATAACAAACTATCTCTCAGACCACAGTGCAATCAAACTAGAACTCAGGATTAAGAATCTCACTCAAAACTGCTCAAATACATGGAAACTGAACAACCTGCTCCTGAATGACTACTGGGTACATAACAAAATGAAGGCAGAAATAAAGATGTTCTTTGAAACCAACGAGAGCAAAGACACAACATACCAGAATCTCTGGGACGCATTCAAAGCAGTGTGTAGAGAGAAATTTATAGCACTAAATGCCCACAAGAGAAAGCAGGAAAGATACAAAATTGACACCCTAACCTCACAATTAAAAGAACTAGAAAAGCAAGAGCAAACACATTCAAAAGCTAGCAGAAGGCAAGAAATAACTAAGAGCAGAACTGAAGGAAATAGAGACACAAAAAACCCTTCAAAAAATTAATGAATCCAGGAGCTGGTTTTTTGAAAGGATCAACAAAATTGATAGACCGCTAGCAAGACTAATAAAGAAAAAAAGAGAGAAGAATCAAATAGACGCAATAAAAAATGATAAAGGGGATATCACCACCGAGCCCACAGAAATACAAACTACCATCAGAGAATACTACAAACACCTCTACGCAAATAAACTAGAAAATCTAGAAGAAATGGATAAATTTCTCGACACATACACTCTCCCAAGACTAAACCAGGAAGAAGTTGAATCTCTGAATAGACCAATAACAGGAGCTGAAATTGTGGCAATAATCAATAGCTTACCAACCAAAAAGAGTCCAGGACCAGATGGATTCACAGCTGAATTCTACCAGAGGTACAAGGAACAACTGGTACCATTCCTTCTGAAACTATTCCAATCAATAGAAAAAGAGGGAATCCTCCCTAACTCATTTTATGAGGCCAGCATCATTCTGATACCAAAGCCAGGAAGAGACACAACAAAAAAAGAGAATTTTAGACCAATATCCTTGATGAACATTGATGCAAAAATCCTCAATAAAATACTGGCAAAATGAATCCAGCAGCACATCAAAAAGCTTATCCACCATGATCAAGTGGGCTTCATCCCTGGGATGCAAGACTGGTTCAATATACGCAAATCAATAAATGTAATCCAGCATATAAACAGAGCCAAAGACAAAAACCACATGATTATCTGAATAGATGCAGAAAAAGCCTTTGACAAAATTCAACAACCCTTCATGCTAAAAACTCTCAATAAATTAGGTATTGATGGGACGTATTTCAAAATAATAAGAGCTATCTATGACAAACCCACAGCCAATATCATACTGAATGGGCAAAAACTGGAAGCATTCCCTTTGAAAACTGGCACAAGACGGGGATGCCCTCTCTCACCACTCCTATTCAACATAGTGTTGGAAGTTCTGGCCAGGGCAATTAGGCAGGAGAAGGAAATAAAGGGTATTCAATTAGGAAAAGAGGAAGTCAAATTGTCCCTGTTTGCAGACGACATGATTGTATATCTAGAAAACCCCATTGTCTCAGCCCAAAATCTCCTTAGGCTGATAAGCAACTTCAGCAAAGTCTCAGGATACAAAATCAATGTACAAAAATCACAAGCATTCTTATACACCAACAACAGACAAACAGAGAGCCAAATCATGAGTGAACTCCCATTCACAATTGCTTCAAAGAGAATAAAATACCTAGGAATCCAACTTACAAGGGATGTGAAGGACCTCTTCAAGGAGAACTACAAACCACTGCTCAACGAAATAAAAGAGGATACAAACAAATGGAAGAACATTCCATGCTCATGGGTAGGAAGAATCAATATCGTGAAAATGGCCATACTGCCCAAGGTAATTTACAGATTCAATGCCATCCCCATCAAGCTACCAATGACTTTCTTCACAGAATTGGAAGAAACTACTTTAAAGTTCATATGGAACCAAAAAAGAGCCCGCATCGCCAAGTCAATCCTAAGCCAAAAGAACAAAGCTGGAGGCATCACGCTACCTGACTTCAAACTATACTACAAGGCTACAGTAACCAAAACAGCATGGTACTGGTACCAAAACAGAGATAGAGACCAATGGAACAGAACAGAGCCCTCAGAAATAATGCCACATATCTACAACTATCTGATCTTTGACAAGCCTGAGAAAAACAAGCAATGGGGAAAGGATTCCCTATTTAATAAATGGTGCTGGGAAAACTGGCTAGCCATATGTAGAAAGCTGAAACTGGATCCCTTCCTTACACCTTACACAAGAATTAATTCAAGATGGATTAAAGACTTACATGTTAGACGTAAAACCATAAAAACCCTAGAAGAAAACCTAGGCAATACCATTCAAGACATAGGCATGGGCAAGGACTTCATGTCTAAAACACCAAAAGCCATGGCAACAAAAGCCAAAATTGACAAATGGGATCTAATTAAACTCAAGAGCTTCTGCACAGCAAAAGAAACTACCATCAGAGTGAACAGGCAACCTACAAAATGGGAGAAAATTTTTGCAACCTACTCATCTGACAAAGGGCTAATATCCAGAATCTACAATGAACTCAAACAAATTTACAAGAAAAAAACAAACAACCCCATCAAAAAGTGGGCGAAGGATATGAACAGACACTTCTCAAAAGAAGACATTTATGCAGCCAAAAAACACATGAAAAAATGCTCATCATCACTGGCCATCAGAGAAATGCAAATCAAAACCACAATGAGATACCATCTCACACCAGTTAGAATGGCGATCATTAAAAAGTCAGGAAACAACAGGTGCTGGAGAAGATGTGGAGAAATAGGAACACTTTTACACTGTTGGTGGGACTGTAAACCAGTTCAACCATTGTGGAAGTCAGTGTGGCGATTCCTCAGGGATCTAGAACTAGAAATACCATTTGACCCAGCCATCCCATTACTGGGTATATACCCAAAGGGTTATAAATCATGCTGATATAAAGACGCACACGTATGTTTATCACGGCACTATTCACAATAGCAAAGACTTGGAACCAACCCAAATGTCCAACAATGATAGAGTGGATTAAGAAAATGTGGCAGATATACACCATGGAATACTATGCAGCCATAAAAAATGATGAGTTCATGTCCTTTGTAGGGACATGGATGAAGCTGGAAACCATCATTCTCAGCAAACTATTGCAAGGACAAAAAACCAAACACCGCATGTTCTCACTCATAGGTGGGAATTGAACAATGAGAAAACTTGGACACAGGAAGGGGAATATCACACAGAGGGGACTGTTGCGGGTGGAGCGGGGAGGGATAGCATTAGGAGATATGCCTAATGCTAAATGACGAGTTAATGGGTGCAGCACACCAACATGGCACACGTATACATATGTAATGAATCTGCACGTTGTGCACATGTATCCTAAAACTTAAAGTATAATAATAATAAAATTAAAAAAAAGAATTCTATTTAAAGTCTGCATAATGAAAAATGAAGCAGAAAATTACTGCAAAAATACACTGTACATTCTTACAAAGTGAACCATTGAGATAACTATTTCCAGGTTACATGATACATTTGAGGTAAAAGTTACTGTAAAATTTATTTAAAAAAATGGATAAGATCAAGGGGAAATGTGATCTATTTTCTCTCTTTAGAAGCTTTTGGAATTTTTTCTATTATTCCTGCCATTCTGAAATTTCACAATAATTGGCCTTAGTGTGAGTCTTTTGCAGTAATTGTGGCAAGTAGTTGGTAGGCCTTTTCAATTTAGAGACTCTTGTCCTTAAGTTTCTAGGAAGTTTTCTTCTATTAATTTATTGATAATTTCCTCCAATGATTTTTCTCTATTCCTCTTTCTGCAATTTAAAAAATATTTGACTTCTGGGATTAATCTAATTTTATCTTTTCTCTATTATTATTCACCTCAGTCTTTTTTGATTCTACGTTCTGAAAACTTTTGCCTGTAATATTTAACTCACACATAATTTATTTCAATTATCACATTAGTGGAAAAACTAGTGACATTTTAGAATAAGGTGTATAGTTTAGACGACTGTACTGATGTTCATTTCCTGTGCCTGTGCCCTCTAGCCAAAGGATGAAGTAGGTGAAGGATATACAGAAACTCTATTATTTCTATAACTTCTCAGTAAATCTGAAATTATTTCAAAATGCAAGGCTAAAAAAATTAAAAGGACAGATATTTGAGAGAAAAAGTATCAGGCTGTCTATGCATGTCCCACTTCTCATTAGTTTTTGCCTGTTTCGGAGAGGATATTAATTGTAGTTTCTTTGATATTTTCTTCTGCTCCCTGCATTGTATGTTTCTTATGAATTTCTTTTTTTCTGTTTATTTTGTTCTCTCACCCTAGAGGTTTTCTTCTAACGTGGCTGCACGTCATAGTTAAGAGGGAGGCACTAAAATCCTAATGGGAAGTTCTTTGTGCATGGTTTGTCAGTGATCTTCACTTCAAGGATTTAAGAGACCATCGAACTTTTTCTCTGTGGTAGAAAGCATGCTTGGATTAGAATCCTGGATCTGCCACTTACTCAACTATGCTACTGTGGGCAAGTTACTTTTTAAGCTTAAAGTGATCAAATTAACACTGCCAGTAATTAGACATATTGGCATCTCATATCCCCTGATATGACACACTGATAAGGGCATATCACCTCTGTGATATTATTGTCCCAAATTCATACCCTTTATCTAATTAAGAGAAAACATAGGCCAACAAAAGTGAAGAGTGTTCTACAAAATAACTAATCAATATTTTAAAAAAGAATCAAGGTCATGAAAGACAATAAAAGACTATGTAAATGTCACAGATTGGTGGAGAATAAGGAGACATGACAAATTAATGTAGGATCTTAGATTAGATCCTAGAACAGAAAAAGAACATAAGTGAAAAAAATGGTGAAGTTTGTAGTTCACTTAATAGGTCTGTAGTTTACTTAACAGTACTTTATGAATGCTAATTTCTTCGTTTTGCTAATTGTTTCAATTATAAGCTGTTAGAAGTTGAGTGAAGAGATACATGAACTCTATGTATTATTTTTACAACCTTTCTGTAAGTGTAAAATTATTTTAAAATAAAATGTTAAAAAATAGGTTAAAAGGCCAAGGACATTTGGTGGGATGGGATGATGGGGGAGGATAACTGCCAGGATATCTATGCATGGGTTGCTTCTCATTAATTTTGCTTGAGGCATGATGAATCCTTTTTTGATTTGTAAATTCAAGTCACAGTGTTTTTGATTTTGTTTTGCTGTTAAAATTTCTGCACATTCTTTCTGTTCCATTTATTCTGTATTCTTTTCTTGAGAATTACTATTTTTTTGGTTGGACCTGTCTCTCTGCTCTCTCTATTCTAGCATTTTATCTCATCATTTAATCTTTCATGTTATTTTCTTTTACATTCTGGAAGAATTAAAAATATCCCTCTCTATGAAGGATTTCATTTTCTTTTGTGACTACTGGCCCTTTATGACAAAGGCAAATATGATTCTTTCCATCATGTCAATAGTTTTTGGGCAGTATTTTCTTACACTAGCCAGCAACCATTTCATTTTTCCTGTTTTTCAGCTTGCAATTGTTTCTTAAAGATCTATTACTGAGAACATGGGATACATCTTAAAAATTGTATTTAATTTCCTCTAATACATACGTTCTTATACATATATACATATTTATACTATTCATCCTTGCCTTCAATGTAGTGCCATATTCAATTTTTTTTCACAGAATCCATATAATACATACTTTTCTGTTTACTCATCCTTGAATGGGGATCTACTCATGACAATTAGAATTGGTGTCATGAACACTTGATTCTCCTTACTGTCCTTACATCAAAAAGGAGTCTTGGTAGACACAGAACCTATACAATTTCTAATGTCTAAGTGGGTGAGCATTTTTTGCTCCTCCTGCCTAGTTCTTTATGAGTAAAAAACTTATTCTAGAGAATCTGAGGCTGTCTATTGTTTGACTATATATAGCATACATGAAAATTTATACCCTCCTTATATATTCAGAGCTTTTCCTGCCTCTGTCCTCTAGATTACATTGCTTTATACTTGTCCTTCCCAGGTTTTTCAGAATACAAGACAATTTGAGTCTCTAAATTGATTCATAAGTATTAATGATACTCAAATGAGGAAATGGTTGGGAAAAAAATACTGGTAGTGGAATCTTTTTGTAAAGCAGATATAGTTGCTAATTTTTAGGTAAGTGCACGCTCTGGGCCTCTGAACTAGAAGTAGATAGTGGTAGTAGTTCAGATCCCTCTCCAATTTACTTCTGAATCATACTTTGTCGACCATTAGTTGTGTTTTTCATTTAAGTCCAATCAGTATTTTACTTAGAAGAAATTCCTTATAGCCTGGGCAAGAGGTTAAATATGATCCTTAATAGCCATATGTTTTCATCGATTGTTAGTAGACATGGGAGTTAAATAAAATACACATTGAACTTAATCCATATAAGAACAATTTTATTAGATGCTTATATTAATGCAAAAATGTAAAAACACTGTAAGAAAACCAAAACACTTGAGAATTCTCCACTTATACCCTTCATACCTTGGGATTTGATATTTATCTTAGAAACATAATAGTTCACATACCCAGAAACACAGATTTTCCTTTTGTTCCTTCCTAGTCTAGTTCAGTGGGATAATTTTGACATTATGTGGTTTTGCTTTTTTTGACTTTAAAACTTAATTCTCTTTTATTTCTTTTTTAAAATTAGAGATGGGGTCTCGCCATATTGCCAGGCTGGCCTTAAACTCCTGGCTCAAGTGATCCTCCTGCCTTGGCCTCCCAAAGTGCTGGGGTTCAGGTGTGAGTTACCACACCTGGCCTAAAACTTGATTCTGTATAAGATGTTACTGCTGAATTAGGGAATGATGGCCCTAATTAGTATTATATTAATCTAGTTACCTCTATATTGGTCTGTTTTGTATTTATTCGTTTTTGTATTTGATTTGACAGAGTATGTAGGCTGTGGCTTACAGCCAATGAGTAGTTTCTGGTAAACAGTACTTCACAGCAGTTAGACTTGTGCTTCAAACTCTGCATAAGGTTTCTATTTTATGGAATAGATTTGTTGCTTCAAGATAATTTTGACATTTGAAATTCCTACTTTGGGATATCTTCAATTAACATTCATGAGTTGTAATCATTAGAGCTTTAAAAATGAGTTTTACGCTTATAAAAACAACAACTCCTCCAAAGAATATTTCCACCTTTCTATTTTAAAAGTCACCAAGATTTTTGGTACTAGAGAAAATTTGCATTGGAAGTAAAAAAAGGCTAATGTTTCAAATGTCATTCACTAATATTTTAATATTAGTAATATGTTCTAGAAAAAGATTGTTTCATAATGTAGAACAACATTTGTATATTAAGATTTCCATGTTATAATAGAAATGCACTGTAAATGAAAATAGATAATTTGCCACATAGTAATACATGCATATTAAAGCATTTCTACAGCATTATATAGTTCTAGAAAACTACAGAAGTGGTTTTGGAGTTTCTGTCTCTGAGTGGGGTATCGTTTTGTATTGAGGGCCACTAAGTCACCTAAAGAAAAATATTGAGTATAAAATGCATAGAACATTTAATCTTAAAAAATAAAAATGAGAAACACAAAATTCTACATAACTATCTTGTGCTCCAGTTTTGACTTTGGAAGTCTATTTTTTTCCATCTCTAACAAAAGAGGAATTGGTAATTATTATTATTTTTTTATTTTAGAGATATACATGGTTTCACTCTGTTGCCCAAACTAGAATGCAGTGGCGTGATCATAGCTCACTGTAACCTTGAACCTTTGGGCTCAAGTGATCATCCTGCCTCAGCCTCCTGAGTAGTTAGCACTATAGGGGTGCACCACCATGCCCAGATAGTTTTTAAAATTTTTATTTTGTAGAGGCTGAGGAGTTAGCACTATAGGGGTGCACCACCATGCCCAGATAGTTTTTAAAATTTTTATTTTGTAGAGGCAGGGTCTCACTATGCTCTCAAACTCCTGGCTTCAAGCAATCCTCCTACCTTGGCCTCCCAAAGTGCTGGGATTGCAGGCATGAGCCACCACAGTTGGCCAGAATTGGTAATCTTTATATGACTATATTAAAGAGTAAGATACCAGTTTCTCTGTACAATTTCTGATGTTACCTACTCACAGATCTAAGAACATTTAGAGAAATATATACTCTTAAACTAGAAGAATTAAATTTTAAGAATGTTTAACATTAACATCCTTTGGAAATTTCTCCTATCCAAATACCACCCACCACTCCATCCTCTATTCAAATTATTCAATTTGTATAATTGTATAAATTACACAATTTCCATCACTTTGTGATATAGCTCTCTCTCAGTAACTGAAAATAACTATCACTTACATAATATGGCATAGCAACATCAGCCATTTCTGCAAAAGTATATTTGGAGTAAATGTTAACGACAGAAGAAGTCTATTTTAGAAGATTTTCTAACAATACTAAAAATGAAGCCTCTATGAGTAATGTTTAGTAACACTATAGGTTTTGACAATATGTCAAAATTATGGTTTTATTTCATGTTTGGTGTATAGTGATAAAGCCAATGAAGGGATGCAGTGAGTGGTAATGGCAGTGAGTGGTAATGGTGTGAAGGGTCACGAGAAGACCGGGAGGCTCCTTAAAGTAGACTGTCTTGGTATTGAGTTCAACACATAGGATGGGCCAGAACATAAATATGAGTGTGAAATAGCTAATATCCATTATTTTAATGCAAAGACTATGCCTACCTTCCTCACCAAAGTACACTGTATGCAGGATTCATATTACCATCTCAACAGTTGATCAGTCTGTGGCTCTTTACTGCAGATAAAGTTCATTTCCTTAAAGGGATGATGCAAGAGTTTCACCAAGAAACTTGTTCATAAGGGAATAGGAAGAATTCCCTGTACATAGTAGATAGTCAAAATATATTGAGTGTATACATGGGTATAACTGGATTATCATTCTTTGGCCTGAATCTGACTAAGGAGGCATGAACATGGTTCCCAAACTGGAAAAGGAGATCATTAATTGTTTTCACCTCCCCATAAATGTCACATGTCATCAACATAGATAATAAAAATCAGAGTACTGTATATTAAATATCTAGAATAGGCAAATTCATATAGATAGAAAGTAAATTAGAGGTTACCAGGGACTAGGGGTTGAGAGGAAGCACATAGGAAGAGTTATTGCTTAATGGGTGCACAGAGTTTCAACTTGGGATGAGGAAAAGGTTTGAAAACAATGGTGATGGTTGCATAGCATTGTGAATGTAATTAATGCCACTGAATTGTACACTTAACAATGGTTGAAACAGAAAATTTTTAAGTTTGAAGTCAGGTAGCGTGATACCTCCGGCTTTGTTCTTTTGGCTTAGGATTGACTTGGCAATGAGGGCTCTTTTTTGGTTCCATATGAACTTTAAAGTAGTTTTTTCCAATTCTGTGAAGAAAGCCATTGGTAGCTTGATGGGGATGGCATTGAATCTATAAATTACCTTGGGCAGTATGGCCATTTTCACGATATTGATTCTTCCTACCCGTGAGCATGGAATGTTCTTCCATTTGTTTGTATCCTCTTTTATTTCATTGAGCAGTGGTTTGTAGTTCTTCTTGAAGACGTCCTTCACATCCCTCGTAAGTTGGATTCCTAGGTATTTTATTCTCTTTGAAGCAATTGTGAATGGGAGTTCACTCATGATTTGGCTCTCTGTTTGTCTGTTATTGGTGTATAAGAATACTTGTGATGTTTGTACATTGATTTTGTATCCTGAGACTTTTCTGAAGTTGCTTATCAGCTTAAGGAGATTTTGGGCTGAGACAATGGGGTTTTCTAGATATACAATACTACAAGGCTACAGTAACCAAAACAGCATGGTACTGGTACCAAAACAGAGATAGAGACCAATGGAACAGAACAGAGCCCTCAGAAATAATGCCGCATATCTACAACTATCTGATCTTTGACAAGCCTGACAAAAACAAGAAATGGGGAAAGGATCCCCTATTTAATAAATGGTGCTGGGAAAACTGGCTAGCCATATGTAGAAAGCTGAAACTGGATCCCTTCCTTACACCTTATACAAAAATTAATTCAAGATGGATTAAAGACTTACATGTTAGACCTAAAACCATAAAAACCCTAGAAGAAAACCTAGGCAATACCATTCAGGACATAGGCATGGGCAAGGACTTCATGTCTAAAACACCAAAAGCCATGGCAACAAAAGCCAAAATTGACAAATGGGATCTAATTAAACTAAAGAGCTTCTGCACAGCAAAAGAAACTACCATCAGAGTGAAAAGGCAACCTACAAAATGGGAGAAAATTTTCACAATCTACTCCTCTGACAAAGGATATCTCTAATATCCAGAATCTACAATGAACTCAAACAAATTTACAAGAAAAAAACAACCCCATCAAAAAGTGGGTGAAGGATATTAACAGACACTTCTCAAAAGAAGACATTTATGCAGCCAAAAAACACATGAAAAAATGCTCATCATCACTGGCCATCAGAGAAATGCAAATCAAAACCACAATGAGATACCATCTTACACCAGTTAGAATGGCGATCATTAAAAAGTCAGGAAACAACAGGTGCTGGAGAGGATGTGGAGAAATAGGAACACTTTTACAATGTTGGTGGGAGTGTAAACTAGTTCAACCATTGTGGAAGTCAGTGTGGCGATTCCTCAGGGATCTAGAACTAGAAATACCATTTGACCCAGCCATCCCATTACTGGGTATATACCCAAAGGACTACAAATCATGCTGCTATAAAGACACATGCACACGTATGTTTATTGCGGCACTATTCACAATAGCAAAGACTTGGAACCAACCCAAATGTCCAACAACGATAGACTGGATTAAGAAAATGTGGCAGATATACACCTCGGAATACTATGCAGCCATAAAAAATGATGAGTTCATGTCCTTTGTAGGGACATGGATGAAGCTGGAAACCATCATTCTCAGCAAACTATTGCAAGGACAAAAAACCAAACACCGCATGTTCTCACTCATAGGTGGGAATTGAACAATGAGAACACATGGACACAGGAAGGGGAACATCACACTCCGGGGACTGTTGTGGGGTGGGGGGAGTGGGGAGGGATAGCATTAGGAGATATGCCTAATGCTAAATGACGAGTTAATGGGTTCAGTACACCAACATGGCACATGTATACATATGTAACAAACCTGCACATTGTGCACATGTACCCTAAAACTTAAAGTATAATAAAATAAAATAAAATAAAAATTTTTTAAAAAAGAAAATTTTTAAGTTGCATATATTACCACAATAAATAAAAAAGTTAATAGTTAATTTAGAATTATATTTCCTTCACATGAGTTTGCTAATTCTGTACTTCTGATCACAAGTGTGATGTAAATATCCAAAATTGTTCCTTTCTAGAAGAGAAAGTTGGAAAACTTGAAATATGATGGAAGAAAAACAAAGTAAAAAGTCAAAACAAATTTCTTACTTTAATTGGCTCAGGCTGCATCACAGGCGCAGGCATAGTGATGGCACTTGGAGCATAAACCTGGTGATATGTTGCTTGAACTCCATGATCAGAATAAGGCTATTACAAAAAAAGAGAGAAAAAATGTCACCTTTCATCTATTAATTCTAAATATTTACTCAGCATTTACAATATACTAATCATCTAGCTATACAATGTAGAAACAGTTAAAAACACATGCCCTTATGTTTAATTAACTTATAATCTGATGAGTTAATATAATGAATTAACTTATGAATTAACTTGTAATCTGATGAGGGAAATAGACAGTAGTCAGAATGATCATAAATCCTATAGACATGTATAGGGATGCAACAGGCAAGGGAAGAGATTATGTAAATGCAGTTATGGCTTGTCCAGCAGATGGTGGTACCATTCATTGGAATATAGAATACAAGGAAAGCTTAATATTCATGTAATTGTGTGTAAGGGGTTGCAGAGCAGGAGTTAGGTTTGTGATATACAAAATTTGTGGTATCTGTAGGAATTCTAGTAGACGTATACTGTTGATAGATGTGGCTCTAGACCAGGACTGTCAAATAGAAATACAATGTGAGCTACATATGTTATTTAAAATTTTCCCATTGTCATGTTAGAAAAATAAAAAATGGTAGAATTAATTTTTAGTAATACCTTTTATTTAAACTAATACATATTAAATATTATCATATAAAAGTACAATCAATACAAACATTACCAAGATGTTTTACATTCTTTTTTCTTTTTTTTTTGAGATGGAGTCTTGCTGTCTTCCAGGCTGGAGTGCAGTGGTGTGATCTCGGCTCACTGCAAGTTCCACCTCCCGGCTTCACACCATTCTCCTGCCTCAGCCTCCCAAGTAGCTGAGACTACAGGTGCCGCCACTACACCCGGCTAATTTTTTGTATTTTTAGTAGAGACGGGGTTTCACCGTGTTAGCCAGGATGGTCTTGATCTCCTGACCTCGGGATCCACCCGCCTCGGCCTCCCAAAATGCTGGGATTACAGGCGTGAGCCATTGCGCCCAGCTACATTCTTTTTTCACACTGTGTCTTCAAAACCCAGTATGTATTTTACACTTAGGGGACATCTCAATTCGGTCTTACTGCATTTCAAGTGCTCAACTGCCACATGTGGCTAGTGGCTATTGTAGTGGATAGTGCAGTCTAAAACTCAGGAGTGAGACGGAGGCTAGATATATGGCTATGGATGATAACATCAGAGTGAGTACATGTGGTGAAAGAATGGAGAATCAAATACAAAATCTGCTTATAAAGGAAAACAAAAGGAGGTAAAAGGATTGCCAGAAGAGAGTAGTATCATGGAAACCAAGGGTAGGAAGAGTTTTAGGGAGTAGGTACAATGTCTCTGAGAGGTCAAATAAGATAAAAAAGAAAGGAAAGTTTGTGTCAGTTAGGAAGTCATTGAGGACCTTTACCCAAGGCAGCTTCAGCAGAAAGGTAATGAAGTAGACTTCAGCAGGTGAGGAGTGAATGAGTAGTGAAGTAGCAGAAATTCTGAATGTAGACTACTTTTTCAAGACACTTGGCTTTGGAAGGTAGCAGAAAATCAGGGAAGTGGTGGGAGTGTGTGTCACAGGATAATATTGCCTCTTACAAGGTGCTGCACACTATACAAAGAACTTTGTATACCATCTCTCTAGTCTTTACATCAATCCTGCAAAATAGTTTTTCCTGATGTCCTCATTTTACAAATAAGGAGATTATGAAAGCAAGACCATGAAGGGTTAAGCAATTCCTCAAAGTAACACAGTAAGTTGTGAAGCTGTAAACCAGTGGAGAGAAGAAGACTTCAAATACAAGACAGAAAAAGAACAGTAGATGGAATGAGGTCCCTGAGGAGGAGGGAACTGATAGCATCTAGATCGCAAGAGGCAGAAATAACCTTGGACAAGACTGAAAGTCACTAAATAAATATAAGAAGCTAAGGATGAGTTACGATACAGGTAAAGTTTGTGTTTCAGGGGTTGGAGGCTGAGTTGGTTTTCACAAATTGGTTCTTACTCTGCAAAAGAGAAGGCAAAGCTATATTCTCAGAATGACATGGGCAGGCAGTGGAGTGGGTGCAATCTGGTAGTACTGAGGGCTTGGCAAAGGTTTAAAATAATCATTGAAATAAGTGAGTGAAGACGGTCACTTTTTTTTTTAAAAAAAGAAATTTGACTATAACACTCACAAGAAAAGTCGTGAAGTTCTTAATTTTAGGGAAAAAAACACTTCAACTGTAAACCATCCCACTCTATTCATTAAGTTATATATTAGTCAGACTATACCCTCTACTAGAAACAGTAGCAAAACAAAAACATGCAAATATTTTGTATGGAAATACCACACAAAGTACAAGTTATAAGATAATGATGGGCAATATTTTCAGAAAAGCTTTATTAGATTCCATTAAATAGTGCATATATTCTGATGGTAAGTATCTGATATCAGATATTAAAAATATGATTTAATGCCAAAAGAGATTCTGACAAAAAATCAAATGTAAAAGCATTCTTATCTCACTACCTGCTCCTGGCAAACCAGAAAACAACAAAAAGAACAAAATATAGATTTTTAAAATGCCATCATCAATTAAAGAAGAAAATGCCTATGACTCCCAAACCATACACAATGTAGAATGTCTGCCAAGTGCTGTGCAAGTTGGACGAACATAAGGGAGGATTCTGAAGCCTCCTCAGTCATGAGAAAGGATGACGATTTCCCAAGAGGTCAATGTTCTGGAAGACCTCCTCAAAGATACTTTAGAGTCTTGAGTGCAGAAGTATGTATTGGTCAGAGTGAGGTAGAAGCACAAAATATCTCCACAGAGATCCTATTCATAATTAGGATAATAATTAATAATAATTAAGAATCCTGACTTAACAGGGGAGGTAGAATTGATGGAGAAATCATGTTTATATAATTTTTCTTGTCTACTATCTAGCCTTTTACCTGAGGAATACTGCTGGAGGTGAAGCAGGGAGAAAGTGGGAAAGGAAGTAGCAATTGCCACATCCCAATACAGAACCCCTGTGATAAAAAGGGCTTTACAAGGAACAAAAATGATCTCTGGCAAGGATGTGGAGGAAAGGGAATCCTTGTACACTGCTGGTGGGAATGTAAATTAGTATGGCCATTTTGGAAAACAGTAGGGTGGTTTCTCAGAAAATTAAGAATACTATCATGTGATCTAGAAATCCCACTACTGTGTATACATATCCAAAGGAAATGAAGTCAGTATGTTAAAAAGATATCTCCATTTCCATGTTCACTCCAGCATTATTGATAATAGTCAAGATATGGAATCAACCTTAGTGTCCATCAATCAGTGAATGGATAAAGAAAATGTAGTATCCATATACACAATGGAATACTGTTCAGCCTTAACAAAGAAGGAGATCCTGTCATTTATGACAACATGGATGAACCTGGAGGACATTATGCTAAGTGAAATAAGCCAAGCACAGAAAGACAAATACTACATGATTTCACTTATGTGCAGAACGTGAAAAAGTCGAACTCATAGAAGCAGAGAGGGCCAGGTGCGGTGGCTTATGCCTGTAATCCCAGCACTTTTGGAGGCCGAGGCAGGCGGATCATGAGGTCAAGAAATCGAGACCATCCTGGCCAACATGGTGAAACCCCGTCTCTACTAAAAATATAAAAATTAGCCCGGCATGGTGGTGTGCGCCTGTAGTCCCAGCTATTTGGGAGGCTGGGACAGGGGGATCGCTTGAACCCGGGAGGCAGAGGTTGCAGTGAGCCGAGATCATGCCACTGCACTCCAACTTGGTGACAGAGTGAGACTCTGTCTCGAAAAAAAAAAAAAAAAAAAGCAGAGAGAAGAATGGTGGTTGCCAGGGACTGGGGATGGCGAGTGAGATGGGAGATGTTGGTCAAAGGTTACAGGGTTTCAGTTCTAAAGGAAGAATATGCCCTGAAGATCTACTGTATAGCATGACTATAGTTAATAATAACATATTATATACTTGAAAATTGCTAAGACTTAAAGTACCTTAAATGTTCTCACCACAAACAAAAAAAAGGATAACCATGTGAGGTGATGGATTAGCTTGATTGGGGTAATCATTTCACAGTGTGTACATATATCCAACCATCATGCTATACACTGTAAATGTATACCATTTGTCGTTAGTTACAATTTAGTAAAGCTGAGGATAAAAAGAAAAAAGCAACCATAAAAAAGTAGGTGGGGCAGGCCAGGCGCAGTGGCTCACGCCTGTAATCTCAGCACTTTGGGAGGCCGAGGCAGGCTGATTACGAGGTCAGGAGATTGAGACCATCCTGGCTAACACGGTGAAACCCCGTCTCTACTAAAAATACAAAAAATTAGCCAGACTTGGTGGCACACGCCTGTAGTCCCAGCTACTTGGGAGGCTGAGGCAGGAGAATCACTTGAACCCAGGAGGCAGAGGTTGCAGTGAGCCGAGATGGCACCACTGCACTCCAGCCTGGGCGACAGAGCGAGACTCGGGCTCAAAAAAAAAAAAAAAAAAAAAAAAGGTGGGGCATGAAACAAATAATAAAGAAATCCTAGTAAAAGTATTGATAGTAAATCTTAAGATCCAACTGTGGAAATTATTGTTTCAGAACAAAATTATAATATTAAAAAAGTAATAAAACAATGTACTTAAACTGGGAGGTAAATGCTAATTTCTTAATCTTTCACCACACTGATTTAAAACATACCATGCACATGGTACTGGTACAAAAACACAGACCAATGGAACAGGATAGAGAACTCAAATAAGACCACATATTTACAACCATCTGATTTTCAACAAACCTGACAAAAACAAGCAATGGGGAAAGGATTCCTTGTTTAATAAATGGTGCTGGGGAGGTCCAGGGCAAGATGGCCAAATAGGACCAGCTCTGGTCCGCAGCTTCCAGTGAGAACAATGTAGAAGGTGGGTGATTTCTGCATTTCCAACTGAGGTACCCAGCTCATCTCACTGGGACTGGTTAGACAGTGGGTGCAGCCCACGGAGGGTGAGCAGAAGCAGGGTGGGGCGTCACCTCACCCGGGAAGCACAAGGGGTCAGGGAACTCCCTTCCCCAGCCAAGGGAAGCCATGAGGGACAGTGATATCTGGCTCAGATACTACGCTTTTCCCATGGCTTTTGCACCTGCAGACCAGGAGATCCCCTCGGGTGCCTACACCACCAGGGCCCTGGATTTCAAGCACAAAACTGGGTGCCCATTTGGGCAGACACCGAGCTAGCTACAGGGTTTTTTTTGTTCATACCCCAGTGGCACCTGGAACTCCAGAGAGACAGAACCATTCACTCTCCTGGAAAGGGAGCTGAAGCCAGGAGCCAAGTGGTCTTGCTCAGTGGATCCCACTTCCATGGAGCCCAGCAAGCTAAGACCCACTGGCTTGAAATTCTTGCTGCCAGCACAGCTGTCTGAAGTCGACCTGGGATGCTCAGGCTTGGTCAGGGGTTGGGGCATCTGCCATTACTGAGGCTTGAGTAAGCGGTTTTCCACTCACAGTGTAAATAAAGCCACTGGGAAGTTCGGACTGGGCAGAACCCACCTCAGTACTGCAAAGCCACTGTAGCCAGACTGCCTTTCTAGATTCCTCCTCTCTGGGCAGGGCATCTCTGAAAGAAAGGCAGCAGCCCCAGTCAGGGGCTTATAGATAAAACTCCCATCTCCCTGGGACAAAACACCTGGGGGAAGGGGCAGCTGTGGGTGCAGCTTCAGCAGACTTAAATGTTCCTGCCTGCCGGCTCTGAAGAGAGCAACAGATCTCCCAGCACAGTGCTTGAGCTCTGCTAAGGGACAGAATGCCTCCTTAAGTGAGTCCCTGACACCTGTGCCTCCTGACTGGGAGATACCTCCTAGCAGGGGTTGACAGACACCTCATACAGGAGAGCTCCAGTTGGCATCTGGTGGGTGTCCCTCTGGGACGAAGCTTCCAGAAGAAGGAGCAGGCAGCAATCTTTGCTGTTCCGCAGCTTCCGCTGGTGATACCCAGGCAAACAGGGTCTGGGGTGGATCTCCAGCAAACTCCTACAGACCTGCAGCAGAGGGGCCTGACTCTTAGAAGGAAAACTAACAAACAGAAAGCAATAACATCAACATCAACAAAAAGGACATCCACGCAAAAACCCCATTCACAGGTCATCAGCATCAAATATCAAAGGTAGATAAATCCACAAAGATGAGGAAAAACCAGCACAAAAAGGCTGAAAATTCCAAATACCAGAATGCCTCTTCCCCTCCAAAGGATCACAACTCCTCGCCAGCAAGGGAACAAAACTGGACGGAGAATGAGTTTGATGAATTGACAGAAGTAGGCTTCAGAGGTGGGTAATAAACTCTTCCGAGCTAAAGGCGCATGTTCTAACCCAGTGCAAGGAAGCTAAGAACCTTGATAAAAGGTTACAGGAACTGCCAACTAGAATAGCTAGTTTAGAGAAAAAGAAAAGTGACCTGATGGAACTGAAAAACACAGCACGAGAACTTCGTGAAGCATACACAAGTATCAATAGCTGAATTGATCAAGCAGAAGAAAGGATATCAGAGATGGAAGATTGACTTAATGAAATAAAGCGTGAAGACAAGATTAGAGAAAAAAGAATGAAAAGGAATGAACAAAGCCTTCAAGAAATATGGGACTATGTGAAAAGGCCAAAGTTTAGGTTTGATTGGTGTACCTAAAAGTGACACGGGGAATGGAACCAAGGTGGAAAACACACTCAGGATATTATCCAGGAGAACTTCCTCAACCTAGCAAGACAGGCCAACATTCAAATTTAGAAAATACAGAGACCACCAGAAAGATACTCCTTGAGAAGAGTTTGGTGGGAAGCCCACCAAACTAACAGCAGATCTCTCTGCAGAAACCTTACAAGCCAGAAGAGAGTAGCGGCCAATATTCAACATTCTTAAAGAAAAGAATTTTCAACCCAGAATTTCATATCCAGCCAAACTAAGCTTTATAAGTGAAGGAGAAATAAAATCCTTTACAGACAAGCAAATGCTGAGAGACTTTGTCACCACCAGGCCTGCCTTACAAGAATTCCTGAAGGAAGTACTAAATATGGAAAGGAAAAACCAGTACCAGTGACTGCAAAAACATACCAAAATGTAAAGACCATCGACACTATAAGGAAACCGCATCAACTAATGGGAAAATAACCAGTTAACATCACAACGACAGGATCAAATTCACACATAACAATATTAACTTAAAAGGTAAATGGGCTAAACGCCCCAATTAAAAGACACAGACTGGCAAATTGGACAAAGAGTCAAGACCCATTGGTGTGCTATATTCAGGAGACCCATCTCATGTGCAAAGACACACATAGGCTCAAAATAAAGGGATGGAGGAATATTTACCAAGCAAATGGAAAGCAAAAAAAAGCAGGGGTTGTAATCCTAGTCTCTGATAAAACAGACTTTAAACCAACAAAGATCAAAAAAGACAAAGAAGGGCATTACATAATGGTAAAGGGATCAATGCAACAAGAAGAGCTAACTATCCTAAATATATATGCACCCAATACAGGAGCACCCAGATTCACAAAGCAGGTTCTTAGAAACCTACACAGAGACTTAGACTCCCACACAATAATAATGGGAGACTTTAACACCCCACTGTCAATATTAGACAGATCAACGAGACAGAAAATTAACAAATATAGTCAGGACTTAAACTCAGCTCTGGAGCAAGAGGACCTAATAGACATCTACAGAACTCTCCACCCCAAATCAACAGAATATACATTCTTCTCAGCACCACATAGCACTTATTGTAAAATTGACCACATAATTGGAAGTAAAACACTCCTCAGAAAATGGTAAAGAACAGAAATCATAACAAACAGTCTCTCAGACCACAGTGCAATCAAATTAGAATGCAGGATTAAGAAACTCACTCAAAACCACACAACTACATGGAAACTGAACAATCTGCTCCTGAATGACTAGTGGATAAATTATGAAATTAAGGCGGAAATAAATAGGTTCTTTGAAACCAATGAGAACAAAGACACAACATACCAGAATCTCTGGGACACAGTTAACACACTGTTTAGAGAGAAATTTATAGCACTAAATGCCCACAGAAGAAAGAGGGAAAGATCTAAAATGGACACCCTAACATTACAATTAAAAGAACTAGAGAAGCAAGATCAAACAAATTCAAAAGCTAGCAGAAGACAAGAAATAACTATATTAGAGCAGAACTGAGGGAGATAGAGACACGAAAAACCCTTCAAAAAAAATCAATGAATCCAAGAGCTGGTTTTTTGAAAAGATTAACAAAATAGACCACTAGCCAGACGGATAAAGAAGAAAAGAGAGAAGAATCAAATAGACACAGTAAAAAATGATAAAAGGGATATCACCACTGATCCCACAGAAATACAAACTACCATCAGAGAATACTATAAACACCTCTACACAAATAAACTAGAAAATCTAGAAGAAATGGATAAATTTCTGGACATATACACCCTCCCAATACTAATCCAGGAAGAAGTTGAATCCCTGAATAGGCCAATAACAAGTTCTGAAATTAAGGCAGTAATTAATAGCCTACTAAACAAAAAAAGTCCAGGAGCAGACAGATTCATAGCCGAATTCTACCAGAGGTACAAAGAGGAGCTAGTACCATTCCTTCTGAAACTATTCCAAATAATAGAAAAAGAGGGACTCCTTCCTAACTTATTTTGTGAGGCCAGCATCATCCTGATACCAAAACCTGTCAGAAACCAACAAAAAAAAAAAAAGAAAATTTCAGGCCAACATCCCTAATGAACATCGAAGCAAAAATCCTCAATAAAATACTGGCAAACCAAATCCAGCAGCACATCAAAAATCTTATTCAGCACCGTCAAGTTGGCTTCATCCCTGGGATGCAAGGCTGGTTCAACATATGCAAATCAGTAAATGTAACCCATCACATAAACAGAACCAACGACAAAAACCACATGATTATCTCAATAGACGCAGAAAAGGCCTTCAAAAAAATTCAACACCCTTTCATGCTAAAAACACTTAATAAACTAGGTATTGATGGAATGTATCTCAAAATAATAAGAGCTATTTATGACAAACGAATAGCCAATATCATACTGAATGGGCAAAAGCTGGAAGCATTCCCTTGAAAACCGGCACAAGACAAGGATGCCTTCTCTCATCACTCCTATTCAACACAGTATTGGAAGTTCTGGCCAGGGCAATCAGGCAAGAGAAAGAAATAAAGTGTATTCAAATAGGAAGACAGGAAGTCAAACTATCTCTGTTTGCAGATGACATGATTGTATATTTAGAAAACCCCATCATCTCAGCCCCAAAACTCCTTAAACTGATAAGAAACTTCAGTAAAGTCTCAGGATACAAAATCAATGTGCAAAAATCACAAGCATTCAGCATTCCTATACTCCAATAATAGACAGAGAATCAAATCATGAGCAAACTCCCATTCACAATTGCTACAAAGAGAATAAAGTAGCTAGGAATACAACTTACAAGGGATGTGAAGGACCTCTTCAAGGAGAACTACAAACCACTGCTCAAGGAAATATGAGAGGACACAATCAAATGGAAAAACATTCCATGCTTATGGATAGGAAGAATCAATATTGTGAAAATGGCCATACTGCCCAAAGTAATTTATAGATTCAATGCTATTCCCATCAAGCTACCATTGACTTTCTTCACAGAATTAGAAAAAACTAGTTTAAATTTCATATGGAACCAAAAAAGAGGCCATATAACCAAGACAATCCTAAGTGAAAAGAACAAAGCTGGAGGCATCACGCTACCTGACTTCAAACTATACTACAAGGCTACACTAACCAAAACAGCATGGTACTGGTACCAAAACAGATATATAGACCAATGGAACAGAACAGAGACCTCAGAAATAACATCACACATCTACAACCATCTGATCTTTGACAAACCTGACTAAAACAAGAAATGGGGAAAGGATTCCCTATTTAATAAATGGTGTCGAGAAAACTGGCTGGCCATATGCAGAAAACTGAAACTGGACCTCTTCCTTACACCTTATACAAAAATTAACTCACGATGGATTAATGACTTAAATGTAAGAACTAAAACCATAAAAATCCTAGAAGAAAACCTAGGCAATACCATTCAGGACATAGGCATGACTAAAACACTAAAAGTAATGGCAACAAAAGCCAAAATTGACAAATGGGATCTAATTAGACTAAAGAGCTTCTGAACAGCAAAAGAAACTATCATCAGAGTGAACAGGCAACATACAGAATGGGAGAAAATTTTTGCCATCTATCCATCTGACAATAGGCTAATATCTAGAATCTAAACAGAACTTAAACAAATTTACAAGAAAAAAACAATCCCATCAAAAAATGGGTGAAGGATATGAACAGACACTTCTCAAAAGAAGATATTTATGTGGCCACCAAACATATGAAAAAAAGCTCATCATCACTGGTCATTAGAGAAATGCAAATCAAAAGCACAATGAGATACCATCTCACGCCAGTTAGAATGGCGATCACTAAAAAGTCAGGAAACAACAGATGCTGGAGAGGATGTGGAGAAATAGGCATGCTTTTACACTGTTGGTGGGAGTGTAAATTAATTCAACCACTGTGGAAGACAGTGTGGCGATTCCTCAAGGATCTAGAACCAGAAATACCATTTGACCCAGCAATCCCATTACTGGGTATATATTGAGAAGTTTATAAATCTTTCTTCTATAAAGACACATGCACATGTATGTTTATTGCAGCACTATTTACAATAGCAAAGACTTGGAACCAACCCAAATGCCCATCAATGATAGACTAGATAAAGAAAATGTGGCACATACACACCATGGAATACTATGCAGCCATAAAAAAGAATGAGTTCATGTCCTTTGCAGGGACATGGATGAAGCTGGAAACCAGCATTCTCAGCAAACTAACACAGGAACAGAAAACCAAACACTGCATGTTCTCACTCATAAGTGGGAGTTGAACAATGAGAACACATGGACATAGGGAGGGGAATATCACACACCAGGGCCTGTCAGGGGGTCGGGGGCACGGGGAGGGATAGCATTAGGAGAAATACCTAATGTAGATGATGGGCTGATGGGTGCAGTAAACCCCCATGGCACATGTATACCTATGTAACAAACCTGCACGTTCTGCATATGTATCCCAGAATGTAAAGTATAATAAAAAAAAATGGTCCTGGGAAAACTGTTTAGCCATATATAGAAAATTGAAACTGGACCCGTTCCTTACACCTTATACAAAAATTAACTCAAGATGGATTAAAGACTTAAATGTAAAACCCGAAACTATAGAAACCACAGAAGGGCTGGGTGCAGTGGCTCATACCTGTAATCCCAGCACTTTGGGAGGCCGAGGCAGGTGGATCATGAGGTCAGGAGCTCGAGACCATCCTGGCCAACACGGTGAAACCCCGTCTCTACTAAAAATATGAAAATATTAGCCAGCTGGGCATGGTGGCACGTGCCTGTAGTCCCAGCTACTCAGGAGGCTGAGGCAGGAGAATCACTCGAACCTGGGAGGTGGAGGTTGCAGTGAGCCGAGACCACACCATTGCACTCTAGCCTGGGCGATGGAGCAAGACTCCGTCTCAAAAAACAAAACAAAAAACAAACAAAAAAACCCCAAAACACACACACACACACACACACACACACACACACACAAACCATAGAAGACAATATAGGCAATACTATTCATTCAGGACACAGGCACGGGCAAAGACTTCATGATGAAAACATCAAAAGCAATTGCAACTAAGCAAAAATTGACAAATGGGATTTAATTAACTAAAGAGCTTCTGCTCAGCAAAAGAAACTATCATCAGAGTCAACAGACAACCTATAGAATGGGAGAAAATTTTTGCAATCTATCCATCTGACAAAAGTCCAATATCCATAATGTACAAGGAATTTAAACAAATTCACAAGAAAAAAACAAAGAACCTCGTTAAAAAGTCGGCAAAGGACACGAACAGACACTTCTCAAAAGAAGACATTTATCCAGCCAACAAACATAAAAAAAGCTCAGCATCACTGATCATTGGAGAAATGCTAATCAACACAATGAGATACCATCTCACACCAGTCAGAATGGCGATTATTAAAAAGTCAAGGAACAACAGATGCTGGTGAGGCTGTGGAGAAACAGGAACGCTTTTTTACACTGTTGGTGGAAATGTAAATTAGTTCAACCATTGTGGAAGACAGTGTGGTGATTCCTCAAAGACCTAGAGGCAGAAATACCATTTGACCCAGCAATCCCATTACTGGGTATATACCCAAAGAATATAAATCATTCTATTATAAAGATATATGCATGTGTATGTTCATTGCAGCACTATTCACAATAGCAAAGACATGGAATCAACACAAATGCTCATCTGTGATAGACTCGATAAAGAAAATGTGGTACATATACATCATGGAATGCTATGCAGCCATAAAAAGGAAAGAGATCATGTCCTTTGCTGGGACATGGATGGAGCTGGAAGCCATTATCCTCAGCAAACTAACACAGGGACAGAAAACCAAACACTGCACGTTCTCACTTGTAAGTGGGAGCTGAACAATGAGAAACACATGGACACAGGGAGGGGCACAACACACATTGGGACGTGTCGGGGCTGGGAAGGGAGAGCATCAGGAAAGATAGCTAATGCATGCCAGGCTTAACACCTAGGTGATGGGTTGATAGATGCAGCAAACCAACATGGCACAGGTTTACCTATGTAATAAACCTGCACATCCTACACATATGTACTGGAACTTAAAATAATATAAAATAAAAAATATAAAATAAAACATACCATGCACAGTTCCTGGCATACAGATGGTGAAGCTATAAGTAACGGATCAGAAATATAATTTAAAGATGCTGAAGAGGATATTAAAATTTGTAATTATAAATTTAATTTACATTTTTGTAGGAAGAATTTTTTTAAAGATTTTTTTTCTTCTTCATCTTAATTATATGCTTTTGACTAATAGAATGTTAGTAACAATACAGATTGACAGGCAAAATGAGAATGCAGAGTATTTGGAATTTTACTATTTCAAAAAGATCAAATCAAAGATTAGCTTAGTGGAGTGAATGGTTGATTTGGGAAATGGTTCAGAACTAGTTAGCGAAAAAGTCTAAGATGATGCATTCTTAGATATAAGAAAGGGGAAGAGATTTGAATAAATCAACAAAACAAAGATGAAGCAGTTTCAATGAGGGTCGTGAACAAATTTAAAAAAGAGAAAAAGAAATAAATGTTAACATGAGGTAGTTATAGATCAATTACTTTAAGACTAATACATACCTCTGGAACTGAAGTTTCCATCAGAGACAGTGGAGGAGGAACACATCCACCATCCTGTGCAATTTCCACTGGTTGATAAATAACCTCAGAAGGTTGCAGGTATAAGAATGGAGCAGAAGAGGCAGAAGGCTAAAATACAAAACCATATTTCTAATTCAAATATGATTAGTTATTTCTGTTAAACCAAATGACTTAGCCAACAGATGAGAGAAGTACTTGTTTTTTATTTTACTAAATTTTTTTTTAGGAATAGCACAGAAGTATCTCAGCAACGGATTAGAAACTGATCTGTTATAAATTCCAACTGTGTAGATGTAGTTAAAGAATCTTATCATTGGTAAGCACTAGAACTTCTTAATGACTGAGAACCTCATATATAAATTCAGATAATAATTATGGTTATATTAATGTCACCAGTAAAGGTTGTGATAATGTGATCTATGGTATTTAAATTGACATAAATGTCTACTCTCAGCTCTGTGACTTCTAATGAAAGTGGGAAAATGTGAAACTTTTTTGGTGAAGTACTATTTGTTACCAAAAGTTGGGAAATAGAATACTTATTTAGGAACAGAATAAAAACTGAAGCCAAATCCAAATGAAGTTAGAAAAATGCTAAATTTTCAAATAACACTAATAGTAAAAAAGGGTAAGTTTTCATGTTTATACAGTACACATTTATAAAATGCTTTCACTTATGCATTATCATTTGATATTCACAAAAATCATGTAAGGAAACTTACAAAGGTATAGTATCATTATATCCATTTTACAAATGAAGAAACTGAAAATGAACTGCCAAAAGAATAAGTTAATAAACAGAAGAAGAAGGTCTCAAATCTAAAAAACTTTAGTATTCATGCAGTCATCACAAGAATATAATGAAAGAAGGATTTAAAATTATATATTGAAAGTTAACATTTACCTGAGGAACACTCCACTGCCACTGTCCTGGTAAATACTGTGTGGTGGCCTAAAATTAAATAAAAGAAAAGAAAAACCCATTCTGATTATAAACAAGGGTTAAAACTAGATATCTACAGGCAAAAATATGAAGTTGGACCCTCACACCATATACAAAAATTAACTCAAGCCATATACAAAAATTAACTCAAAATGGACCAGAGACTTAAATGTAAGAGCTAAAATTATACATCTCTTAGAAAAAAACATAGGTGTAAATGCCTGTGACCTTGAATTAGGAAATGTTTTTAAAATTATGGTTCCAAAAGCATAAACAACAAAGCAACAACAAAAAATAGTTAAATTAGATTTCATCAAAACTTTAAAAAACTTTTGTGCAAGTGAAAATACAACCCACAGGATGAGAGAAAACATGGAACTTATATCAAGAATGTATAAAGAACTCTTACAACTCAATAATCAAAAGACAAGTAACCCAACTTAAAAATTGGTAAATGATATGAATAGACTTTTCTCCAAAGAAGATATACATATGGCCAATAAACACAAGAAATAATGCTCGACACCACTAGCCTTCAGGGAAATACAAATCAAAACCATAATACAACATCACTTCATACCTACTAGGATGGCTTTAATCAAAAAAGTAGATCATAAATGTTGACGGGCACGTGGAGAAATTAGAACCCTCATAATCTGCTGGTGGGAATGTAAAATGGCGCAGCCCTTTGGGAAAATAAACACTTCCTTAAAAGGTTAAACAAAGTTACCGTATGACCCAGCAATTCCACTCTAGTTATAAAACCTAAGAGAAATAAAAATATGTGTTCACATAAAAATTTGTATGTGAATGTCCATCGCAGTATCATTTATAACAGTCAAAAAGTAGAAACAACTCAAGTGTCCATCATCTGATGAATGGATAAACAGAATGTGGTACAGTGTATCCATACAATGGGATATTATTTGAGAACGAAGTACTGAGATATGTCATGTCTCATTTATCATGACATAGATAAATCTTGAAATCATTATGCTAAATGAAAGAAGCCTGTCACAAAAGACCACATATTGTATGATTGTTTTTATAGGATATATCCAGAATAGGCAAATCTAGAAAAACAGGTAAGTAGATTACTGGTTGCCTAGCACTGGGATAAGGGGAAAAAGAAGACTCAACTCATCTACTGTAGCACAAAAACAGCCATAGACAATAAGTAAACAAATGTGGCTGTGTTCCAATAATGTTTTATTTACAAAAACAGGCTGCTGGCTGGAGTTTGGTCTGCAAGCCATAGTTTGATGACCCTGCTATAGACCAGAATGATCTGGCATTATAGTTCACTTATCCCCAATTTCTCACTAAAATTAATGAAGAGTGCTGGTTAACTGAAAGAGGATATCATAATATATAATAAACCACAATATATTATTTGCTTTAATATAAATTATGTTAAATATAATATAGCAAGAAACTGACATATGTTAACATTAAAAAACCAGCTTGCAGTCCAATACCTGTATCTTACTTGGGGAATTATTGCTAAAGACTTTTTAGATCTAAATGTTAGCCAGGGGAGCAAAACTGACCTCATCACATTTGGTAAAAGGAAGCAAAGAGTCCATCCATCTTCTTGTATGACATTGTTTAATTCCCTCGTAAAAAAAGAGAGGCATGATGTCAGCAAGATGGCTGACCAGAGATGCCTAGCATTCATTTTCCACTGGCTCCCCACCCCGCCACAAGAAAAGACTAAGGCAAAGAATAAACAGCTACAATTTGACAGGAGCATCAAAAGGAGAGTGCTGGAGTGCCGCAGGGGAGTGGAGACACACCTGTGGTGATTGCAAATCCAGGAGCGCAGCATGGAGCCACCCAGCCTCTGCAAACCCTTCTCTTCTGCTAGGATTGGTTCTGCCTGGAGTCCTGCAGTTTCTTATTGCAGGGAAAAGGTAAGCAGAAGATCCCCACCAGCCTGCATTGCTACTGCAAACAGCCACACTCCTTGCAACAGGAGAATCCCACAGTCTCACAGTTTGAAGAGCTGCTGGGAATTCGTGGCTGCATTGCCCCGAATTAGGAGTACAAAGTGTGTACTCCCCACCCCCTCAACCCCACCCTGTGAGCGAAGCTGCTACAGCGTGACAGCATCTTGAAGCCATAGTCATCTCTAGGGGGCCAGTAGCTATTGCACGTCTCCAGTACTGGGGTTCCATTTTCATTCTGCCAAGTACACACCAGTGGCTGAACACAACCTCAGCAGCATGGAACCTGAGGCTCAAGATTGGCTGTGATTCTGGTTCTGTACAGTAGGGAAACCAACGTCTGTTGCCCTCACCTCCAGCTAGAGGAACAATCTGGCTGACCTGCCCAGGGTGAACCCACTCTTTAGCTGGTCAAACTGCTGCACTCTCCTGAGCAGGACAGGTCCTCAAGCCTCGTAGTAGCTGACATGCTGCCGGGATGGAATGGTTACACACCTGCATACAGGGCTGAGAAACAGCCCAGAGGTGCCTCACGCCCTGCAGACAAGCCCCTGACCTACCCTGTGCATGCAATTAGAGCCCAAGAAACAGCTCCGGGGACTGCCACTGGCAGAAATGTCCCCAGGGGAGTGGAGTGGCTGTGTGTCCATGCCTCAGGCCTAAGAAATGGCCTCGTGCCCACCCCTCCAGCAGACACGTCCCCAGGACAGCTGAGCAGCCTGGAGCCTGTGTCCCAGGCCTGAAAAGCAGCCCCATAGGCTGCTTCCAGTGGGCATGATCCCAGGCCGACCAATAGCCCTGTGCCTGCATTCTGGGCCTATGAAACAGCCCTCACAGAAACGTTTCCAGGCCGGGTGATCCACCCTGTGCCTATGTCCCAGACTTGAGAAATAGCTCCGTGGGCCACCCCCAGCAGACATGCCCCTAGGCCAGGTGAGCAGTTGTGCACCTGCATCCTGAGCCGGAGAAACAGCCCCTGACAAACATGTCCCTAGCCGACTGAACAGCCATGCAGCTGTATTCCAGGCCTGAGAAACAGTCCCATGGGCTGTCCCCAGCAGATGCACCCCCAGGCCAGCGAAGGAGCCATGTGCCTGCATACCAGACCTGAGAAACAGCCCCACAGGCTGCCTCTGGTGGGCACTCCTCCAGGCTGGCTGAGAAACTGCATGCCTGTGCTCTCAGCCAGAGTAACAGCCCTGTGGCCCCAAGCCCAGTGAGCCAGACTTACCATGTTCATGTACACAGCCCTGACCTGAGGAACAGCTCAGCAAGCCCACCCCTGGCAAAGCCCTACCACCATTGTCATAGACTCTCTTTTGCTAGGTCACTGAGAAACTTGGAAACACAACTAGAGAGTATTACAGCTTAAGAGACTAAACAGAGACTACCCTAGCAGATAGGTTGAATCTAGCAGATTCAATCTAAACAGATCCTCTCAGAGGCACATTATAGTCAAATTGTTAAAAGTCAAAGAGAAAGAAAGAATTTTAAAAGCAGCAAGAAAAAAGTATCAAGTCACAATTAAAGGAATCCCCATTATACTAACAGCAGATTTCTTAGCAGAAATCTTACCAGGGAGAATGGGATGATATATTTAGATATATTCAAAATATTGAAGGAAAAAAACCTGCCAGCCAAGAATATTATACCCAGTAAAGCTATCCTTCAGAAATGAAGGAGAAATACGATCTTTCACAAGGCCAGGTGTGGTGGCTCATACTTGTAATCCCAGTGCTTTGGGAGACTAAGGCAGGAAGATTGCCTGAGCCCAGGAATTTGAGACCAGCCTGGGCAACATAGCAAGACCCTATCTCTTAAAAAAAATTAGCAGGCAGGGCACATGCCTGTAGTCTCAGCTGTGTGGCAGGCTAAGGTGGGAGGGATTACTTGAGCTCACGAGTTTGACACTGCAGTGAGCTATGATCATGTCACTATACTCTGTCTCTAAAAAAACCAGCTCTTTCATAGACAAGCAAAAACTGAGAGAATTTATCACCACTAGATTGGCCTTACAAAAAAAATACTCAAGGGAGTCTCACATCAGGAAGTGAAAGGATGGTAACAACGATCATG
The DNA here is from genome assembly GCF_000001405.40 of Homo sapiens. Taxonomy (NCBI): domain Eukaryota; kingdom Metazoa; phylum Chordata; class Mammalia; order Primates; family Hominidae; genus Homo; species Homo sapiens. Next base: position 197,761,414 of record NC_000002.12, read on the forward strand.
AAACATGCAAAACTATAAAATTCACTGGGACAGCCATTACACAAAGGACAAAAAGAAGAAAAGAATCAAGCCTTATAATTACAGAGAACCCAGCTGCAAAAAATCACCAAAAAGAGAGGGAACAATGAACAAAAGATATGCAAAATAACCAGAAAATGATAAATAAAATGACAGGATGTCCTCACCTATCAATAATAACCCTGAATGCAAATGGGTTAAATTCTCCATTTAAAAGATAGAGACTAGCTGAATATATTAAAAAAAGAGACCCAACTATATGCTACCTAAAAGAAACTCACCTTACCTGTAAAGACACACATAGGCTGAAAGTGAAGGGATGGAAAGACATGTTTCATGCAAATGGAAACCAAAGCAGGCAAGAGTAGCTATACTTATATCAGACAAAACCAACTTCAAGTTAAAAGTTTTAAAAAGAGACAAAGAAGGACATTTATATAATAATATAGGGATCAATTCCGCAAGAGAATATAACAATGTAATACATATGTACCCAACAAAAAGCACCCAGATATATAAAGCAAGTCTTATTTGATCTAAAGAGAGAGGGAGAAACCCCAATAAAATAGTGGTTGGGGACTTCAACACCCCACTCTCAGCATTGGACAGATTATCTAGAAAGAAAATAAACAGGCCGGGCACAGTGGCTCACACCTGTAGTGCCAGCACTTTGGGAGGCCGAGGTGGGCAGATCACAAGGTCAGGAGTTCGAGACCGGCCTGACCAATATGGTGAAACCCCGTCTCTACTAAAAATACAAAAATTGGCCAGGCGTGGTGGCATGCAACTGTAATCCCAGCTACCGAGGAGGCTGAGGCAGGAGAATTGCTTGAACCTGGGAGGCGGAGGTTGCAGTGAGCCGAGATCATGCCATTGCACTTTAGCCTGGGTGACAGAGCGAGATTCCTTCTCAAAAAGAAAAAAAGAAAAGAAACAAAGAAACATGGATTTAAACTGCACCATAGGCCAAACAGACCTAACAGCCATTTAGAGAACATTTAACTGAACAGCTGCAGAATATACTTTCTTTTCATCAGGATATAAAACATTCTCCAGAATTACCATATTTCAGGAAACAAAACAAGTCTCAAAAAATTAAAAAAAACTGAAATTATATAAAGTATCTTATCTGACCACAATGGAATAAAACAAGATATCAATAACAAGAAAAACATTCAAAACTATACAAATTCATGGAAATTAAGCAACATACTGCTGAATGACCAGTGGGTGAAGGAAGAAATTAAGAATGAAAATAGAAACACAGCATACCAAAACCTATGGGACACAACAGTAGCAGTATTAAGAGGCAAATTTATAACAATGAATGCTTACATCAAAAAACTAGAAATATTTCAAATAAACACCCTTACAATGTACCTCTAGGAACTAGAAGAGCAAGAACAAGCTAAACCCAAAATTAGTAGAAGAAAAGAAATAGTAATAATCAGGGCAGAAATAAACAATGTTGAGACTACAAAACAATACAAAAGATTAACAAAACAAAAGGTTGACTTTTTAAAAAGATAAAATCGACAAACCATTAGCTAGTCTAAGAAAAAAAAGAAAGTAGACCCAAATAAATAAAATCAGCAATGAAAAAGACACCACAATGAATACCACAGAAATACAAAGGATCATTAGAGGCTAATATGAACAACTCTATGCAAATAAATTAGGAAACCTAGAAGAAACGGATAAATTCCTGAACATATACAATCTGCCAAGACTAAACCAAGACTGAAGAAATTGAAAACCTTAAGAAACAAGGCCGGGCACGGTGGCTGACGCCTGTAATCCCAGCACTTTGGGAGGCCGAGGCGGGCAGATCACGAGGTCAGGAGATCGAGACCATCCTGGCTAACAGGGTGAAACCCCGTCTCTACTAAAAATACAAAAAATTAGCCGGGTGTAGTGGCGGGCGCCTGTAGTCCCAGCTACTCGGAAGGCTGAGGCAGGAGAATGACATGAACCTGGGAGGCGGAGCTTGCAGCGAGCAGAGATTGCACCACTGCACACTCCAGCCTGGGCGACAGAGAGTCCGTCTTAAAAAAAAAAAAAAAAAAGAAAGAAAACCTTAAGAAACAAATTTAAGTAACAAGATTGAATCAGTAATTAAAACGTCTTCCAACAAAGAAAAGTCCAGAACTACATGGCTGAATTCTACCAAACCTTTAGAGAAGAATACCAGATCTTCCCAAACTATTCCAAAAAATTGAAGCAGAGGGAATTCTCCCTAATTCATCCCATTAGTTTGATTATATTAAACTAAAAAGTTCCTGCACAGTGAATAAAACAATCAACAGAGTGAACAGACGACCTGTTGAATGGGAGAAAACATCTGTAAACTACTTATCTGACACAGAATTAATACCCAAAATTTACAAGGAACTGAGACATCTCAACAGCAAAATAAACAAAAAATAAACTGATTAAAAATGGGCAAATGATCTGAATAGACATTTCTCAAAAGAAGACAAAGAAATGGCTAACAAATACATGAAAAAATGATCAACATCACTAATTATCAGGAAACTGTAAATCAAAACCACAATGAGGTATTATCTACCCCAGTTAGGATGTTTATTGTCAAAAAGAGAAAATAACAAACCCTGGTGAGGATGTAGAGAAAAGGGAACTCTTATACACTGTTACTAGGAATGCAAACTAGTACAACCACTATGGAAAACAGTATGGAGATCCCTGAAGAAACTACAAATAGAACTACCATATGATCTGGTAATCCCACTACTGGGAATTTATTTGGAGAAAAGGAAATCATTGTATCAGAGAGACATCTGCACCCCCATGTTTATTACAGCATTATTCACAATAGCCAAAATATGAAATCAACCTGGGTGTCCAACAACAGATGAATAAAGAAAATATGGTATATATATACACAATGGAATACTATTTGGCTATAAAAAAGAATAAAATCCTATCACTCATGGCAACATGGATGGAACTGGAGGTCATTACGTTAAATGAAATAAGCCAGGAACAGAAAGTTAAACAACACATGTTCTCACTCATATATGGAAGCTAAAAAACACTGATCTCAAAAATCTGCCACCTGCACAGATATTTTTGAAAGAAACAAGTTTTATTTTTCCCCCTTTCTTGTAATAAGTGATAAAATTCCAAGTCTTTTTCACTGCCTTCCAAACCATGTTCAGAAGAGAGTAGCTTATCCTCTGCTGGTCTACACTGGTTGCTGAATTTACTTGTATTCCTGTTTTTGTATATGCTGCATTTAGACTTACATATGGCAAGAAGGCATTTTTGTTGTTGTTGTTGTTAAAGGAAACAAACTCTCAAATCATGAAGTGATGTAAATGTTGCATATGCCTACAAAGCTCTGAATTCAGGTCCCATTGCTGTCACAAAGAAATGAATGTAACTCCTACCCTAATCCCTTTTTTATATAATAAAACTGCCTTAGCATGAGTTGCAACTGTCATCACTACAGTAAGCTGGTTTACAGATGTTTTCCACTGAGCATCACAATAAAGAGTACCATGTGTTACAAAAAAAAAAAGTTGATCTCATAGAAGTAAAAAGAATACTAGGGGCTGAGAAGGATAGAGGGAAAGGAGGAATAGGGAGAGGTTTGTGAAAGGATACAAAATTACAGCTACCTCAGGAATGGAAAACCAAACATCCTATGTTCTCACTCATAAGTGGGAGCTAAGCTATGAGTATGCAAAGGCATAAGAATGATACAATGGACTTTGGAGACTTAGGGAGAAGGAGTAGGAAGAGGGTGAGGGATAAAAGACTACAAATTGTGTTCACTGTATACTGCTCGGGTGATGGGTGCATCAAAATCTCACAAATCACCATTAAAGAACTTACTCATGTAACCAAATACCATCTGTTCCCCACAAACCTATGGAAATAAAAATTAAAAAAAAAACAACAAAAAATCCAAAACACCTCCAAAATTACAGCTAGATAGGAGGAATAAGTTCTAATGTTTTATACCACTATAGGATGACTATAGTTAACAATAATACATAGTTTCAAATAGCTAGGAGGCTATTGAATGCTCCCAACACAAAGAAATGATAAATGTTTGAGATGATGGATATGCTAATTACTCTGATTTGATCACCATATTACATGTATCAAAACATCACTACATACCCCATGAATAGGTATAATTATCATTTGTCAATGAAAAAAAATTAAAAAAAAAACACTACCAAGGATTAACTATCTCTTTTTTATTTTTTATTTTCTAACTAATCATTTATTTTATTTTACTTATTTTTAAAACTTTTATTTTAGGTTCAGGGGTACATGTGAAGGTTTGTTACATAGGTAAACTCGTGTCACAGGAGGTTGTTACACAAATTATTTCATAGCCCAGTACCCAATAGTTATCTTTTCTGCTCTTCTCCCTCTTCCCACCCTCCACCCTCAAGTAGACCCCAGTGTCTACTGTTCCCTTCTTTACGTTCATGAGTTCTCATCATTTAGCTCACACTTATAAGTAAGAACATGTGGTTATTTGGTTTTCTGTTCCTGTGTCAGTTTGCTAAGGATAATGGCCTCTGGCTCCATCCATGTCCCTGCAAAATATATGATCTCATTGTTTTTTATGGCTGCATAATATTCCTTGGTGTATATGTACCACATTTTCTTTATCCATCTGTCATTGATAGGCATTCCATGTCTTTGCTATTGTGAATAGTGCTGCAATGAACATTCGCATGCATGTGTCTTTATGGTAGAATGATTTATATTCCTCTGGCTATATACCCAGTAACGGGTCTAATGGTAGTTCTGCTTTTAGTTCTTTGAGGAATCTCCATACTGCTTTCCACAATGGTTGAACTAATTTACACTCCAACCAACAGTGTATAAGTGTTCCTATTCTCTGTAACCTCGCCAGCATCTGCTATTTTTGACTTTTTAATAATAGCCATTCTGACTGGTGTGAGATGGTATATCAATGTGGTTTTGATTCACATTTCTCTAATGAACTATCTCTTTGTAATTAGCAAAGTAGTTGCATGAGAAAGAAATAAATGAAAGTTAGCTAAGAAAGGACTGAAAGTTTCAGAGAGAATTTTAATTGTAATTTATGTTTACCTGGTAGTGATATGCAGGTTGCTGATAAATGGGCTGAGCTACCATCACAGGGGAGCTACATACAGAACGTGACTATAAAAGGATGGAAAAAGAAAAATTAGGCAGAAGCCTTTAAAATAGCTCACAATAAAATTTATCTCAAATTATTACCTAAACCCAGTAAACTTCTGGTTTATGATTAGAAATATTATTTTTCTACCTCTTATTGATATGATTACCAACTCTACTAAGTCTATTAAAATCATCACAATATTTCTACTTCTACGTGGTTTCATTTCCATAGTAATGCTAAAACAATCACCAGAAAAGTTGTTTTTAGTCTGAAATGTACCATCTCCAAAGATTATGAAAATATAGTTATAAGAGAATACTTAGAGGAAAATGACAGCAAGACTTAGGGTGACGCTGCCTGTTTCCATTGTGGGGACCAGCAGGAAACAGTTAATGTTTATAATAGTGTTTAGAACTGAATGAATAGTCGTATCTAATTTTCCCACTAGTTACAAATAATCAATGTTCTATTCCTTTGTTATACCTATAATTAAAGCAAAGATATTTTATTTTTATTTTAGTAATTTGACATTTAAAAGAGTTAATAGTTTGATAAACTTACAAGTGAAAAATCTGTGCTGAAAAAAGTACAGGTAACACTTGATTATTCAAAGTGAAAGAGTAAGCCCCAAAACAGATTACTTAAAACCAGATCTTTAATAAAACAGGCAAGTTGTATTGCAAGATAGTAAAACTGGCTCTAATGTAGCAATTAAAATTCAGTGTCTAATGTGGGATCTAACTTATATTGTTTTGTTTAATGTTTGCACCCCCGAAACTGAGGAAAAGTATCACAGTTTTGTACAATTCACAGACTATGGTATGCTAATAAAACTGTATCACTGATTAACATTAGAAAATAATAATGTAATTTCCCATATTAATAGATTAAAGGAGAAAAAATGGTAATTTCAACAGAGACAGAAAATGCATTTGTTAAAATTCCATACCTTTTTATGATTAAAAACTCTTAACAAACATGGTAGAAAATGGCTTCCTTAATTGATTTAGGGCAGTAACTCTCAACCATGAGTGATTTTGTCCTATAGGGAACATCTGGCAATGTTGGGAGACATTTTTGATTATCATAACTATGGGGAGCCTAGGGATACTTCTAAACATCCTACAGTGCACAGGACAGACCTTCACAGCAAAGAAATAATCTGGCTCAAAATGTCAACAGTGCTAAGATTGAGAAAGTCTGGTTAAGAGTATCTTCCCACTTACAAAGTATGCGTGTGTGTGTCTATATATGTATGTATACATGCATGCATACATGTAAAGTTTAATGGTGAATCACTGAAATTGCTCCCTTTTTCAAGAACAAGGTCATGATGTTTTCACTACATCAATACTGTAGCAGAGACATGGTCAGTGCAAAAACTCCAGGAAAAAAAGAAGTGAAAGAAATAGAAGTACACTGAATCATAAATAATTGTGTAAATGAGAGTTTGGCAGGGTTACTGATAGATTATCACTATTGAAAAATCAAGAGCATTACTATACACCAGCTACAATCTATTAGGAAATGTTATTTAAAAAACAGCATTCATTAAAGCAACAAAACTATAGTCTACTAAGAATAAATTTGACAAAATGTGTCACGCTTTTTTATGGAGAAAGAAAACTTTTTTATGGATAGAAGTAAAATAAGACAAATAAATGGAGAGATGTATCATGTTCATGGATAGGAAGATTCAATATTTTAAAATACTGAAATGTCCCAAGTTATTCACACTATTTAATGCAATTCTAATAAAAAAAAGGGCTTTTCACTGAACTAAACAAACTGAATTAAAAAATTTATACACATAAAAGCAAAGACATAAGGATAGATGAGAGACTCCTGAAGATGAACAATGTACTTTAAGATTTCAAGACTCGTTATAAAGTCAAAATAATTACAACTGGGCAAGGTGAACAAATACACCAATGGAACAAAATAGCAGAAAAAAGACCCACACACATGGAAACTTAGTGTTTGGCAGAGGATTAATTTCAAAATAGCAGGAAATAGGTGGATTAGTCGATACATAAATTCAAGATTTAAGATCTAGAAGTGAAAAGTGGCAATACTATAGCATTAAAAATAAAAAATAGCATATATTCTTGTAGTAAAAAACAAAAAACTAAAAAAGAAGAAAAAATCTTGTGCCAGTTTTCAAAGGGAATACTTCCAGTTTTTGCCCATCTAGTATGATACTGACTGTGGGTTTATCATAAATAGCTCTTATTATTTTGAGATACGTTCCATCAATACCTAGTTTATTGAGAGTTTTTAGCATGAAGGGCTGTTGAATTTTGTCGAAGGCCTTTCCTGCATCTATTGAGATTAATCATGTGGTTTTTGTCGTTGGGTCTGTTTATGTGATGGATTATGTTTATTGATTCGTGATGTTGAACCAGCCTTGCATCCCAGGGATGAAGCCAACTTGATTATGGTGGATAAGCTTTTTGATGTGCTGCTGGATTCGGTTTGCCAGTATTTTATTGAGGATTTTTGCATCAATGTTCATCAAGGATATTGGTCTAAAATTCTCTTTTTTTGTTGTGTCTCTGCCAGGCTTTGGTATCAGGATGATGCTGGCCTCATAAAATGAGTTAGGGAGGATTCTCTCTTTATCTATTGATTGAAATAGCTTCAGAAGGAATGGTACCAGCTCCTCTTTGTACCTCTGGTAAAATTCGGCTGTGAATCTGTCTGGTCCTGGAATTTTTTTATTTGGTAGTCTATTAATGATTGCCTCAATTTCAGAGCCTGTTATTGGCCTATTCAGAGATTCAACTTCTTCCTGGTTTAGTCTTGGGAGGGTGTATGTGTCCAGGAATTTATCCATTTCTTCTAGATTTTCTAGTTTATTGGCGTAGAGCCCTCTCTCTTCACTCCTATTCAACACAGTGTTGAAAGTTCTGGCCAGGGCAATCAGGCAGGAGAAAGAAATAAAGGGTATTCAATTAGGAAAAGAGGAAGTCAAATTGTCCCTCTTTGCAGATGACATGATTGTATATTTAGAAAACCCCATCATCTCAGCCCAAAATCTCCTTAAGCTGATAAGCAACTTCAGCAAAGTCTCAGGATACAAAATCGATGTGCAAAAATCACAAGCATTCCTATACACAATAACAGACAAACAGAGAGCCAAACCATGGGTGAACGCCCATTCACAATTGCTTCAAAGAGAATAAAATACCTAGGAATCCAACTTACAAGGGATGTGAAGGACCTCTTCAAGGAGAACTACAAACCACTGCTCAACGAAATAAAAGAGGACACAAACAAATGGGAGAACATTCCGTGCTCATGGATAGGAAGAATCAATATTGTGAAAATGGCCATACTGCCCAAGGTAATTTATAGATTCAATGCCATCCCCATCAAGCTACCAATGACTTTCTTCACAGAATTGGAAGAAACTACTTTAAAGTTCATATGGAACCAAAAAAGAGCCCACATTGCCAAGACAATCTTAAGCAAAAAGAACAAAGCTGGAGGCATCACGCTAGCTGACTTCAAACTATACTACAAGGCTACAGTAACCAAAACAGCATAGTACTGGTACCAAAACAGAGATATAGACCAACAGAACAGAGGCCTCAGAAATAACACTACACATCTACAACCATCTGATATTTGACAAACCTGACAAAAACAAGAAATGGGGAAAGGATTCCCTATTTAATAAATGGTGCTAGGAAAACTGGCTAGCCATATGTAGAAAGCTGAAACTGGATCCCTTCCTTACACCTTATACAAAAATTAATTCAAGATAGATTAAAGACTTCAAATGTTAGACCCAAAACCATAAAAACCCTAGGAGAAAACCTAGGCAATACCATTCAGGATATAGGCATGGGCAAGGACTTCATGTCTAAAACACCAAAAGCCATGGCCACAAATCCAAAATTGACAAATGGGATCTAATTAAACTAAAGAGCTTCTGCACAGCAAAAGAAACTGCCATCAGAGTGAACAGGCAACCTACAGAATGGGAGAAAATTTTTGCAATCTACCCATCTGACAAAGGGCTAATATCCAGAATCTACTAAGAACTTAAACAAACTTACAAGAAAAAAATCAAACAACCCCATCAAAAAGTGGGTGAAGGATATTAACAGACACTTCTTAAAAGAAGACATTTATGCAGCCAAAAGACACATGAAAAAATGCTCATCATCACTGGCCATCAGAGAAATGCAAATCAAAACCACAGTGAGATACCATCTCACATCAGTTAGAATGGCGATCATTAAAAAGTCAGGAAACAACAGGTGCTGGAGGGGATATGGAGAAATAGGAGCACTTTTACACTGTTGGTGGGAGTGTAAACTAGTTCAACCATTGTGGAAGTCAGTGTGGCGATTTCTCAAGGATCTAGAACTAGAAATACCATTTGACCCAGCCATCCCATTACTGGGTATATACCCATAGGATTATAAATCATGCTGCTATAAAGAAACATGTAAACGTATGTTTACTGCGGCACTATTCACAATAGCAAAGACTTGGAACCAACCCAAATGCCCATCAATGATAGAGTGGATTAAGAAAATGTGGCACATATACACAATGGAATACTATGCAGCCATAAAAAGGATGAGTTCGTGTGCTTTGCAGGGATATGGATGAAGCTGGAAACCATCATTCTGAGCAAGCTATTGCAAGGACAGAAAACCAAACACCATATGGTCTCACTCATAGGTGGGAATTGAACAATGAGAACACTTGGACAGAGGATGGGGACCATCACACACCAGGGCCTGTTGTGGGGTGGGGGGAGGGGGGAGGGATAGCATTAGGAGATGTACCTAATGTAAATGACGAGTTAACAGGTACAGCACACCAACATGGCACATGTATACATATGTAACAAACCTGCACGTTGTGCACATGTACCCTAGAACTTAAAGTATATAAAAAAAAGAAATGCAAAAAATAAAAAATAAAAACCACTAAAGCAGTACTATATGTCATTTATGAATACATATATTTGTAGTAAAAATATATAAAATGAATAGGAAAGATATTCTGCTTACTTTTGAACAGGAAAGAGGGTAAGGAAGTGGGGGTAAGGAGAATTGACCTGAAGCTGTCTTACTTTACTCCCCATTTTAAGAACTTAAGTAAATGTGGCAAAATGTTGATGTCTATTTAATTTGGTTGATGTGTGTTATTATTTGTAATTATCTGTGGTTAAGATATTTCAGAAATATAACAAACATTAAAAAATTGATAGTAATAGATGGAAATCCTTTTTTAAATGAAATTACTTACAGGCCAAGGCGGTGGGACCGAAGTTACCTCTGGAGTATGAAAATAAGCAACACCATTATGGTAAGTATAAGGATATCCAGTTGAAGTTGTTAGATACATTGTTCCAGCTGCTGGCATTATACTAGAACCTAAAGCAAAGATTAAATAATAATAATTGAAATGTTCAATTTAACTGTTAAAAATGTAGTTTCTAAACACTTCAGAAAAATATTTATCTTAATATACCTATGTAGCTATGGTAAAAATTGAATGTCACAGATATTTTTAAAAAATTCCTTATGTCAAAGTATCTTTGAAGCCTGTATTTTTAAACTCAATACCTTAAAGCTTTTAGTTTAAGATGATTAAAAGAAAAGAAAAACAATACGAATAAGAAATACCAAAAATGTATCAATTCAGATTCCAACACCAGTATGCTACACAAAGCTGAACAATTTAGACTATCATCAGCGAAGTAATTATTTGTACAAATATAAATTATGTATAATTTAAAGTTACTTCAAGACAACATACACTGTAGTGAAGTTCCTAAGGTCTTGGCTAGACCTTTTATTTCTGAAAGTCCAAAGATGATGGAGGCAGTAAAGTTGGAGAAGATTCTACTTTCCTGAAGACATTTTGGTTCCACCCTACTAATTCTTTGGATATCCTACCAGCAAACATTCGTTCATGCTATGGCTGTCTTTTATCTCTCTTTTCTATGATCTATTCTCTATCTAGTCTCCCTTTGCTACAACTGCTGCTGTTGCAAACATGACCGCAAGTCTTCATGTGGCTAGTCTGGGGTCCCCAACTCTTTTCCCGGGCCAAGTTATATAAACCCCCACCACAAACCAAAAAACAGTAAATAATATACATAGATATATATATATTTTTTGTCATTGAGGAGACTTTAAAAGTTAAATTAGCCAAATTAGATTAGGTCTTAACCAGCAAGGTTATATAAATTAGTGAAACTGACAATTCTTCCACCTATACCAGTGCTTCTCAAAATTTCCCATAAATTAGAATCACTTAAATTGTTTTCTAAAATGCAAATTCCAGGGACTTATCTTCAGAGATTTTGAGTCAGTAAATCTGGGACAGGGCCTAAGAATTTGCATTTTGACAGCTTCCAATGAAATGACACTGTCTGCAAACCACACTTCAAATAGCATGGGCCTACCACTTTAAATAATACTATTGCTCCTCAGCTTTTATATTTTCACTGCATTTGATCTAGTATTGTTATTATTTATTTTAATGGTTCTTAATTAGATCCTTTTGAGAATTTGATGAAAATCAGGGACCTTTTCCTCAGATATATATACAGTCAAACACAATTTTACACACAATTTTGGAGGTCCATGGATTCCCCCCAAAAGATATTCCACTATTATTCAAAGATAATGATAATGGTTCATTATTCAATAATGGTTCATTATTCAAAGAAAATGAACCATGCTTTACCTGCTAAATAAATAAATTTTCAGTGCATACTATTTCAAGGCATTGAACAGGGCCCTAGTGATACAGCAAAAAATAAAAAAATTAGACATGAGATGGTCTGTATCCTCAAAGAAGTTAGGTCTGGTAGTGAAGATAGTCATTAGTTGATTACACAATTAATTAATTAAATACAATTTTGATAAATACATGAGGCATTATAGGGTACGATACTGAACATTTCAATTATTATGTATACAAAACATATATAAAATTTCTCTCTATATACATATATATGGAAAATTTGTGATGAAATGATGTTCAGCTAAGCTCTAAAGAATGAATTGGATGGCAAAGTACATTCTAGGTAAAGAAAACAGTATATTAGATTCTGAGAACAGGAGTATAGAATGTTCTGGAACTGAAAGAAGGCTACATGGCTAAAGCATGGAAAGAAAAGGGAAGAATACCTCAAAATAAGCTGAGCATAAGACAATAAGAGGTGCACTTTTGAAAGATCACTCTGGCTGCCTTGTGAATGATGGATTGGAAGGTAGAAAGATTGGATTCAGAGAGACCACTTAGGATGTTTTTCCAGGAATTAAGGTAAACAAAGTGGTTAGTTGGGACTCGGGTGTTGGTAATGGAGATGGAAAGAAATGACAGATCTAAGAAAAAACTAAGATAAGAATCCCTTATTTGTAAATGTACTTTTAACACCTATTTTTCTTCGCAGAAAAGTCAAAAGAACTTTGGAGTCAAACAGTCCTGCATTTGAAGGCTAGTGCTACCACTCACCATTAGGCTATTTAACCCCATACTTCTTAAAGTTGGATAAGGGATGGATGGTATACCAGGAGATATGAAAAAGCAGAGGCTGAACATAGTAATCTTCCTACAGAATCAGTTTTATTCAATTGTTTTTGGGAAATATTTTTATATTCAAATAAACAATATGATATTATGGAACAGAATGCAAATTATACATGATGTTTTTGCATAAATCATGAGACTTTAAAGAAAATTTGCAATTCCAGTATGCTGCAGTGGGTTAGGAACCACAACATGCCAAGATTAACTCTCCTCTACCTTTAGGAGTATTTCAGCAGAAACATTTTTAAAACAATGACTTTATCTTTTTGGGATTGAATTTTCTATTTACAAAAATAGAGATAACAATACATCATGGGATTCTATGAAGATTAAATGAAAACTCATAACATTGACCCTTGCACTAAGTAGTTTTGAAAAAACTATTTGTATATGTGAAAGCATTCAGCATAGTGCTGATTTATTTTCTATTTCAGCAACTGGTAGATCATACTATGAGCATTACTATTTAGTACATATTGCTGGTGATAATGGGCTAACGGACCGTTACTATATGTTCTAGCTTAACCTTTGCAAGTAACAACAGTAGATTGAAAATATTCAGCATTCTGCCATATTTAGTGCATTCCATTTTGTATTAACCTACTGAGGATACTTTGATTGTCTCCTAAATTAACAAATACTAAGTCAAAATTAAACTTAATATACATCAATCTCTTTTTTGTTGTAGTTGTGGCAACTGTATTAACCAAATATCTATTATTTCTAAGTCAAAAGCATAACAGTCCAAATGAATACAATCTATTAATTTGTTAACAGATTATATATAATAACCTAATGTTTTAAACATTCCCGTAGACACTAGGATGTGGCTAAGGGAAAATAAGTTAGTTATAAATTTTACATCACATTTCTCCTTCTAGCCAAAGACTGTTAGGAATTTTAATAAATATTAAAGGTAAAAAGTTAACTATAAAGATGCCTAACTTAATAAGTAGAAAGAGTGAGGAAAGATAGAATTGAAAGCATTAGAGAAATTTGAGGAAGGTAGATACATAATTTAGCCAATTCCTAAAGCTTTAGGGATTGTCCCCCTGAAAATTATGACACACCTGGCTGGGTTACAGTACACAGCATGCAGCGAGTTTCTGATATTAGTTCTATGTTTTCACTTTCAATATTTTTACTCTGATTAATTTTAAATTAGTTTCTAATTAAAATTTTTCTCATTAGTAAGTCTAAATTATTAAATTACTTCTAATTACTTTTGCTATATTAAATGATATTTTCATCACGAAAGATTTTTTTTCCTTTAATGATGTAACTACATGGAATATACTTAAGCATCTTTATGTATATAAATTTTTTCCCAGCCAAAAAAATTGAGATATATTATTTTGTGGCAAAAATATTCAGTTTTTCCACCAACTTTGCTAAAATAACTTTATTAGATGAAAGAAACATGATCTTTTAATAAAGTTCTATAAAAAGTCTTATATTTCAAAAAAGAACCATGCAAAAATATTTAAAAATACATTAGTTCTCAATACATACGAGGGATCCCTACTTGTTGTTTTCTTATTGCTGGACCAATGTTCAGCTTCTTATCCTTATAATTAAGTTTTTCAGCCTAAAATAAAGAAAAAAGAAATTATTTTATTATTTTAGCACTATTATTTATAAAATCAATAAGGAAAAACTAGTTAGAAAGAATTTCAAAAATTCAGACTATAATATTCTTTCAAAGCAGCAAGGAATAGTGGGAAAGAGCCGTCTTCAGACTGAAATAGATCTGGGTCTGACCGCAATTCCCCATTTTCTCCATTTGTAATACAGTCAATCCTCATTACTCATGGATTCTGTATTTGTGAATTTGCCTACTTGCTAAAATTTACTTGTAATCCTAAAATTAATATTTGTGGCAATTTTGAGGTTATTAGTGGACACGTGAAGAGCGGCGGAAAATTTGAGTAGCCTGATGCGCATGCTCCCAGTTGAGGTCAAATAAGGCGATATTCTTTCTTCTTGTTCCAGTGCTCATACTCTAAGAGAGAGCTTTCTATTTAGTGCCATGTTTTCTCCATTTTTGTGCTTTTTGTTGGTGATTTGGCTATTTAAAATGGCCCCCATGTGTATTGTTGAAGTGCTGGCTAGCACAAGAAGACTGTCATAGGCATTATGGAGAATATATATATTAGATGTGCTTAATTCAAGCATGAATTATAGTGCTATTGGCCATGGCTTCAATGTTAATGAACCAGTAATCTGTTATATATGATGCCTTTAAATGGAAAACCATATAAAACAAGGTTATATATTGATAGGTTGATGGCAATATTGTGACCAGAGGTTCTTGGGAACATTACCTTGTACTTCCCCTAGAAAGAGGAGTTCAGCATTTGCTAATTCAGTGTTCCTAGCAATGTTAGAGAACATAACTGCCACAAATAACAAGAATTGACTGTATTTGATTTTAATAACATACAATTCAAATTCTACTTTTTTTCTAAAAAAGTTAAATGTTATATTTGCCTTAACTTAAAGTTATTACACTGAATTGCTGGCTATAGGCTTTTTTTCTGTGAATATTCTTAGTTTATATAATGTTTTTCACAGGAGGGAAATCATCTCAGATAACCTCACTGTTGGAATCCACATTTGTAGTGTTTTTTAAACATTCAAAATGCTATTAACACTTCGCAAAAGATATATCCCCAAGTTCTTAATTTAAGTAAATAAAGCGAAACATTATATTACAGTTTCACAACCATACTTGTAGTGATTTTGGAATTTGCTCTTCTGCAGATTAAGTTTCCTAGAGACCAATGCCAATCTTAAGATGCAAACCTTTTTTAAAAAGCAGTTGATTATTGTATTTGAACCCCGAAAAGATTAGTTTCAAATACAAAATTTCCAGAAATGAAGTTAAATACACCAAAAGATCATACCTCTTGTAAAATTTTTTGTGCATCTTCTTGTGTTTCAAAAGTGACGAAACCATACCTAAATAAATGCATTAATTATTACTAATTAATCATTTTCTTAGAATGTTATATTAATTATATTAAAATGTTTAAAAATTTTGTTTTTAAATCATCGGCCACTGTAGGAGTAGGCATGTTTCTATGCTGCACTAGCATGGGAATCTTAGAAGAATCATTCACAGCCTAACACTGTCACTTTTAGTCAGGAACTAAAAGAAAAAAAACCCCTGAGATCTTGAAACAGCTTCAGCTCTCAGCTGTATGCAGGAAAGAAAAGCACAAGAGATTCATGCTGTTGCTTAAAAATTGGGGATGCAATAAATTTCAATCCAGAGCAATAATCTCCTTTTAAACTAATAGAAGTTTGGCTAAGAGAAATCAAAGTAGAAAAATAACTAAAAAATTTAAAATTTCAACACAATAAAATTTCTTATATTGGTGAATGACAATGTAAATGTATTATTTAATTATTATTATTAGCACATATAACTGATAATGTAATTATTAGTATATTCCCAAACAATATCAATTAAAAATATGTACAACCCAGATTTCACATCTGTTTTTCATACATAATTAACTTCAAGCACAATTCATATAATGTTGAAGATACAAATACACATAAATGATGTGCTCCATGTCCAAAAAGCCACAATAGGTAGAGAAAAAAGTAACAAAAGAAAGAAAAAATGTATCTCTCAAAACATAATTGCTATTTAGATAACTTAAGTAAACTCTTCTGAGTAATGCTAAATATCTTCACTATTTTCTTCAATTCATAATTACTGGATCATATACAAAGTTTCTTCTTTTAAACAAAGGAATTTCTCTTTATCTATTTGCCCAAACATTAAAAAGTTAAGGAATTAGTTTTACGCTATTTTTTTGGTAGAACACACACGCCACCCAGTGGAAAAGGCATAAAATACAGTTTACATTTACATTTCCATGTATGTTTTCCAATGATTAAAAAATGGTATTACCAAAACATAGCAAATTCTGTTAGTCAAACAAAAGAGGTAAATCTCACTTCACCTTAATATTGTTTGGCATTCTGAGGAAGTATCTCATCTGTTTATAAATAACCTTTCTGTAGAATCCCATCTCTTCCAGCATATCCATCTGTCGAATGTTGTTTCTCACCAATACCACCTCAATGGGTCCCTTTTCTTATGCCTATAAATATGTATGTCTCGTCTCTCTTTCAAGAAAGTAAATACAATACTTTACTGCCTTATCTATTTTCTTTTAACTTTGCAGTCCAACTCCTTAAGTGAGTGTACTATGTAAACTATCTTTTTCCTTTCTGAAATTTGGCTTTGTACACATAGCATTCCACTGAAACAGCTCTATACACATTTAAAGACACAGTCTATTACTTTCTTCTCAATTTTCATTATCATTGATATAGCAATTAAAAATCATTCTCACTAGAATTATATTTCTCATACTGGTCCCCTAATTAGGTCTCTGAGGCACAACCTACAGACATTTCTTGGTGTCAGCTGTTTTCAAATAAAGCTCTCTATGGCCTAAAGCAGGGATACAATTCCAAAAGAATCTGATTCCTTTTGCTTCTCATTCCTCAGCTAATGTACATCTGCTACTTACATTAAGTGCTTGCTGCCTACCACTGAATGGTCCCTCCACCCATGCAAGAATAACTTCTCAACAAATTAAGAAATATTACAGTGTCTCCTCCCTCCAAAATACACACACACACACACACACACACACAAGGAAATCAAAAGGTAGGAGGAAAGAAGAGGGCATGATGGTCTCTGCTGGAAAATGGAACCAAAGTAAACTGGCGTACAAAACCTAGTCATCCAATGAAAATAGAGTTGCTAATTCCATAGACAATCTATAGTGATACTAACCCTTTGGATACTCCAGCTCTGTCATTTACAATCTTCACTTCTTTCACAGACCCATACTGGGAAAAAAATTTTCTTAAATCACTTTCGTTTGTCTAATGGCATAAAAAGAAAACGTTAAAAAGCATTTTTAGTTGATAAAAGATGAATAATTCTCATGCTTGCTCTGGAGACAGAAAAAGTTATAGATAAGATGCATGAAAAATGCCTCTCATCATCAAAACAGTGCATAAACCACTAGGTGATTAAAATCAAGGTAAATATCTTGCTTTATGCAATAGCTATGTTGTTAAATTACCATATGCCAATAAAAATGTAAGCTGAATTATTTTAAAACTACAAAACTCACTATTTAAAGAAATCTTTAAATGATTCTTGTTCTCTAGCTGGCCAGTTTTTAAAAAGCCAATTTGGATTAGGAATGCTATTTCCATAGTAAGGGTACAATACTATTTTGGCTCTTGTGGCTCAGAGACAGTCATGGCAGTGGAACTAGGTTGTGTTGGCCTACACCAGTCATTCTATTTTAATCAGTAGTCTCAGGAACTCCTTTCCTAAGTCAGTTTTAGGAAAGGAATGTATTTCCAAAAGTGCTTGAACTCAACTGTGAGAACAATGGAGTGACTATAAGATTTAAAGTTATTAGATTCCTTATCTGTACTCAATATACATTTCAGCTAAATTCAGACATTGTTTTGATAATAAAATAAAAATTGGAATCATAATTAGATTTAAAGCATACAAGGTGTCTACAAAGATGGTTTTGGCATGTCTGTTTTTTTAATTGAAATAGTCTGATAATAGACTCATATCACCTTTTCTCAGAATACTGACACTAAATTCATTGCAATTTCATTTCCTGGTTTAGCTGTAACTGTTTGTCTACAAGAGTAACTTTTCTCTAGAAAAAAATTTCTTTATATACACTGCAAAAAGACATGCCTTAGTGCAGAGCTATGCCTTTTGAGTTCAACTGCCACCTCACTACTTACATACACTATTGGTTTTTAGTTGGTAACATAAAGCCTGCTAAGCTGCATAATGACAAATACTGATTCAATCTAAGAAAAACTGAATGACTTTTATTTCAGTTAACAGAAAATGAAATCAATGCTAGAATAAGAATTGTTACTAGATATTTGAATACAAATTAATTCCAACTATTCTCTGGTAGAATAATCACTACCTCAATTTTGTAGCTCCACTTCTTTAGTGACAAAGAGACAGTCAAGAAAAGTAAGCATTAAGAGGGATAGTCTGTTTGCTTATAAAAATGAAAGGTTAAAAAGTCTGTGACTACTTGCTATTAAAGTAAATGATTTCCTTGCTGGCCTTTATCTGTGGTTTTGAAAAAGGTATAAGTATACAGGAGGAAGCCCTAGCAATTACCTTAAAGCTATGGCTGCATTATAACAACCGTCTCCAAAGTGCATGCTGTAGCTGATGGGCTTCAGTAACCTAAAATAACCTGGCCATACAAATGTTTATATTTATTGATAACTTATTTTTAAAAACATGCTAATCTATTGTAATATAAATGAATTCCCAAATTGAACATTTCTGCCAGCTATCAGTATTTTCCACAAAGAAAATCTTTTTAAAAATAAATATTTTATAAGAAATAATTTTTCTTACTTTATTTTTAGTGAAACAATCATATACTTGTTTAAGACTCATTGTTTTGGCAAATACACTAAGTGTAACATTTCTCTTGTGCAGGAAAAAAGAAATTCCACCCAAATTGTAACAGATTGGTTATATGGAAATAGTTATAAATGTCAAATATCACACCTAATGGCATAAGGAAGGTTTTTTTTTTGTTGAAAATGATAACTCTCCCTATAATTTCTAATATGTAAAATAGAAGCTTGGAAATCCTTCTATATATCCATTTGAAAGTAAGAGTATTCCACTTAAAATATCTATGCATGCCTTTCTTGTAGGTGTTTACTCTTACCTCCCCTATGTGGGCTGGGGGGCACTGCACATCATGTCATGAACTATGCTTTCTTGAAACAGTGGAATGGCTGATTACATGATATAAATATATTAGTTTTTAAAAAACTTTTATTTTAAGTTCGGGGTACACGTGCAGATTTGTTATAAACTCATCATTGGGGTTTGTTGTATAGATTATTTTGGCACCCAGGTACTAAGCCTAGTACCGAATAGTTATTTTTTTTTCTGCTTAAATATACTACTTTTAAGATGCTTTATTCTGACAAGGACACAGGACTTTTTTGGTGATCAAATCCTAAATTCTAACATAGAAAGTGCTTTGCAAAGAATAGATGCCTAGGAGGTTGCTCAGGAATCTGAGATAAGAGTTGGGGTAAAGAAATAGTATTTCATAAAAGTAAGTTTTTAAAAAATAGAGTCTCTTTTGAAAATTATAATAATCAATTATTTTGGCTATTGGAATATTAGGCAAGAAAGTATAATTAGTTCTGGTATGGAAGAGTATGGAGCTATGAGACAGAAAACTAGGCTTCTAGTCTCACTCTGTCACTATGTGGCTAGCAGCCCACAGCAAGTCAGTGAGGATCAATTTCTTTATATCTGACATTGAACAGTTTTTAATGCTTTATGTAACCTACATGCTGGTTGAAAAGATTCTTTATAATAAGATAATTCAAAATCTGTTAATCATTATGCAAATATGTTATTTTATAGTTGCACAAAGAAATAATTTCTGAGAAATAAAGACTTCTAATGAAAAAATACACTTTACTGCATGCATAAATAGGTACCTTAAAATCAATTCCTCCTACAAAGATGCGATTAGGGATCACTGTTCCATATCTTGGGGCACTTGTTGGGTTATTCAAAGGCACAGGTGACACAGGATTAGGGGATGGAGATAATGAATCTGTTTGCATCTGGTTTGATGTTTGCTGTAAAATAAAATTCTTTTACACTTTTTGCACTGGGTATAATGCAGTCTGCTTTTGATGCAGACCAAAAACATATATTTTTCAAAAAGAAGAGTCATTTAGGCAAAATATAGTATTCTAGGCTTTACTTTTAATATTATAAAAATTATAATTAGAGCTAAGAGCTTTTTAAGGCAACAGAACTAGGAAACACAGAATCTACTCCACTATAGAGATTTTAAATATTAAATATATTACTTAAAATGCTTATATTATTATCAAACCTATTACTTAATTATTAAGGGGAATATTAAACTCATGAACATGTTTGAGAAAGAGAAAACAGTCCCAGCCTGACACAATCAACTACACCCTGGTGTTGTTAGGAGTTGGCCTGGCACTCACAGCTAGGCTGTGGTGTTCTCTTGTTAACAGAACACCAACATCAGACAAAGTCACCCTGTGACTCTGATGGATCAAGATTAAAAACAAGACCACTCCATAATCATGTTTGAATGCTGACAAAAACAAAGGCATTGCCCAAACCACAAGAATAACCAAACAACCCTCCATTCTGGCTGATATGAGTGACTGCTCCTTCTTTATCAGCTATAGTTTTAGCCTCGATCCATTTTTCTTTCCTTTTAGATAAAAGTTAACACATCCAATCATAGAATTACTACCATTTCCTGACGCTATACATTCCAGAGTAAAGCCCTACTTCCTTAAACCCTCTCTAGAAATTGCTCAACAGAAGCCTATATCCTGTAAGTTCTAACACCTTCTGATTGAGAGGCCCCATGGTTTATGTTTTCCCTTGTTTGAACAATTAACAGACCCAACTTTACTAAATGACGCATGTGTTCCTGGTGGTCTTTAACTAATGGTCATCGACAAGTTAATAAACTCTAACATTCACATTCACCATTTTCAGCCTGAAAGTCAAAATTTTAAATGCACTTGTCAATTTGAAGATTGGACTGATTTTGTTAAAAAATTATATACTTGTAGCTCATAAATGTTTATTCCAAAGAATTAGCTCAGTACATATCCACATGTTCACAATTCTAAGTTAGAGGACATAATTTAAATTTTAATAAATATATATAAATGTATAAGCCTTTGCAGAATGGTAAGATAATAGACTTTTAAGGTATAACTGAAAAAAAACCCAAGACTTGAGAATCACATTGAAGAGAAACCAATTCAAGAACTGGTGAATTATTTTCCATCTGGAAACACTAAACACACTTCTGAGACAAACCCCATAATATCCTAAAGACAAACCCCATAATATCCTAAATGTGTGCTTCAAAAAACTTGAAGTAAACTGGGTGTTGTGGCTTGTGCCTGTAATCCCAGCTGCTTGGGAGGCTGAGGCAGGAGGATTGCTTGAGATCAGGAGTTCGAGACCAGCCTGGGCAACAAAGAAAGACCCCATCTCAAAAAGAAAGAAAAAGAAAATAACAAAAGCTTGAAGTTCATAATTCCAATTCTCTGAGAAACAAACTCATGAAAATGAATCTCCAGCTCAGGTAATAAAGTTGTTCTTTTTCAAATTTGTTCTGCTCTTTCTTCTCTGGCCAATACAATCACAATCCCTAAATTAATCTTTGCAAGATGTACAGAGAAATGACTAGGGCAGGAGTGGCAATTGGGCTATAGGCTGGACCTTATGGGCTCTCTTCCCCATCCAGCCTTAAGGAAGTATGTACTCCTAATAAGGGAATATGTAAATACTTCTTTTAAAACACAGAAAAGCCACCACATTTAATAATTACTATGTTGTAGTTTCCAATGAAAGAAACTGGGAATCTAATCTTAACAGCTTTCTCTCTGGGCACTTGGAGGTTATTTGTGACTTCAGTCACTTCGCTCAGTAGGATATAATGCTCAGAATGGGTAATTCTGGAATGCTTAGTATTTTTCAACTATGGATTTTGTATTGCTAGAGATAATATAACAGCTCTAGTAGATGTAATCTTGTCTTTCTGCCCATTTGTTTACAGTGTCAAAATTACCTATTTGCTAAATTTAAAAAATCATTCTTCATGAAATTCTCTTATTGAAAATAAGATGTACTAATATGTTCGCAAGTTTAAGTAAAAGACAAACCCCATTATATTTCATTGAGAGAAGGATGAAATGAACGGAAGTAAACAGTGCTTTATTTCCAATCTCGAGAAACTAAAGGATACTCCCTGAGAAAAGAAAAACAACCTTTCACACTCAATTCACTTCATTCTCCTCCACTCTCTAAGGCTCTATTGTGGGCTCGCTCTGCTTAAGTTTTCTCCCTCATCATTTTCTAACATACGATATAGTTTACTTAGTATGTTTATTATCTGTCTCCACTATTATGTAATGCACCAGGGCAGAAGTTTTGCTTTTTTCATGGCAGCATCTAAAGTACTGACAGTACACAGCAGGTGCTCAATAAATATCTGTTGAATGACTAAAAGTGAATCATTTCTTCAGGAGAGACCTGCTCATGATATGCCAAATAGGCTGAAGGCTAAAGAATACAGTATAACAGCAGTCTAATACATATATATATATATATATATATATATATATATATATATATATATATATATATATATATTTGAGACAGTCTTGCTCTGTCGCCAGGCTGGAGTGCAGTGGCGTGATTTCGGCTCACTGCAACCTCCGCCTCCCTGGTTCAAGAGATTCTCCTGCCTCAGCCTCCTGAGTAGCTGAGACTACAGGTGCGCACCACCACGCCCAGCTAATTTTTTTGTATTAGTAGAGATGGGTTTTCACCATTTTGGCCAGGATGGTCTCGATCTCCTGACCTCGTGATCCGCCCACCTTGGCCTCCCAAAGTGCTGGGATTACAGGCGGGAGCCATCGCGCCAGGCCTACAAAATATTTTAATGTTAGCAATAGCAAGGCTCAGGTGGAGGCAACATCTAAGTTCATTATAAACAATTAGCGATGCATTGAGTTAAACAACAAAGAAAGCCTGAAATTCCACTAGCAATAATTCCGCATGTGTTACGGAAACACCTAGATGGGGACTGTTGCCGGGTTTGAAGGCTCCTCCGTTTGCTAAAACTTCCAGCACTAGAGAGTTTATTAAACTACTCCTCCAAAGCAATGTGCCCTCACTGGCCCCTCCCCTTGAGAATCAACCTCGAGATCTAGCATCTATTTTGCAAACGAAGACAGCAGGAACGGGCGGGCTAACCGTCGCAGTCACTGCCTCGGCGCTCCTCCCCCTCCAAGGCCAGCAAGTTGCGGCACTGGGGGAAATGGCCGCGGCGACAACTTCCTCGAGTTCTCTCGGGTCATCGTGAACTTGGGCACCGAAACGAGGATCCACCCCCTCCCCACCAAAGTGCGGGAGGGAAAAGAAGGCTAGCCAGCGAGAAATTTTGCCCCACAAATCCGCCAGCAGCAGTGGCGGGAAGCCTCAACGGCAGCGACCCCGCCGCTGGCCTCGTGCGCAGCTGGTCCCCACCCTCGCGCGGCGCTCCCTGATTGGCTGCTGGCGGCGGGACGGGGCGGGGCGGGATGGCACGTTGCCGCTGCGCCTCGGGCCTGTGCGGGCAGTCCTCCTTCACTTCCCCAAGTCCACCCTGACTGGCTTGGGTGCACAGCCAGGGCTAGAGTGTCCGGGTCCCGCCTGGGCCACAGGCGGGCCCTGCCAGGTCTCTCAGACCTTCCGGTCCTCGCTGACCAGTCGGGGAGTGGAGGCGTCGACCGCCCTGGCAACTCCTCGCCTTGGGCGGCTGGGTCGAGTTCGGCCGCAGGGAGCGTCAAAGACGCTGCCTAGCCCAATTTCGGCGGGAAAGCGGTTTACCTGCTCGGACTTCGCTGGGTGCCTGGCAGCCCGCCGCCTCCCGAAACATCCACGCCTGAGGTCCCCTGGCCCGTCTACACCCAGTCCAGGCCCCGTGGCGGCGCCTTTCTGACCCCCATGACACAGCCAGACGAGGTCTGCGGGCGGGTGGCTCCTGGCAGCGGTCGATGGGGCACCTGGCCACGTTTCTTCCCAACCAGATAGCGAGCGTTTGGGGCCTTCACCTCGCCCCTCCAAGCCCTCAGGGACAGGCTCCACGCTGCTCCTTCTCCCCGCTATCCCGCGCCCTGGGGCCCTGATCGCCGTACTCACCGGCCCGGACTCGGTTTCCATCTTCCTCTCTGCTCTTCAGAGACGCGGGGTAGGGAAAAGAAGCCTAAAGTTTGAAACCACCTTCACGCCAAGGCAGCAGCGCTGCTTGTCCTGCCTGGGACTCTCGCCCCCTGGCGGCGAGGGTGGCTGTGGCAGCTGCAGGGAAGCAGGCTCGGACCCCGGCCCTGAACCTGCCACCTGGCGGGTGGGGAGAAGCGGACTGCGTCGCCTCGGGTGGCAGGTGGCGGTGCGGGCGGGCGCTGCAAGCCGGAGAGGGGCGCGGGAGGGCGAGTTTCGGCTGTGGCCCTGGGACTCCGAGCCGGGGCGTCTCAGGGGCAGAGCGCACGGCACAGCGGGGCGGGCGTGGGGCGTGCGGAGCGAGGGCTCGGTTCTGGGACCCCTCTCGCCTTCTCTCAGACGGCTGGGGAGGAGAGAGCGAGCGGTCAGGCAAAGCTCCATGCACGCCTTCCCCTCTCCTCCACTTGAGAAGAGTCGGCCTCTGGGACTGGTGGGTTTCGAGAGGTTGAGGTGACCTTAAGGCTTTACTGAGGTAGAAGAAGCCGGTTGACGGGCGACTTCCGAAGACTGGTGTAAAGCGAAGAAGGTTCTAGAGTCAAACTCTGACTCTCGGGGCCTGACTCGCAAAACTCGGGGGCTCCCGAGAAGCCGCGGACGCCGCTCTGCACCTGTTGCCGCCGTCACTCATCCCGCCAGGCGGGCGGGGCCGCGCGGGTGGCTTGGTCAGGACCTGCCATTCAGCCCAGTCGGGCTCCGGTGCTCGCCCCGGACGGCGCCCCAAGCGGGTCCCGGCCCCGCTGAGCACCTCCAGCAGTGGCACAGCCTCTGGAGGGGTCCGGGACGAAGCCACCCGCGCGGTAGGGGGCGACTTAGCGGTTTCAGCCTCCAACAGCCTTGGGATCGCCTTTGGAAGAAGATTGCGCTTTTTTTCTTAAATTAATGAATTAATTTACTAATTATTTTTATTTTTGAGACGGAGTCTCGCACTGTCGCCCGGGCTGGAGTGCAGTGGCGCGATCTCGGCTCACTGCAACCTCCGCCTTCCGGATTCAAGCGATTCTCCTTGTCTCAGCCTCCCGAGTAGCTGGGATTACAGGCGCCCGCTACCACGGCTAATTTTTGTATTTTTAGTAGAGACGGGGTTTCACCATGTTGGCCAGGCTTGAACTTCTGACTTCAAGTGAGCTGCCTGTCTTGGCCGCTCAAATTGTTGGGATTACAGGCTTGAGCCACCGTGCCCGTCCAGTTGACTAATTATTTAGACACGAAGGCTCACTCTGTCGCCCAGGCTGGAGTGCAGTGGTGCGATCACGCTCACTGAATTCTCGACCTCCTGGGCTCAAGCGATCCTCCCACCTCAGCCTTCTGAGTAGCTGGGACCACAGGCAGGCCCACGCCACCATGCCTGGCTGAAAGAAGACTGCTTTGTAAATAATACGTATTTCTAGTAGGTAGCTAAAATGATTACAACTGGATAAACTTATAGTAATGATTATCATTATTATAGCTGCCATTTATCAAGTACTCACTTTGTTTCAGGCACAATGCTTTATGATCAGTATCATTTAATCTTTTCATGCTCACAGCAACCTTTCAGATAGATGCTCCAATTATCGTCATAGTACGTGATGAAGCAGAGATTTGAAGGATAAGTAATTTGGTCAAGATCTAAAGCTGTAGGAGGTTTAACCCTCGTCTCCCCCCCAACCCACAGTTCTTGATCATAACCATTTTGCCACATATTTTTAAAGAATCAGCAGTAACAACTGTTAAAATTTACACCAGTAATAACTATTGTACACACTACTATAAAAGTTTGACTTTGGGTTACTTTGCCTTCAAGATATAGAATTAAAAACAGAGTGAATATATTAATTTTTGATTTATTCAAAGATTAGCTCTTCATATTATTTTACCCAAAATAAAATGGGAAACAATTTTTGTTTATCTTACCCGAAGAATCCCTAAAGTCATTATACATTTCTGCATGCAATTTAAGCTCATTTTACCAGGTTTCAGTCTCTGTGGAAATCGAGAATACAAACCTATTTAGATGAAAACTCATATTCTAAAGCATAATAATCTTACTGTTCAATACCAGTAGAACTAATCTTCTTTGGGCATTTTTTTTTCCTAGGACTGTTGCTGGATTTGGGTAGATGTTACTATCCTCTCTTGCCCAAAACATTTTGACTAAAAACACTTATTTTCAAGAACTACATTCTCTTAAAAAATGTATTCAGCGCAGTAGGTGTTTAATCTGACAAAAATTTACGTAATTTAGGGAACGCTAACTGTATTTCAAGGCTGGTGTTGGGTACTAGAGGGATATACTTTATTTTCAGTGTGGCAGTTCTCTGTTCTGCCTCTTACTATTAATTCTTACACCAAAAGGAAAGTTCAGCTTTAAAACTTGGATAAACCACATAAAATTATGCAATGCACCCCAATTTAGTAGACACTTAACAGAGTTCCTATTCTGTGCAGTACATAATGGAATATAATGTGGGAGATATGAAGATGAAGAACAGGGGTGTCCAATCTTTTGGCTTCCCTGGGCTACATTGGAAGAATAATTGTCTTGGGCCACACATAAAATACATAAACACTAACGATAGCTTATGAGCTAAAAAAATAAATCACAAAATCTCATAATGTTTTAAGAAAGTTTACGAATTTGTGTTGGGCCGCATTCAAATGCGGCCCATGGGCCACCAGTTGGACAAGCTTGAAGAACAAGGTCAAACCTCTGTTCTCAAAGCATTTTAAATCTAGAAGGATAGAAAAAACTAATTACTCCAAACAGTATAATATAAATATGCTTATAAGAAAATAAAATACAGGCATAACAGGCTGAGTGATATATTAACAATGATCAACGGTCTGTGGGAGAACAGAGGATAGCATCATAGAGCACAGTGTCCAGGGCTGGGTAAGGGCATTGTTAAGGCTGGAATGCTGGTCTGGGCAGAAAAATTGAGGGAAAGATATTGAGCCTGCATCATGTACCTAATGCTGGGCTAGCCACATTCTTTTTAAGTCTTAGTTCTCTCTTTTTCTTAGTCTCTCTTTTTCTCTCTCTCATTGGAAACCTGAGTCTTAGAGAGGTAAAAGTGACTCTCGTGGTCACATTGCTAGTAAGTGGTGGATGTCATTTTCAAAACTTTGTTCCTTTTTTTAAATTATACCTTAAGTTCTAGGGTACATGTGCACAACGTGCAGGTTTGTTACATAGGTATACATGTACCATGTTGGTTTACTGCACCCATTAATTCATCATTTACATTAGGTATTTCTCCTAATGCTATCCCCCCCCTACCAGCCCCCTACCCAACAACAGGCACTGGGGTGTGATGTTTCCCACCCTGTGTCCAAGTGTTCTCATTGTTCAGTTCCCACCTATGAGTGAGAACATGTGGTGTTTGGTTTTCTGTCCTTGCGATAGCTTGCTCAGAATGATGGTTTCCAGCTGCATCCATGTCCCTGCAAAGGACATGAACTCATCCTTTTTTATGGCTGCATAGTATTATACCATGGTGTATATGTGCCACATTTTCTTAATCCAGTCCATCATTGATGGACATTTGGGTTGGTTCCAAGTCTTTGCTATTGTGAATAGTGCTGCAATAAACATACGTGTGCATGTGTCTTTACAGTAGCATGATTTATGTTCGGGCTCAGTGCACTTTGTCATGTTACTTATACTATGGCAATAAAGAGAATTTTATTCTGGAGACCTTTGTAAATAGGGACCATTGAAGATGATTGAACCAGGAAGTTGTATAATCAGAGCCAAATTTTAGGAAGATATTTTCATATCAAAGAAGAGTTTTTGAGGGGCACAGACTGGAAACAGATAGTTGAATTTGGAGGAGAAAACAATTCAAGTGAAAAATAATGGGGACCTGAACAAAGGTGACAGGAGTGAGAATCAAACACTGGGAAAAGGTTAAAGAGATACCAGTGAGGAATTGAGACTGTTGGGCATGGGTGATGATGGAGAGGGATTGGTGAGGCTCATTCAGAAATCTGGTTTCACATATGGGAGATACTGTTTACCAAGATAAACATAAAAGTATAGCACATTACAAATTGCAAACCTAAAAATCCCATTTTCTTAAGTTTTCTGCCAGGTTCCCAATGTTTCTCATCTTTTTTCTTCGCACAATCTGTTCAGAACATAGTCTTTGTTTCAGGGATTTACCCAACTACCCTTCTTTCTTGCCTTCCCTAGTTGACAGTTCTTCCCTTCTTGCCTCTTGAGTTTTCTAACTTCAGATTGAAGCTCCTAATATCTACTTCTGGCTCTCATTTTCTTGATAACCCTTTGGATGCATTCTCTAGTTTATAGATGTGGATAACTATTTTGTTCCTCCTGTGGGCAGGCTTTATGCTATGGCATGGGATACAGCAATGATTAAGGCCTAGTTCTTGCTCTGGTAGCAAGACCTAGTGGCAGCCTGTGATCTAGTGCAAGAAGCAGCTAAGCAGCCTGTGGTCTAGTGCAAGAAGCAGCTAAGTAAGTAAAAAGTTTATACATTCATTGTGCTAAGCATGGCAGTAGAAGAGTTGCCAGGTACAGAGATAGCCCAGACCAGGGAGTGATTTAACTTGGTAGATAAAACAACATGAAAAGACATGTTTAGAAGATGCCTCTGTTTCCATTTTATTTTTTTTCTTGTTTCCAGATCTATTAACTTATTGTTTCATTTTGGAGGATTTTAGGTGCTTTCTTTTTCTCTGTAATGGTTGGATGTTTGAAATAGGAGAGGTGAGGGATAGAGTTTAAAAAAATGCCTTAAGAAAGCAAAGAGGACAGCTCAGATCTTCTTTTCTCCTACAGGGAGCACAACACTTAGACTTGGAGAGGTTGTTACAGAGACGAAGACTAGAACAATATTTGATTTATTGGATTTTTTTTGGTAAAAATTAGTTCATTTATTTGCTTACGCTGTTTACTGTGAGCACTACTTAGATACAAGAACATACAATATAGAACCTACTGACTAGCATAAAGTATGAACTCAAAAAATATTTGTAGAATAAGGGAATAAATGAACAGATAAGCCTCACCCCATACCACACTTTGTCTAAGTCCCCACCATTTGATTCTTACTTTAGACATTTGGACCATTAAGAGGCTCACCAGCTGGACTGTCCTCTAATCCTTATCGGTAGAATGAGATCAGATACTTACTTTCTTGTCCTTAACTCACAGAAGTGAATTTGGACATGTTTAACTGTAAAGGAAAGTTTTAGTTGTGATGCTTAGTAAGAGGTGGCTTTTTTTTTCATTAAGATATAAACTAGGAGACTTCTTGGTACTTTAGACAGGCTAGCTCATGGCTAGAACACAACTGTCCTTCTAGACCACTATGACATCCTTCTGGATTAAGAGTGAAGAACAATTGATTATTGCCAGATAACCTTTTTCTTTGTTCCTTTTCCCCCTCAATGGATATGTGGATTCTAAATTTTAATTGATTTCTCCTGATTGATTTTCCCATAACAATTTGTGAGAGTACAGATTCCTTTTCATTGGCACACTGTAAGTTCTCACTCTCGGAAGCTTCTGCCAGCCTGGTGGTAGGCAAATCTAAAAAGCTCACTGGTTGGTCCTTTAATAGCTCTGATGTTCTGTAGTTCTTTTTTTTAATTGACAAATAAAAATATTTTATAAGTGCATAGTTGTATATATTTATGTGGTACGATGTGATATTTTGATATATGTATATATTGTGGAATAATTAAGTCAAGTGAATTAACATATCCATCATCTCATCTGCTTATCATTTTTCTTGTGGTGAGAACATTTAAAATCTACTCTTTTAGCAATTTTGAAATGTATCAGTAAAACTTATTCATTCTATCTAAGTAAAATTTTGTACCCTTTGACCAATGTCCTCCCTTTTTCTGTTTCTATGAGTTTGACTTTTTTAGATTCTCTATGTAAGTGAGATCATGCAGTATTTGCCTTTCTGTGCCTGGCTTATTTCACTTAACATATTGTCCTCCAGGTTCATCTATATTGTTGCAAATGACAAGATTTCCTTTTTAAAGGCTGAATAGTATTCCATTGTGTACATATACCACATTTTCTTTACCCATTTATCTGTTGATGGACGCTTAGATTGCTTCTATATCTTGGCTTTTGTGGATAATGTTGCAGTGAACATGGGAGTGCAGATATCTCTTTGACGTACTTGTTTCAGTTTCTTTGAATGTATACCCAGAACTGGGATTGCTGGATCATATGGTAATTCTATTTTTAGTTTTTTTGGAGAACCTCTGTACTGTTTTTCAAAATGACTGTACAAATGTACATTTCCACCAACTAGGCTTCCCTTTTCTCCATATCCTCACCAACACTTATCTTTCACCTTTTTGATGATAGCCATATAACAGATGTGAGGTGATACATCATTGCAGTTTTAATTTGCATTTATTTGATGATTAGAGATATGTGTCAGGTCTTATTCATTTTTGTACACTGTGAACTTAACTCTGTAATGACACATAACAGACATTCAATATTTTATCTTAAACTATTGAGGTAGAGCAGTAGTACCCCAGGGATATGGGAATAAAATATTAGAGCTCATATTTTTATTTATCTAAATTGATAAGAAGTAAATCAAGCTTTGCTAA